>NC_000011.10:110808788-111111818 GCF_000001405.40 Homo sapiens | reverse complement strand
TGTGTGTGTGTGTGTGTGTGTGTGTGTGTGTGTGTGTGTGTGTGTGTCTGTAGAAAGAGAGCTCCTAAAAACCTTTTCCTTCCTTTTCCTAATGCTTTTAATAATCATCTTCCATACTAGTTTGTAAGAACAATGAAATTATTATCATTATTATTATTTTATCATTCTATTCCTCTTCACCTAGCATAGGTGAAGAGAAATATTAAGAAATATTAAGAAATATTAAGCACAGAAGTGCTTAATAGATATTTGTGGAATAAATGAATGCAAGAAAGAATGAATAATAATACCTTTAGTGATATGGCATTTGTATGTGTATGGGGTGATACTTACGCAGAGTAGTTCCATCCTTGATTATCATCTTTGAATATAATGGAAAGTGTACATTTATAGAAGTTTAAAAGTATTATTTAGTATCATTGCAAGAGGAGACCATCATTGTTAACAAAACTCAGCTAGTATGAAGCATTGCCTGGTTTTTCTTCTCTGCTTCATGCCAGCTTACGTAGAACAACATCTCATTCCTGCCTCTCCCAAAAAATATCAGCTACTTTTCTAGAGCATCATCTTTTTGAAATAGATCCTTACTTTCTGCACAGACAAAAATCTTTTCCACCTTTTCCCAGATTATTGCACTAAATGTACCATACTTTTAGTGACTTAACCCGGCACAAATCTATTATTGCACATTTCTGGAGGTCAGAAGTCAGAAATAGGCCTTTCAGGACTAAAATCAAGGTGTCTTCCTTCCAGAGGCTCCTGGGAAAAATCCATTTTTAGACTTTTCCAGTTTCTAGAGACTGCCAGCTTCCTTGGCTTGTGGTCACACCACACCAATCTATGCTGATTCATCTCCCCCTCTGACTCTGATCCTCCTGTCTCCCTCTTACAAAGACCCTTGTGATTATATTAGGCCCACCCAGATAGTCCGGGATAACCTCCCTATCTCAAGATCCTTAACTTAATTGCCTTTGCCAAGTCCCTTTTGCAATATATGGTAAAATATTCATAGATTTGGGGAATTAGGCAGTGGACAAGCTTTGGGTCTGTGGGGGTGGGCAATATTCTACCTACTACACTGCACTCTTCAGACAGGAAGCAGATCTGAATCTGTTGCCTCATCAAATAGACTCATATAAAGACCGTCCAGTTCAATTCTCTCCTTAGAAATGGGAACACAGACTTGCCCGGGAAGATGCAAATTGTTCCAGGCCAGAGTTTTCTAATTGCATGACATTGTCCTAAGAGTGAAAGAACACAGAGGGGTAAGTTTAGGTGCAAGTACAAGCAGGCACCTCAGTGGGTTGCATTTCAAAAGATATGAAGAGCAAACTCTTCCAATTAGAAAGACTAGTTGCTGGAACCAGAAAGTAGAGTTAAGAGTCTTCCATATCCTGGGCTATTCAAATGAAATTGATTTTGCCCCAAGAATCTGCTCCATGTTTATGCTTTGGACTAAGTTAGACTTTTTAGCAACTTAGTTAGAATCTTACCTGTATTTGAATTTGCTCCATTTGAGACTTGGCCTTTTACATTTTAGGGCATATATTGCTCTGACTTGGGGGTTGGTTGTTTTCCATCTGTCATGATGCATCCCTAACAGGCTGCCCTTGCCGTTGGCATCGGCCTGTGATCTTGGGCCCAATCAGTTAAGGACAGCAGAATAAGATTACTTAGGTTTCAAGTGCATTGCTTTGCAAATCTCAACCAACAATGAGAGGAGACTGTTCTTTGTAGGCCAGTGGGGAAGCAAGTTCACTACTGAGCCTTTTCAGGCATCATGATTCATCCAGAACTGTATATTTATATGAAATACAGGGCAAGGAAGGGAACTGGTCAGGCAACCCAGGTAATTTGTATGCATGTTAAATATATGACTTAGTAGATTTTTTGAAGCCTATCTTTTTACAAGTTTCAATGACTGGCAAGGGTATATGTCCACTACTATACATGAGATAGTGATGTTCCCTTCAGCTCACATATAGTCTTAATAGTGGTTCTTTTTATAAGTGGCACAAAAAGAGTGGCTATGAGGAAGAAAAGGGATTTTTAGCATCCTTTCCTTTTGAAATAATCGTGAAACCAGAGTGCAAAAAAACTATTAGTTGGGTTGGATGCTTTTAAAATTACTAAATATTGACCATTGAAATAAACAAAACTAGTGAAGATGATTTTGGGGTGCATATAAAGTAAGATGTTACCTTCAACCATTTGGAAACATAGACAGGCACTCTTAACATCTATTTACTTTAGAAATAAGGTTTTTTTAAAAAAAATTAAAGTGGGCTTGTCAATATTAGCAGTCCAGTACTTTTAGTATAGTGGTCTTATATGAACTTATGTAGTATGCAGTGGCTGTTGAGATAAAACAATGTTGAACTTTCCCCAGATTTCATGAAAAAAATTAAGCTGATGGGTAGAATAATAGATTTTTCTCCCACATATGTATTTTAAAATTGTGTCTGATGCTACTTGTTTAATATCATATAAGCTAGTATCTATTTAATTTTTAAACACTTTATTATTGGTAGGCTTATTTTTTATATTTCCTGGTATTCTACAGAGTATCATAACTTTTAGCCTGTATATTACTTGAACAGATTTTAGAATTTAATTTGATAACCCTATCCTAACACTGTCTTTTGATCTATAAACCTAAATAACCAATTACTGGACTTGGTTACTCACATGTTCCTGAGGCCTCTCAAACATAATGGTTCTAAAATAGCAACCTTCCCTCCTAAGGCTACCTGTTCTCTTCTCTCTGCACTATTCGCTCAGTTTCCCAAACTTTAAACTTAGAGACATCCTTGATTCCTCAATATTTAATGGGTCATCAAGTTCTGTCAGATTTACCTATTCAATATCTCTGTAATTAATTTCTTTCCATTGTTGATTTTATCATTTTGGCTCCAGTTTCTTTCTTGAGAATGAGATACTAAAGCAACTTTCCAGCCTCTCCCTGGAGTCCTGTCTCCTTTCATCTCTTCTCTGTACTGCGACCCGGAATGAGTTTTCAAAAACACCAATGTGATCATTATCCCTTCCTTCTGGAAAAGAAGTCACTGGCCTCAGAATAAAACCCAAGCTCCTTTGCATGGTTTATGTCACCATCCATGCGTGGTGAACACCATTTGCACTCTCTGAAATTAATGCCACAGCCAGCGGAACCATGTGCAACTCCCTGGATGCAATAAGCTCCCTTCTGTTTCTATTCTGGAGTGCATTCAATCATCTATCAAAATGCTACTGAGTGCTGCCTATGTACTAGGCACTGTATGCTATTAAGATGTTCACAGCCTCATGGGGAAACCAGATACATAATACATAACTGGAATATCTTTTGGTTATGTGCAAAGAAAGACCTATGTACAAGGTTATAGAAATATGAAGTATGGGTGCCTAATCCAGCCTGAGAAGATCAGGGATGGCTTTCTGGTAAAAGAGGCAACAATTCTGAGTCTTAAATGATGAGAAGAATTTAGTTCTACCCCTAAGAACTTAATACAACCATTGAGGATAGTTGCATAGCACTTTACATGTATGTTCATGATAAGAAATCTAAAAGTTAGTAGGTACTACTACACTGTATGTCAGGCAGTGGATTAAATGTTTTACTTGTATCCTTAGTATTGCATTATAATGTCCATTCAAATAGTTCACTGTGTTGTGTTCACATAAATCTAGAATAATGAAATAATAAATTTATGTTAAAAAGCAAAGTACACTTATGATAGAGCTAGTCCTTTCAGAAAAGTGGTGTTTTCACAGATCTAATGAGGAGACTACACTAGAAGGTCCTGAAAGTAGGAAAGATTGTTCCTATGAAGCTGGAAATCAAGCTTCATATTAATTTGGAAACATATTTGTTCTGTGAAAAATATTGAGCAAGTCATTTTTGAAAGTAAAATTTTTTTTGTAAGAAGCTGGTAGTATAGTTCCAGTTCTTTCATCATCTCCATCATATCAATAAGGGTTTGTAGTGCTACACTGAGACCAACTCTGGTTGATATGAGCAAAGAACTGAATTCAAGAGTTAGGCTGATAAAGAGGAAGTGGAGAGGAAAATGGTGATGGGATGGTAAAAAGGAGAAGCCAGAGAAAACACAGTGAGCTGGGGTGACCAGAGTTCATTCACAGTGCTTCTCTTACCACACAATTTCAATTTCTGTTGTATACTCTCTAATGGTGGGACAGTATTGTTGCATTAGGAGGTGAGAACTGCAGAGGTAACTTCCTTATAACAATGCTTTCTGAAGCCATTGTTCCCATTAATCTTCTTAGTAAAAATAGCTCATGTTGGTTAAGTTGTTTCAACTTCACTAAAGCTTGAAGAAGATGCAAATAAATTTATAAAAACAAGGGTGAATGGAGAAAAATACTGTGGTCATAGCACTGAGAAGCAACCAACTGAAGAAGAAGTGGAGACTTTCCAGCGAAGTTTATAAAGACCATTAAGTTTGGATTTGCCATAGGCAGTCCTACAACAAAGGAAGCCTTAGTCATATCCATCACATTAGGACCAAGGAAGTCTAGAGACTGTTCTATCATTCCAGAACTGTGTTCAGAAGCAGCAGCTTTTAATGAACCAGAGGAAATGTCTTTAGAAGCAAAGCTGAAGATGATGAACGTTGGATGGGACAAACCAACAGCCGCAAGACCAAACCCTTTCAATAAAGAACACAAGGGGTTTTTGATCATCAGAAACTACGGGAGGGAAATATAAATTCTCACCTTGGAAATGTTTATGACCAAGATAATTAAATGATGTGTTCTGAGAATGGGATATGGCAGCTGCTTTCTTTCCTAAAAAGAATTTATTTTTATTTTTGATTGAAAGGGACACTAATAAATTCATGAGTTTGGAACTAGAGGTAATTCATGTTTTATGTAAAAATTTTAGACACTTGATATTTTTGCAGTTTCATGTGATCAGTTTCCAAATCTAACAGATAATAAATCAGAAATTGTGGTGGGGAAAGGATGCTGTGAAGCGGATGGAATCAGTAGTAATGATGGAGAACTAGCTTGAAGCTGTGCAGACAGGAGAAATGCCCTGGCTAGTCACATCATCCATCTATTCTTGTAGGGACAACATCGTTGCTTCCACAGAGCATGAATGCTGCAGCTGGCCCTGTCTATACTGCTGGACACTGGGTGCTGGGTACTAGCACTGGCATGGTTGCCACTGAAACTTTACAGACTTGGTCATCCTTACTATTGTTGCCACCAGCAACAGTTGTTTGTGGTATTTTGTTTTGTTTAGTTTTCCATCCTTATTGCTCAATTCAAAGACTGGGGTGTGTGTCTCTATTTGGTAGAGCCTAGGACATGTGCCTTTGCCTTACTTGCAAGCCAGCCTGGGTAAAGTATAATAGTGTCAGGGAATTTTAGCTTCTACAACAAGAAATAGGTTCTGTCTTATGCCTTGGGAATTCCCTAAGTAAAGGAAGGGATTCTGATGCTGGCCAAATGGAAAGACCATGTCTGCTCTTCTCCCCAAAGCACCTAAGTTCCAAATGCCTGCTGTGTCTGATGACAATTGAGACTGTAAGCTAATGATTTAGATGAAGAATTATGGGGTGCATAATTGAATTCATAACTGAACCCTGAAAGCTACATATCCCAGGCCTCTTGCTGAGCATTCTACCTCCTAAGGTTAAAATTTACTGATTTGCTCTTTCCCCTCTTAATGTTCTTCCAATCCTCTATTTAATCACTGCAAAATCCAAATTATGTCATTGATTGCCTCAGTATGCTAGTAAAGTGAATTTGCTGTTCAAAATTAGGGTTAATAAAAAATGAATATAATTGTAAGAATGTTACTTGATGAAACTATATTTAGATGTAAAAGGCTGTAAGATGAGCAAAGTAAATTTTTAAGTATAAAGAGTTTGGCCTCTTTTACCAAGGACCTGCCAAGATGGGCAGCCTTCACACCAAAACAGTGAAGAAGGTAGCCTGGGTCATCATAGAAAAGTATTACATGCACCCCGGTAATGATTTCCACATGAACAAGCAAGTGGGTGAAGACTGTCATTATCCCCAGCAAGAAGCTCTGCAACAAGATAGCAGGCTGAGTCACGCATCTGAAGAAGCAGATTCACAGGGGCCCAGTAAGAGGTATTTCCATCAGGTTGCAGGAGAAGAAGAGAGAAAGGAGAGATAATTATGCTCCTGAGGTCTCAGGCTTGGATCAGGAGATCACTGAAGTAGATCTTGATACTGGAGAAATGCTGAAGGTTTGGACTTTGGGAAATTCATCCCAACTGTAGGCTGAGTGACCTGCAGATTGGACTATCCACCACATGGAGCTGTTTGAATCTTTCTGAAATGTTGTAACATTTTCAATAAACCTGGAGAAAAAAAGAAAAAGAAAAAGAAGCAAGAGTTAGTATCTTTGCCCTGTAAAAGCAGAACGTTGTTATAGGATATTTAAAATGATCATCTGGCATCTTACTATGTTCTGGAAGGTTTACATGAATTATCTCATTTAATTTTTACTATGTGATAGGTGTCATTATTAGTCCCAATTTATAGAAAATGGAGCAAAACCCTAGAGAAGTTAAATAACTTGCCTCAGATAACACAAACAGTAAGTGGCTATACCATAATTCAATTCTATGTCTGTTAATTTCCAGTTTTTACACTTTTAACTACTACATATTGAAAATTAAAAATACGGGCGTCTAAGGATGCCTCTACTTGCAATCACTATATAGTTACTTAAGAAAATGCTTCATATTTACAAAATCTCTAAATATTATTATGAAAATAATAAAGAATATTGAATTATTTTATAAAATAAAAGAGATTGTTTCAGATAAACATGGCAGAATAAACATACATGTTTTCTTCTGCTTCATCCCCCAAGTCTCACTAGAATGACAATAAAAGAAAGTTTAAGAGGCATAAATTAACAAGGACATAAAAGCATAAACTTGTAACAAATAATTTTTTTTAAATTTGGAAGTAGAAACTTGGAAGAACTAAAAGTAACTGACTTAAGTGGCCTGAAAGATCAGAGATCCAAGCCTGTAGTATGAAAAGCCAATGAAAGCAAACCGATTGATCCTGCAGAACTTGAGGAAGGCACAGGAATTTGGGACCATGGGTATCTGGAAAAGTAGGAGGCTCAGGATGGGGCTTAAAAAGATGGATTGGTTGAAAATATTTATATATATTGGTGATTAAATCCCCAGATCTTCTTTCCTGGGGCCACGGTTCCCCCATACACTGGCCAAGGATTTGAGGTTCACTCTAGAGAGAATGAATCACATTCTCTAGACAGTAAACACAAGCTAGTAAACACATTCTCTAGATAAAAGCACACAGGTCCTCAAATTGGAGAAGCTGCACACACCTGCAGGTAAGTTAGAGGAGTCCCTTTACTGGAAACAGAGAATGTTAAATGTAAATATGCAAATGGAAATGAGATCTCCAACCCAACCCCACTCAGCTTCCTGAACACTAACAGTGAAACTTGTAAAACCATTTCCTTTATCCTAAGCAATGAACCTGGAAGATTTTCATTTGGGAAGCATAACTTGCACAAGGAGGAAGTGCTATGGAGACTACTTTTATGGTCCCTCAAAAAGACAACTGTGTCCATACCTGCCCATCTTGCAGTGAAGCCTATCAGTTAGTAAGTCCCACACAGAGCTACTTAATTTCCAATCAGGTATCCACAAATCATCAAATGTTTGAGGAAAGACTCTAACAATGCACTGAACAAACAGAAAAAAAGAAAAGCGATGAAGCTTTGAAATATGCTCAGAAACACAAAATGAGAAAACATGCCCATAAAAAAGAATGGATTGATTTAAAAAGAAAGATCTTGGATATTAAAAAGTGATAGCAGAAACTAAAAATTTAGTGGACAGCTTGAAAAATAAAGTTGAAAAAATATTTCAAAATATATCTCCCAAAAGTGATGAGAAAAGACAAGAAAATTAAAGGATCTGTTGAAGACTGCCAAAAGATATGATAATAGAAGTTAACAGAAGTTCCAAAGAGAGGGACCAGAAGAAATAAAGAAAAAATATTATTAAGGATCCTTTCTAAAAATATTTCCCAGAACTATGAGAATTAAGTTTCAAAGAAAAGGCTGAAAGATTGACCAGAAAATGGAGATGAAAAACAAAAACGAAAACTAAAACAAGGCATATCACCATAAAAATTTTAGGACACCTGAAATAAAGGAAAAATCTAAAAACCTCCAGGGGTCTGGGTTGGAGGGATAGAGGGATAGAGGGAGGGATCATTACATACAAATGATTGGGAATCAGGGTAAGATTAGACTCCAGCAAACAATATAAGAAACTAGAAAACAATGGATTTATAAATCAGAATTTTATATCCAGCCAAATTAACAATCAAACATGAAGGTAGAAAGATGTTTTTGGACCTGCAAGTTCTTAACAATTTTAGGTCCCAAGGATTCTTCTCAAGAAGCTCCTGAAAACTGTGCTTCCCTAAAGTTATGACATCTTCCAAGAGAGAAGAAGTCAAGGTGTCTTGGAAACAGAGATTTTAACATAGAAACAAGATAAAGGCAATTTCCAGGATGTTGGGAAGAAAAGTCTAGGACAAATGTGGTGCGGCAGACCTCCAGAGCAACTGGTCCTGTTCAGAGCATGAGGAAAGAAGGCTCCAGCAGGGATGTTTGCAAGAAAAAAATGTAAAAAGCAAAACTGATGGGCTTTCAGTTGTGCTAGAACTCAGCTCTGTCAGAGTTAGGGAATGAGTGACAGTTACATAGTAAACCAAACAATTTGACTAAATGTGGAAATTATTAATTCTAGATAGCAAGATGTTATAGAAAAAAGAAAATGAAGCTACAATACACTATATTGATTTACTCACATTATTTCTACATATTGATAAAATGTGAACAGTAAACATTGATTAAACCAAAAACGGTGATGTTGTAATTTTAGAAGACTAGGAAAAGGTGAGTTAATACATTTATTTGTGTGTAAAAGGGCGAGGGGCAGGGTTGTAAGAGTCAGATTCTCATCTTATATATTAGAAATTAATAGATCTCAATTAAATTTTTAAAATCATAAAGGAAAAATATAAATAAATGATTTAGAAATATGGAAGTAAACACCAGAAGAAACAGACAGAAATATTGAAGGTGGCTGATTCTGGGGAGTTGGAATTGAGAAAGAGGCAAGTATTTGCTTTTTTGTGCATTATTTTAATAAAAACAAATTAAATTAAGAAAGCAAATGTACTCCTTTAAAATCTAACGTCTTGACAAACATCTTGTTACATAATTCTTATGGAATTATAAATATTCTGACTTTTTTGCCAAACATCTAAATAATTAGATATCTAAAAGTGATTCCAAAGTAGTAAAGTAGAAAAGCTACAAAGTTTCCTGTTCCCTTTCTACAAACTATTTGAGAAACCATGTAGTTTATTTGAAAGTATTTCATATCTTAATATGTTCAGAAGGACAGTCAATAAATATTTTTGAATAAAAAATGAGCAAGAGTAGTAAATGTTCCAATTTTTAAAAATAGTGAGACTATTTTTTTGGCCATAAAAGTTACAGATTATGTACTGACTGTATTTAAGTTCAATGCTACTTAACACAGGATCTGGCCATACATATGGGAGATGCTTGCTAAGTGTTTGGATGGAACTGAAATTTTTGAGTGCCGTGAAGACCTGATGGAGCCAAGAATTAAGGGAGGGGGTGCTCTCGATTGACTTGCTACAGTTTGATTTGTTACTTTCCTGTTGGAATGAAAACGAAATTCACAAATTCCTAGAGGCTTTTACTAGGAGTGAAATTCCAAGCTTTTATGATTCTTGTCTGTAAAGGAACTTATTGGACTCCATGCTTCAGATTGCTGACCCACATCTGGATTCTAAATGGATTCATGGTTTTCCTCATAGTCTATAAATCACACATCCAAAATAAAACCTCTTTTAATCTACTCCAGTCCCAGCCACTTGTCAGTATTTTGTTAGCAACTGAAGAACATATCTTAAAAACAATAGGTATTTTTAATATAGAGAACAGTTTTTTTTTTCTGTTTCATTATTTTTGTTTTAGATTTCTATTAATTTAGTTTTGCAATTAAAATTTTCTTTCATGTATTAGTTATTAACACTAATGATAAAGTTTTCCCCTTTTAAGTAGTCTTTCCCCTTTTTTTAATTTAACAAATAAATATTTACTGTTTATTGGAAAACATGGTAGAAAACACCATCTAAATATTAGAACAGCTTATAGAATGCTCACCGTGCACCAGGAATGATTCTAAATATTTTGCTCACAAAAACTCACTTAATTTTCTTGTATTACTTTTCTGTTACTGCTCTGCTAAATTACCACAAATTTAGTGGGTTGCAACAACACATCTTTATCATCTTACAATTCTATAGTTCAGAAGCCCAATGTGGTCTCACTGGGCTAAAATCAAGGCGTCAGCATGACTGCGTTTTTTCTTTTTCTACTGGAGGCCCCAGGAAAGAATGTTTCCTTACCTTGTTCACCTTCAAGAGGCTGCCCACGTTTCTTGGCTCATGGCTCCTCTCTCCATCCCCAAAGCCAGACATTGCTTCTGTGATCACATCTCTTTCTCTCACTCCCCCTTTCTCTCTCCTTCTTTCACTTTTAAGGATCCTTTTGATTATAGTGGGCCCAGCTAAATAACCTCAGATAATTTTCCTATTTTAAGGTTAGCGGATTAGCAACCTTAATTCCATCTGCAAACTTAAATCTCCTTTGCTATGTAAGGTAACATACAGGTTCCAGGGATTAGGATATGGACATTATGGGGATCTTATTCTGCCTTCCATACCTCTCAACAATGCTAAAGGTACTATGATTATTAGCCTTGCTTTACAGATGAGGCACAGAAAGGCTATGCAAATTCTCCGAGGTTACAAAACTGAGATCTGAACCCAGACAATCTGGTTTAGGAATTAATACTCTTAAAAATCACATTACACCAAGATAACTCATCACCAACATATTGTACTTTTTATTTTACTGTGTTTTTTCCTGTGCTTTTTAACAGGATTATTAGAGTATAGGCATAATTTTGTGACCCTTTTCTTACCCTGTTTTCACTTTCTACGTGAACCTCCCCCCATCTTTATACTGTCTATCTGGCATCCCATTTCAGCCCCAGGGCCTTTGCACATGCTATTTCTCCTGCCTGTGATGCTTTTCCATATATCTGTGTGGCTTACTCAGTCTTACTTTACTATGCAAATATCTTGTCAGGAAGACCTTCTTTGACCAAGGTTTCTAAATACACACCCTATATCTTTTTATCCTTGCACTCTGCTTCTTTTTTTCTTTATAGAATTTATCATTAATTGATTTCTTGTAGTATATTAATTTATTAATTCATTTATTATTTGTCTCCCTTACTATAAAATGATCTCCACAAGGACAGGGACTTTTTGTTCATTGATGTAGGCTCTCAATAAGTATTTCTTGAATAATGAATTTTAAAATTAAGGAAAGCCATTTATAATGCCACTACTATAACAAATATCATCTGTCTTCATGTTCTATGCATTGTCTATTTGTAAATATAATTTTACATATTTAATTATAGCACAGAGACATTTACGTGTGTGTATATGTGTGTGTACATATTCAACTAAATATTACATCTTAAGCATTGTTCATTCTGTTCTACAGTCTTCAGAACTATTAGTTTTAATGACTTTGTGAAAAAATACTAAATTGGTGTATATAATTAACCATCCATTTATTAGATGTTGTTTAGATTATACTTTGTTCCTTTATTAACCAACCGTTTAATCTTTGACTGGTAATCTAACTACTTTGCACTTATTTGCTCATTAGGAAAAGTATATCTAGATTATTACTATTAAGTACAATAACATCAGTAAAGTACCCAGATTATACCTGATAAATAATTGTTTCCTTTATATTATTAGTTTCCTTTTCTGGTTTTATTTCTAATATATTGCTATTACAAAATAATGCTTCATTGAATATTTGTTGTTATTGACATTTTTGTGTTAGTCCTTAGGAAAAATATCCAAGAATTTTATCACTGAGCTGGAGTGGTTCAAAATTTTTGCTAAAGGAATTAAATCGAGTTAACTTATGATGAATATTTATATGTTGGTTTTAGATATGTTTCCCAAAAGACAGACATGATACTCCCCTTTATATTTTATTTAGAGCACAAGGTTTTTATTATTTCAGAAATATTTACTATTATTCCCATTAATACTTTAAGGCTTCCAAGGTATAAAACTTTCCTTTGCCTCATGCCTCAAAAATATTCAAAATTATATTTAGAACTGGGAAATGATTACCTCAGCCCTTTTTGGGCTGAGTGGATTGTTCATTCATTCTAGCTTTGAATCTCCTTTGAATTTCTTAGAATTGTGCCCAAATTATTTCCTTCTGAGCTTTTTTTTTTGAAAAATCTTTCTAATTTAACAGTTGCTTTTAAAAATAGATTCATCATCAGTTTGCTGCTATAGTTGTCTATATCTTTCCTGATCTCAATTTAGTCACAGCATCTGTGCAAAATGGTATGAAAGTTATTTATTACTCCACCATCCAGAGGGAATGCTTGATTCCTGACATTTATATTCCCTTGAACATAAACGCCAGATAAAAAGAAAAATCAAACTTCATGCTTTGGGGACTGAACAGATTGCCTACCATGGTTAGTAGAGAGTGCCCTCCCCCGCCTCCTCTTCCTGAATTAGAAATACATTTTCATGGCTGGTGTCCCTAAATGACCAGATATTTTTCTTTTTAATTACATTTGTTGGGACAGTTTGCACTGGGGAGAAAAGACCTACTGGGATGATAGAATAGCTTAATGGTTAAGAATAGGCTTTGGAAGCCTGTAGACCTGGGTTGGTCATCAATACCTCTGTTGCCTTGAGCTCATTGCCATTAGATTCCTGAGTTGTCAATGGAGATAATAGTCCTTAGCTCACAGATTTTTGTAAAGGTTAAATGAATTAATGTATGTAAAGTATATGCAAAATGTCAAATAAAGGAAGTGACAAAATGTTAATTATTATATAATAGTTAAGGTAGAAATAAAATGACCTTTACATGCAAAAACATGTGCACCTTGACAGCCACTGCTACAAACCTTAAGAGATTTGCCATTGCCTGCCATTAAACCCAGTAAGGGCTTAAATGCTTTGTCAAACTGACAGGCATCACTCTGTGGTGGTTTTAGATTCTGTACTGAATTATATCTTTTAACAAGACTTGTTCTTCTCATTTTGGTATAATATAGAAGACCAGTATAGTTACATGGGTGATTATACAGAAATAAATGCAGAGTTTTCACATGGTCCAGATTGTTCAATCATGGTTACATTAGGATTCAAGTGAAGGGGAGACTGCTACCAGCTCCCTTGCAACACTCAGGCATTAGAAGATGAAGTTGTGTGAGGTGTAAGGAAGGGCTTTCTATTTGTGGCAGACATGAACCTATGCTTTGGGGACTGAGCAGATTGCTTACCATGGTTAGTACAGAATGCCCTGTTGAAGCCACATGAGGTAATTTCTGACCACAGGTAATGAGATAGAAGAAATGTGAGTTTCTAGAACAGAAAAAAAAATTATATTGTGAGTCTTCATACCACTGAAACTGTAGTGCTTAGTTTCAGTTGATTTGGGATGCCCTGTCTTTCTCCCCAGAATCGGGGGATGGGAGTGTGATGCTGTACCAAGGCTTGTCTTTTATAGAGACCAACATTTGTGAGTAATCCTCATTCACATTCCATTGTCTGTAATTAGTCTATTATGGTTGCTAATTGTCACATGTTTCTAACTGAAAACAGTTTTTTAGGTTCCTAGAATTTCCTCATTTCTTCTACGACCCTTCTGGTTCCAAAGAATTGAACCTGCAACTCTCAGTCCATGTCAAGCCACCAGGCCACCAGGCACTCTGTGGGACCACCTAGGACCCTGACAATTTCCATGGCAATCTTGGCTGCCCAGGATTTCTCAGTGGCTCTCAGACTCCACCAGAGCGAGGGACACTCTGTGAGGCAGCTATGGGCCAGTCTTTGCTGACACAACACCCAGACTTTCACCTCCGAAGTCTGTGTCTCCCAGGGATCTGAGTTCCCCTCTTATATTCATCAGTTCTGTTTGAGAGTTTAGCATTTCTTCACCAAGCTTCTTTTTGCAAGGGACCCACAAGTTCTACAGGAATTTTGTTTCTCTCAGACCCTCTCTTCCTAGCCCAACAGAGAATCTCAACTAGATCCCAGAATGGGAAGGCTTTTCTGACTCATCATGCATTCCTCCAAATCTATGGTTTATGCTTATGACAGAGGCAGGAGGCAGCCAAGGGTCCCCAGCGAAACCCTGCCTTCAAGCCTAAAACAGCCTGAAGGCTGAAAAACCGGACTTCTGGTCCCGGATGAAGCCCGCCCCTTCCGGACTGTTTCTTTCTGAATAACGCCCACCTTTGCACTGGGAGAACGGGGTGGGGCCTCCAGAAGTTCACGCCATTTGCAGCGGGGAGGAGCCTGTTCCTGTGTGGCGACCTGGGCTTCAATCTGTGAGGCGGGAAACCTGCTAGCAGGACTCTTGCTTTGGTGAGAGTTTTTTCTTTTTCCTTTTCCCCCAGTAAATTCCGTTTTCCTCACCCTTCTGTGTGTGTCCGCGAGCCTAATCTTTCCTGGTCATGTGACAAGAGCCCGGTTTTAGCTGAACTAAGGAGAAAGTTCTGCAACGTTTAGACATCTCTTTTGAAACACAATAAACTTTAAGATAACAGAAAATGTTAAATAGCAATTTGCCAAACATCAGGAAAGACATGGAAGTAAAAAAATGTGAGCTTTTAAAGACAAAAGTCATATCAGATGCAATTAAAAATACTCAGAAAATTTGGAACCAAGTTCATATTCAGGAAACATGGCATACGTTTTGTAGGAAATCACTTAAAGTAAAAAAAAAAAAAAAAAAAAAAAAGATATAAAAACGTTTACTTCTAATTCTTTCTCCCAAACTCAATTGCAGAAATGCCATAGAAGGGACAAGAAAGTGTATAGATTTGAGCATTTAACATTAAAAATTGGGATGGCTCTGGGGAGAGAGAAAGTGCCTGTATCCTTATATGGGAGAAAACAGTAGCTGTGGTAGGAGAGGCACCAGGATCTGAGGATAAAGTGGAGGAGTTATAGAGCTAGGTTTTCTTTCCATTTCCAGTCTATTATTTGAGGACCTATGCTTGTCCCTCCACCAGTGGATTTTTTCTAGAAAGCCAAACAAAAACAAACATTAAAACCAAAAATCCCGGCTGGGCCTGGGGGCTCACACCTGTAATCCCAGCACTATGGGAGGCCAGGGTGGGCAGATCACCTGAGGTCAGGAGTTCAAGACCAGCCTGGCCAACGTGGCGAAACCCTGTCTCTACTAAAAATACAAAAATTAGCTGGGCATGGTGGCATGCCTGTAATCCCAGCTACTCCGGAGGCTGAGGCAGGAGAATCGCTTGAACCCAGAAGGTGGAGGCTGCAGTGAGCCGAGATCGTGCCATTGCACTCCAGCCTGGGTGATAGAGCGAGACTCCGTCTCAAAAAACAAGCAAACAAACAACAACAACAACAACAAACCCAAATCCCCATCAGTTCTATCCCAGTGCAGCCAGGATCCACAGCAACCTCAGGGCCATGCTGGTGCTCACTGTGGTGAGGAACCGTTAGACAGCAAATTGGTGGTGGTATTGGGTATTTTATCACTCCACCCCACTTCCCATTAGAGGGCTAGTAAATTAAAATCAACAGAGGAACCTCACACTGGGGACAGGGAGCAGGAGCTGTGCACATAATGATGGGCAGAGTCAGGCTGTAGAGCCAGGGTCTTCCACTTTGGGGCATGCCCCCTTCTTGTTTAAGCATATTAGGAGAGGCACGATAACCAGGGATGAGAGTTTGGCTGTGTCTCCCATTTCATATTACCAACCAGGGAAATATGAGCCCACAGGAAACACTACAAAAAAGGTATGGATAGACATACATCTTTTAAAATTATTGTCCAGCCTTAAAAAAAAAAAGCTAATATTATTCAGCCTTAAAAAAAAAACCCAAATCCTGAAATACGCCACATGGATGAACCTTGAAGATGTTATGCTAAATAAAATAAGCCAGTCATAGAAGAACAAATACTGCATGATTCCACTTATATGAAGTATCTAAAACAGCCAAACATGTAGAATCAGAGAGTGGAATGGTGATTGCCAGGTTGTGGTGGGAGTGGGAAATGGGAAGTTACTAATCAACAGGTATATAGTTTCAGTTTCAATTATGTAAGATGAGTAAGTTCTGGAGATCTGCTGATCAGCATTGTACCTAGGGTCAACAGTATTGTATTTATACACTTAAAGATTGGTTAAGATAGTACATCTCATGTTAAGTGTTGTTACCATAATAATAATAATTTTAAGAAAGACTGCCAAGTGAATAAGCTATACCACATGCAATGAAATTCATGGCCTTAATAAGTCAAGCATTCACTACTAATTTATATTTTCAAAAAGATATAGAAGAATATTGTTGATTGAATTAAAAAAGCAGAATCAAGTGGCAAAATTGGGCAAGGAAAATATGGCTGTTGAAATAAGAACTCCATAAATGAATGTATTACAATATGGCTGAACAATTAGTTTGCTATAAGATCAGGTTAAGAAACTCCTTCAAAAAGCATCAAGATGTAATAAAAATATTAGAAATATAAAAGAGAAAACAAGTGATATGGAGGATAGAATGGAAGTGACACCATGCAAATCAAAGGTGCCCGTAGAAAGGAAAAAAAATAAATAACTGGAAGAAAAGAAATATTTGGAAAAAGCATAAACAAAAATTTGCTTGAATTTCAGGTTGAGAGAAATCATTGGGTGCCGAACAGGTTAGAACACCTGAAACATTATAGACATTAAGTACATAAAAAGCAAACAGAAAATTCTAGTTTCCACCGGGAAGTATCATATCACTTAAAAAAGAATAAGAATCAGAATGATGGTTTCCAGCTTCATCCATGTCCCTACAAAGGACATGAACTCATCCTTTTTTAAGGCTGCATAGTATTCCATGGTGGATAGCATTAGGAGATATACCTAATGTAAATGACAAGTTAATGGGTGTAGCACACCAACATGGCACAGGCATACATATGTAACAAACAAATGTTGTGCACATGTACCCTAGAACTTAAAGTATAATAATAAAAAAAGAATAAGAATCATGCTGACATTAGACTTCTCAATGACAACACTGGATGCAAGATAATGGAGTTGTCCAGCTAAAAAAAATTATATTTCTGATATATTCATGTAAACTATTATAAGTATTAGGATGTAATAAAGATATTCTCAGGTATACATGACCTCAGGCTTACTACATGAAGATCCTCTTTGAAAACATGCTTGTGGGAAGTTCTCTGATTCAAGGAGAAATAAATACAGAAGAAAATGATAAAATATGTGAGATAAAACGGTAAGTAACTTAGTAAAGTTCAATATTATTTCAAAAGAATGGACCAAAGAATGTATATTTATACTAATCTAGAACTAAGTTCTAGTTGATTAAAAACATAGTTGGGGGTGAGACGTAAATGTATTCATAACAGTCTATTCAGAGCTGCTTGTCTTGACAACCTGGGACCCCTGTATAATGAGATAGCCACGAATAGGTAAGGAAACAGCCTGTTGCAGGAGAATGACCCTGGGGTGGGAATCAGGAGATCTGAGATTTACTTCTGTTCTGCCACTAATTTGTTGCATGCCCTTTGCAAAATAACTTTCCTCAATTATTCAGGTATTTTTTCTTAAGTGTAGATGAGGCAGTTGGACCAGGGCTAAGTTCTTCTCAGTTTTCTTATTCTATGACACGCACACTTAATCTTTAATCAGCAGCAATGATATGGAGGTTTCTGTCTATATATATGTATATTTTAAATTTTACTATTATAATCATAAACAATAGTGGCCAACAGTGATCCTTTTGGAATACTGAGCTGAAACTCTTCTAAGTGCTTTTGTGAAAATATTATCTTGAGGTAAATGACATTTATCTCTCAATTAGGCAGTAAAGGACAGGAAAGGAGTTTACATTCTACTGTTTTATGCTCGTATTTTATCGACTTCATTAAACTTTGCATTTAAACACGTATATGTCTGCAGTTTATTAGAAAATTAAATGACAGTGACATTTGATACACACAGATGAGATGGAAAGGTTACATTTGCATGAATCTCTGTTTCAGTTTTCAGTTTTAATTCTAAATTATGAGTCCTTTCTCTAGTCATTAACTCATTCTGGGCATGGATTGATTAGACCATAATCTGCTTGGAAATAGGAACTGTACCTGGTTTTCATGGCCCACAATAAACACTCTATAAACGGTTGAGTGGAGGAAATCACTCAACCACATAGATGGATACTGCTCACTCCCATTCATGGTCTAATGTTAGTGCAAATAGCCCTCTGTTGGTGTTGGTGGTCAGGTCCTCAAGTGCTTTTGGTCACTTCTTTCCCAGTTCCCTATTCTAAACCTTTATCGTGGTGGACACAAGCCACCTACACAACCCTTGCCACCTTCACTTTAAACAAATGACTCTCACATCTACTTCACTGAGAAAACTGAGGTCACACTCTTGGAATGATCCTAACGCTCACTGACTTTGTGTTGAGTACATTTTGGTGCTCTGTAAATATAGACAGTAAAACCCTCCTGCAATGCTAGTGAGGACAGCTGGTTGGCGATGAGTTCTAGCATCTGGGAACTCATGACCAATCATGTTATACCTGAGTGTGAGTTGTTGGACATTTTATTGCGGAGTATGTTCCTCAAGTGGTTACTCTATCTCACAGACCTGAACTCTTCCAACTCCTATTTTTCCTTCCTTAGTGTGTCCACACACCTACTCATTCTTTCCTGCATTTGGATAAGATATTTCCTTTCCAAGGTCTACATTCCACCAGTGCATTTCATCTCATCCCTCTTACCTTTCTCAGGACTTTGCTTTTTCTCTTGTGCTTTTAATTTCTCCTCTGCTGGCTCATTTCCCTCAGTCCAATTCATTTATTCATTCAATCAGATCAGGTTAAATTATTCATCCTAATTCTTCACTCCTCTTTAATAGGGTTACGTGTCCACCCCTTTACCATAAACTCTGTAGTATTCTCTCACTCCCATTTTTCTGGGTCTGTTTTGTCATCTGAAAGATGAAGCGCTTGAATAAGATCAAATTCTTACAGCTTTAATATTCTGTTACATACTTAATGTTTAATTAGCTGCAATGATACGGACATTTTTATCTCTATATTATATATGTTTTAAATTTAGTGTCATAATCATAAATGATAGTAGTCAGAGTATATTTTCCTACCTCATTGATGTTTGGCTTTGTTATGTGATCGCTTTGACCAATGGAAAGTGCAAGGAAGTAATAGCCAGACCCAGCCAAGGCTCCAAGAAGCATGACATGCTTCTGTTTGCCTCTTTGTTTTCCAGTGGTCTCCTGTGAGAAGAACATACCCCAGGTAGCCTCTTCTTTGAGAAGCACAAGGAAACACGTGGTGGTGGAACTGAACACAACCCACAGCCTGGAGCTAAACCCAACCTAAGCCAGCCAAGCTCTTCCAAGATCACCCAAACTCAAGTTGACCTGTAGATCCATGGGCAAGGAAAGAAATGCCTGCTGTTTTAAGATCTCAAGTTTTAGGTTGATTTGTTATGCAGCATTATTGCAGTAAAAATGAACTAATACACTACCTAATCCCATTTTTCTATTCAACAGTTATTTGTTGGGTAGCTGATATGTGCCACACACTTATAATACAGGCTTCAGGGATACCATGGTTAATAAAATAAAGAGGGCAAAAGTAAATGAACAAGATAATTTTGCATTTTGACAAATGCTAGGGATAAGACAAGATGAGTGATGTGATAAATTGTGGTGGGGCTGTGGAAGAGGGCACATTTAATTTGGATGGTCAGAGAGAGCCTCCTCTGGAAGGAAACATTTGAATGAGATGAATAACAAGGGCGAGGCTGCTAGAGGATGATCCAGCCACAGTGCATTCCTGCAGAAGAGCCAGGGTGGAGGTCCTACGGTGGAAATGAGTTTGGCTTAGGAACAGATTCAAGTATATCTCAAATAACTGAAAACTGTGAAATTAACATCAAAAGTATTTGGAAGGCTAGAAGCTAGGCTGATATGTAGAAATAAAACCCAGCCTCAGGAAGGAGCTGAGCCAGACTCAAAAACAAGGGGGGCAGCAAAGAGTGGTGGATTCTGGGCTGGCCTTGCTGGCCACTCACTTGTCAGGGTGGGGTGGGTCAGCTGGCTTAAATGTGCAGCTGGACAGACAGCTGCTGTTTCACTGCATTGTCTCACTGCATCTGTCTTCATTATCTGCATCCTATTTTGTGTTTCTTGGGCCAATGTTTCCCATCTCAGCTAGAGATATTTTACATTGTTTTCACTGCATGCAAATAATTTCACAATTTTCTGTGGAAAGCCTTTGCTCCCTCCTTTCTTGTTTTTTTCCAATTATTTTAATAGAAGTCGTGTGCATACATGGTTTAAAGAGTCAAAGAACTCTGTAAGGTTTATTTTAAAAAACAGCCACTGTTATGAGCAACACCCCCCTGCTGACATTTCCCCATTCCAGAGGCACTTTCATCTTTTTTACATGATTGACATTTCACCTTCCTGTCTCTAAATAACATACTTAATACTACTTCTTGATTTGCTATTTTTAGGTATTTTGTATTGATTTCCCTCAATTGACTAGGAGGACTTAGCTTTCTTCCTTCTTGCTTCTTTTATCAAACACCTTTCTATTCTATGCTATCACCGTTCCCTCTTGGTATAATGTTATGATAATTTTGCTGAGCTTAATGTTTCATTTGTATTATTATGATCACATAAATGCTTTTAATAGCCAAACCAGATGGTAAGATGTAATGATATTTCCTTTCTGTAGTAGGTGGCTTCTAATATGGTCCCCAGTGATCTCTGATGACTAGTATTCAAGGCCTTGTGTATTCCCCTCTCCTTGAGTGTGGACTGGGCTTATTGACTTGCTTCTAACAATTAGAATACAGCGAAAACAATGGATGTCACTTCTAAGATGGGGCTTCATAAAGACCAGCTATCATTTTGGGCACTATCTTTGGTTTGCTCACTCTTAGTGTGGTAGGTAGAGTTCTAAAGACATCCCCCCAAATTCTTACTCCTGGTTATTCAGTCGAACACTAATCTCAGTACTGCTATGAAGGGATTTTACAGATGGAACTAAGGTTGTTCATCAGCTGACCTTGAAATGGAGGGATTATCTTGGATCATCCAGATAGGCCCAATGTAATCACATATATCCTTAGAAGCAGAAGAGCAAGGCAGGAGAATAAGTCAGAAGAAGAAGGCAGGAGCAGGAGACAAGAGGCAGAAAGAGAGGTCAAAGAGATCAGAAGTGTGAGAAAGCCTCATTGGCTCATTGGCTTTGCAGATGAAGGGGGTTACCAGCCAGGGAATGTGGGTGACTTCAGAAGCTGGACCCTGGTCAACAGCCAGCACGGACATGAGGACCTCAGTCTTACAGCCATGTGGAACTGAAATCTACCAACCACCTGAATGAGGCTGGAAGTGGATTCTCCCCCGGAGCCTCCAGATCAGAGCCCAGCCTGGCTGACATTGATTTCAGCCTTGTGAGATTCAGAGCAGAGCCTCTGAGCTTACCTGGACTTCTGACCTATGGAGCTGTGAGATCATAAGGGAGTGTTCTTTTAAGCTGCCAAATTTTGGGGAATCTGTTATAGCATCAGTAGAAAGCAAACACATGTGGGAAGCCAGCTGTCAAGTTATGAGCATACAAAGGAAATTGGGGAAGTGATAACGTCAAGCATTCATCATGATAAGGCTTATGTTATTGAATAAAATTTTCTGAAAGAATTACATGAGCAAGGTCATTCACTTACCCAACAAGCACTTACTGAGTGCACGCTGGGGACATGGCCCTGAATAAGACAGACAACATTCCCATTTTCATGGAACTTACATTCTAGTCAGGAAAGAGAGTGGGTGACTATGGTTTATTTTTGTGTTATTTTCTTCCAACTCTACTTATAATCGGGAGAGATTTCATCACCATTAGCCTTATACTTTTAGGAAAATTCCAAGATTATTTGACAAGCATTTAATAAACACCTACTAAAGCCTCAGATTGTGCCAGGTCCCTTGAACCAAATGTGTGGTCAACAATGATTCCTGTCCTCACGAATCTTACATGAGGAGAAGATGGCATATGTCGAAGTGCATAGCTACTATGCAATGTGATCTGTGCAGGAGACAGGCAGGTTAGCCAAAGTGGGTAGGTTTAGGTTTCTGGAGCATTGGTTGAGGTGCATAATAATGAGATGCTTTCTATTTAGCAAGCACTGTCTTTTTTCTGTTTGTCTCTGAAAATAACAAAAAGGGCCATATTTTCTTCTCATTCTCTTATTTCTGATTACGGGGCACAGATCTCAGAGAAAGGTAAGAATGCATTATCCTTGAGCATTGCCTGCATTTTTTATTTCTCTTCATAAAAGTCAGGGATCTATTAGATATTTGACCTTGAGCTGGCCAGATGTGTTTGTTCAGTAGCAGAAGATTAAGATTTCCTGAAAGGCTTGGTTGCTTGTTTTTTTTGTTTTGTTTTGTTTTGTTTTTTTCCTGAGTACTATGATTTTCTGGCATGTGCTATTCCCAGAGTAATCTCATTACCATTACTCATTTACTAGTGAGAGACCATTTAGCTCAGGGGAACCCTGTGTATATTTTAAAAATAGCTACACATTCAGGTTGCTTTGATCTTGTAAAGAGAATGGAAAAGGAAGCTCTTAGTTTTATATGCCGAAATAGCTGATTTGAAATCAACCTGTTTCCTTTGTATACAAACATGTGCATAGACATATGTAACCTGTATAGAAATGTGTTTTATGTGTTTGTATACAGAGCTCACTGTGGATTTTTTTCTGTTTTTGCCAAATACTGCTGTTTGGTTTTCTCATTAAGATTCAAAGAGCTTCACATTTGTAACTCTTTTTTTATTGATTCAATCAACAATCAACTGCTATATACCTAGCACTATGACAATTTTGAGGATATAAACATGAGCATGAAAGAGACCTTAAGTAACTCAGCTTGGTTGAGGAGCAAACACCTGGATTAATTTCTGGAGAAGGCGAATGGGTAAGAAATGCCTTTCTTTTGGCAGAAGCTGGACTAGTGACAAGATGATATACCAACCTCTATCACAAATAGAATTTCAAGTTGGGACATAGCTTTTCTCCTGCAGGAGTGCCTCCCTAGGAGCAATAGAATTGAGGTAAATAGAATCCTATTAGAATGAATTAGGCAGGAACTGGGTGTGAAAATTGGATGAGAAATCCTGTTTAAATAAACTATATTAGGCCAAGCACAGTGGCTCATGCCTGTAATCCCTGCACTTTGGGAGGCTGAGGCAGGAGGATTGGTTAAGTCCAGGAATTCAAGCCTGGACAATATTGTGAGACCCCATCTGTACTAAAAATAAAAAAAATTAGCCGGGCATGACTGCATGCACCTTTAGTCCCAGCTACTCTGGTGGTTGAGGTGGGATTACTTGATCCCAGAAGATCGAGGCTTCAGTGAGCTGTGATTGTATCACTGCACTCTACTCTGGATGTCAGAGCATGACCCTGTCTCTGAAAAAAAGAAAAAGAAAAAGAAATAGAAACTGTATTCATTAAGGTAATGTTAGCTATTATTAAAAAAATGTGTAATTGCTAACATAGGATAAAAGTGTATTCCTCAATCATGTCCATAGTAACTGTACCTGGCTGATGGAAGCTTTCCTCCATGGAGTGACTCAGGAATCAAAGCTTCTTCCAGCTTGTAGCTTTACCCACTTCAGCACTGTTTTTCAATGTCATTGTGTTCTTCACCAAGTTGGCAGATGGTGAAAAAGATATAAATGCATGTGTGAAGCTCATAAGGTCCATCCAGGTTTAGAAGCGGCAGACAGCACTTCTTGTCCCATTCCATTGGCTAGAACTCAGTCATATGACCTCATCTGACTAGTGGGAAAGCTGGGAAAGATAGTCTAACTGTGTGGTGGGGAAGAAAGAGCTAAACAGTTAATATCTGACACAGAAGCCTTGGGCTGAATCATAATATTTTAGGTTGAAAAGTATTAGAGGGTTTTGTACCCATTTATTTTCTTCTTTCCTGGGTAGAGCACACATCAACTCTTTCTTAAATGACGTATGATCCAGGCTATTCTATATTCTTGCTTTTTGAGTCTGGACTCTAATCTGTCAACATCCAATGTTAAATTGTGGTTTCCAGAAAGGATCACATTACTCCAGATATAGTTAACCAGCAAAAGCACAGGGGGACAAATTTTTTTTCTCATCATGTCAACATCGCCCAAGACTATCAGATATTTCTTACTTTTTATCATTGCATTTACTCACCGAATTTTGTAGATGTCATGGCTTGGAAAAGTGTGAATTGCATTTCGGAGAAGACAACATAAAATTTTTGAGTAAATGTTCCTCTTTCTTGGTCATTATTGTGTTCCCAATGTCTAGCACACTGCCTGGCACATTGTAGGTATTCAATAAATATTTAATGGATGAAAAGGATTTTTAAATATCTTACAAGATTTATTAAACATACCAGACACTTTCATATTTTTCATTCACTTATCTGGCTGAGCTGCATCCCAAGTAATGTCTGCATACCAGTTTTCCAGTTTAATACATTTTGAAAATTTCAGTGTCTGTACTTTTAATTTCTAGAATTTCTATTTGTGATTTTCCCCAGTTTATTTGCTTTTTGGATCTTAATTCTTCCTTTATGTCCTTGAGTATTTTAAACATATTATATTTTGGTCTCTTTCAGAATGGTCTAAGTTCTGTAGATTGTGGCATTTGGAAGTTATCCCTTCCATCCTCCTCATTGCATGTGTGAGATCATCTTCATCTGGTGTTTTTATCATGGGAGTCTCAGGTGCACTAGGGGTGGGAAAATCCCATGGGGTGTTTTTGAATTTTTCCTCTGCTGAAGTTTTTTACATAGAACCAGCTTTAGATCCATTTTTATGTTGCTATCTCATTTTAGGGTTGTCTCACCTTGAGGCTAGTAAAAATGTGGACCACACACTCACAAGTGGCATGAGTTTGCGGTTCTCGTTTCTGGTGGATGACTGGGAATAGAGCCTAAAGTCTTAATTTCCTTCTCAATGGACTTGAAACCATGTCATTTTCAGGCATATGTCTGGTTCTTGTGCCTTGCTTGTCCATTCTTTTTTTTTATTTTTGGCATCCTTTCTTGCTTTTTTATGCTTAACCATATATTAAAAACATCTTAAAAAATATATTCCCCTCAGCATTTCAATGGGTTTGGAGCAGGCACTGGGGTTTCCCACTGTGGTGAACACGGTGATGCATGGCCTAGAAACCCCTCCACTGAAGGATTTGTTGACCCAGCTGCTGGCAGTGCTGTCTGTAGATAGTGCTCAGCTGTCGGCCCCTTCAGGGATTACCTCAGCTGCAGGGAGCCCCTTTGTCCAAGGTCATGCTCCTCTCTTTCCCTAGGCAGCCTGCATCGAGTGACTGATTAATGCAAGAGCACAAAGGCCAGGCCATGTTGGCCCAACTCAGGACAATTCTGAAGAATCATTCTAGTTCTCAAGCTCGCCATGAGTTTGATCATGGCAGTCCCTGAATCTGTAACGCAGCTTGATTTCCCTCTTTACCTGTTCCTGCTTCCTTCCCACCCTTTCGGGGAGGTTGATTCCCAGGGCTCCCCTGGGAAACATCTTGTCTACTAACCTCCGCATCACAGTCTGCTTCCTGGGGAACCAACCTAGGACACCCATATCAGGCCACTCTATATTGACCAGAAGTCTCATATTTTAAGACATTCAGAAAACTTTTTTTTTTATAGTGTTGATGTGAACAGCTGCCAAGCCAGTCAAGTCACCTCATCCTATACTTCTGTGATAGATTTATGTAAGACCTCACTTACTTACTATATTGTTTTTTTTTTAATTCTGCCTTATGCTTCAAGCTATTAGGATCATTTAAAATTTTGATATTTTTGGCTTTTTGATTTTTCTCTTTTCCAGCTTTGTGACATTTTGAAGTTTGATGTGCAGGCCTTCATCCTGATTACTGATAAAAATATTTATAGAAAGAATTAAGAGTCTCTCCTGATTAATTCCTCCTCAGAACACAGAACCAATTTTATACTCTAATTTCAAATAGCCCCAATTCTATGCTACCATCTACATTTCAATATTTTACCTAGAAGGACATCGTGAGAGACTTTACCAAATAAATGAATTTGTGAAATCCTGGTTCAATCTGTTCGCTGACTTCCTCTCATTTAATAACTTTATGAAAAAAAAGAAAATTAGATTGGTTCATTTGGTATGTGTTATTCTCAGAGAACCATATTTTGTCTCCTGGTGATTACCTCATTCTTTCCTAAATGTTTACAAGTGATTAAAACGTTAGCTGCTATTATCTTGATTAGATAATTCTTCAAAAAATCTCTCATTTCTCCTATGCTGAAAATTGAACATATATATAGTTCTAGTTATTAATACTCCTGTTAGTTAATTGATTAGTTTTTTATGGGGCTTTAAAAATCTGTTAAGAGGTGACAATGTTTTATATCTCTATTATAGGCAAAACATAAGCATATAGACAAAATTTATAATATAAAGTTTAAATTATGCCTAGACACTCAAAAGAGTTGGTGTTTGAGGTGTTAAAATATCTTTATGTGATGGCTTTTAACAAAATAGTTAGATACTCATTCTTGATGTTATTTTTATAAAACTAAGAATAACATTTTATTTCCTTAACACACAAAGGACATCTTTCTAAAGACAATAGCCAACATCATTCTCAATGTCAAAACACTAAAAAAATTACAGTTTAAATCAAGTATAGGGCCTACCTGATCTATATCACCACTGATAATTTTTTTTATGATTTTTAACAATGCAGTAAAATACAATGCAGAAGTGAAAGCTATAAAATGAGACACATGTACCATTATTTGCAGATGGTTTAACTACAGACCTAGGGAATATAAGATAATCAAATAAAACATGTTTAAAATTAATAAAACATAGTAAAGTGGTTAGTTAAAATATAAGTATACAGATTGCTACATTTAATTTAAAACTCAATAGCCAGTTTCAAGACCTGAAAGAAAAATATTCTATTTCTAGTAGCAATGACAAAAACATTGATAAAAACAAATGACAAAATTTAGAGGATTAAACCCAATAATAAATGTATAGGATGTAGTGAAGATGACTATTGTTCAACTTTACTGGAAAATCCAAAAATAATTGAATAAAAAGAGAGGTACCATATTCCAGAATGTATGTTCTAGAGAGAAAATTCTCTCCAAATTAAGTCCAGGCCTACTCCAATAAAAACCTTAATTAGGATTTTTTTTAGAAATTCAAAGATCATCTATAAAAAGAAACAGATTAGAATACCTAAGAAAAATATTTTTTAAAACAGAGAAATGTTTGATATCCTTCTACAAGATATTCGACTGAGTTCAACTTGGTAGAGTATGAGGATAAGATAACCTTGTTCTTTCTCACGCTAACCCTTGACCATATTTCTTTCTCATCCCTTGTTGAAAATATGGAAAGGTTTTAAGATTTCCATTTAGATTTTTAAAAATGCATTTTGGTCACTTTAATATAAGAAAACACTCTAATTTTAGTGGTTGTAATATCCAGTGTACTTTAAAATTAAAACTGTAAGTTTGATTTAAAGTTGTATTTTCCTTCCTCCGTCAACGAGGACCAGAAAGCTACAGTAACAGTGATAGATACAGGAGGCAGATAAGGGGTGTCCCCAGAGAATCTCCCACCCTTTCCTGACTGATTCTTTCTGAATAATGTCCACATGCGCACTGGGGGAACAGGCTGAAGCCATGGGAACCTCTCGCCTTGTGCAGGGGGCAGGAGCCTGGCCTCTTCAGCTCCTGTATCATGGTCTAGTAATCAATGCGTGAGGTGGGGCTCATTGGCAGCACTCCCCCTCGCTTTGCTGAGTGTTTTTTTCTTTTTCTTTCTTCCTTTTTACCCAATAAATTCTGCTCTCCTCACCCTTCAGTGTGTCCGCTGTGCCTACACAAGAACCCATTTTAGTTGAACTAAGGAACAAAAATTCTGCATCAATAAGGGCAAAGAATGCCCTAGGCTTCTTGGCTGTTAGGGAACAGCCTCTATTCAGTTTACTGCATGCTCTGGCTCCTTAAAGAGAGGGGTGAAGGAGACGGGGGACAGGAAAAGTCTTGCCCACCAGCACAGTGATGATTACCAGAGGGTGCCCTCTGGGTGTGCTGATGAGTCTTTGTCTCCAATGCTGATTCTTTCTCTCAGAAGGGACTCTCCTGGGTTTTTGGAAGGACCACCATTTGGAGCTCTCAGAGGGGTGGTTCTTTTTTTTTTTTTTAATTTCAGAGTTTTATTGTGTTACACTAAAGGAACAGCAGGATGGTTATATAATTTTCTCTCTTATTCAGTTTTGAAAATCTAAAGTACTTGCAAATTCTTAAAATACCTTTACCACTAGGTTAGAACAGTAAGCCTAATAACCAATTTCTTAATAAGTAATGTCTTACAAATAAAAACACATTTAAAATAGCTTCAAATGCATTCTTCACAAGTAATTCAGCATATATTCTTAAGCATAAGTAAACATGATATAAAAATATAGATGGTGGGTTCTTAACATGTGCCGTGGTGTCCCTCTGCCAGCTACCTCTGATTCCTCCCTTAGCCCCTGGGCATCTGGCAGGCAGCTCTTCCAGCGGCTGCACATAGCCTGTCCCAGCAGTCATCTTATGCAGGAGTCAGACCACCTCCACGTGGTCCCCATTTCATCAGAGAGATACTCTGTCCTTCCCATGCAGGAGGGGTGTGGTTAAGCTGAGGGTGGCCCTCACTCTTCCGCTCATCAGTCTCCTCTGGCAGCTCCTAGGCTGAGCTCTTCATAACCTGTGCTCCCCAAACTCCAGAGGATGCAGACTATGCTCTTTGAGTGGCGTTCCTGGAGCCCTCACTCTCCAGCCCTCACTCTCCCTTGCCTGATGATGAGGGGAAACCCTTCTGTCCCGGCCCTTCCAGAGGGGTTGTAGAATGGGAGACACAAAACACCTTAACAGCTCTCTGAAAACAAATCCTTCCTCTTGGCCTTTTAAATGTCAGTACTTTTATGCTCAGGAGTTAGTGAGCCTAAGAGTCCTAAACTGATGTTTAGAGGACTGTGAAAGCCTGAAAGGTGGCTCCATGACCCCTGTCTCCTGGTGTTCATGCCTTTGTGTATTCCTCTCCCTAGTAGAAAAAAGCAACCAGCAAAGGCCAGTAAATTCACAGTTCACAAGAGAATAAATGGAAGTGGCCGTGAAAGTGTGAAAAAAATATTTAATATCAAATCAAAATAACATGTATATATAACAATAAATTAATTTTTATGGAATAAAATGTCAATGAAATTGACAGAGTTGAAAGCATGACAGTAAACTATGCTAATAAAGCTGCAGTGAGACAAGAACTCGCATAATCTCTGCTGGGAATATAAATTATTACCAATATTTTTGAAAGCACTTTGACAGTAACTATTGAGAAATTTAGCAGAATTCATACCTTTTAGTTAAATAATTCTACCTCTAGGAATCTATCCTAAAGAAATCTGAAAAATAAATTATGTATATTAAAAAAGATTATTTATGAAAATAAAATTAGGTTAAAAAGACTTTATAACACCACTGCTTAAACTAGCTAAAAATTAGGGGAAAAAGTAAGTACCTAATAATGGTAGAACAGATAAAAATAGACAAAAGATTTATAATACATATGTGTGAAGAAATATTAATTGAGCATGAAAAATCTTTAATAATATGAGATACTGCAATATTCACTGAAAAATTTACATAAAATGGAATGTGCTCATCCACTCATTAAAATTATTTATTGAGTAAATATGCCTACTATTTTGCACACATTATGTTCAATTCATGTAATGATCCCTATTTTGTTGTGTATGGTTGTAGAAGGAAATATCACACAAATTACCCTTGAGTGCTCTGAACCTTGAGATTTTTATAATTTTTATTTATTGCTCTATACTTCTCTGTGTTTTTCATTTCCCCCCCATGTACATGTAAAGCAATAAATGAACCACTATGAAATCTCATTTCTTCCAGTACTTTCACTGGAGTTCTGCCCAAAGATTAGGCTGCCTCAAGGCCCTCAGTGAGGTAGGATATTTGGTTATCACAATCATCTCCCAGTTTTATTACTAGTTCATGGGGTGTGGGAGTGGTGTGTAGTTAAAAACAAACAAGAGCAGCTTACATTTTGGGATGTAGTGAAAATCACAAGGTTTGCCTAAGGAGAGCTTTTTAAAGAGGGCAGTGTGGCTTGCTGCTGAGATTTTGCAAAGCTGAGTGTGTGTTGAGCTCCCGAGAGCCTGGCTGCTTAGCAACTGCTACATAAAGTCATCTTTCTCTCCTTTAAAAAAAATTCCAGGCTATGCATGACTTAAATGAAGATGTTCTAGTTCACTGGAGCTTGGATAGCAATTACTTGTAGCTGTCTTTGGCATTTGTGCCAGGCACATTAGAAAATAAAATGAAGATGCTGTGCACACCCCATGTCTTCATCTCCAGCATGCCGCAAGGAGTGCGATGAAAGGAGCAGCTGTTCTCCCCAGGCCTTATGTCCTCTCCTCTTCATAGAGAGAAAGTGCAGAAGAGCAGTTCTGGACTTGGTGGGCCTGGAGAAACCCTTCATTTTGACAGCCAGGAGTGGGGTAAGAGGGGACAGAGTGGAGGGTAGAATCAGACATCTGGGTTTACTAAGAGATCCTCCCACTTCAAGGTCATTTTTCTGCTTGCCTCAAGGGCAGCACCCTAGATAAACTTTTTTTTTTTTTTTGAGACGGAGTTTTGCTCCCGTTGCCCAGACTGGAGTGCAATAAGTGCAATAGCACAGTCTCAGCTCACTGCAACCTCCGCCTCTGGGTTCAAGCGATTCTCCTGCCTCAGCCTCCTGAGTAGCTGGGATTACAGGTGCATGCCATCATGCCTGGCTAATTTTTTGTATTTTTAGTAGAGACGGGGTTTTGCCATGTTGGACAGGCTGGCCTCAAACTCCTGACCTCAGGTGATCCAGCTGCCTCAGCCTCCCAAAGTGCTGAAATTCCAAGTGTGAGCCATCATGCCCAGCCTAGAGAAACTTTTTAAAAGCCAAATTAAAATAAGGCCTTCCTTTTCTGTAGTCATTCCATCCCTATTGTATTTGCCTTAGAGAAATTAACAAGACCCTAAAGCCCTCTCCATTCTTCAGATTCTGCATACCTGCTATGTGCATACCCACCCATGTCATGTTTTGAAGCGTCCGAAATAACCTTGACTAACTTTTCCCCAATGAACAATGCACTTCCTTCACTGTCACTTAGATCTTCAAGACCCCTAGGAGTTACCTCTGGTAGCTCTACCCTTACTCCTGTCTTCTTCAGCATAGCACGTAGGTCATGATGCCATCTTTTCTAGCGCTTACCAAAGTAGTCATCTGCAATAGCGTGCTCAGAAACAGCAACGGTGAGGTCAGAGGAATCAGGGGGAGGAAATGGTCCATGTGACACAATGACCCTCTTCTTTCCCTGTGAACAGTGTGAAAAATAAGACATTAATGATTTTGTATGCCTGCACTACTTTTATATGCAGAATGATGGTTAATTTTAACAAGTGAGTGTCTGTTATCTGTAAGAGCACCAGTCTATCAGGGTATGTAAAAGGGAATATGACATCCTGTTCTTCAAAATGCTTACTGGTTAATGGGAGAGACAGACATGGTAGTAAACAAATCATACAAAGCACAAAGAAAGAAGGGGTGAAGCGACAGTGTTTCATGTAAGCGGTAGCCTGGGGAGAATAGCCTCAGAGTCTCAGGCAGGAGCATTGATGTCATGGTGCAGAGGGTGCTGGGGAATGGCTAAATAAAAAATTCCTGGCCGGGCGCAGTTGCTCACGCCTGTAATCCCAGCATTTTGGGAGGCTGAGGCAGGAAGATCACGAGGTCAGGAGGTTGAGACCATCCTGGCTAACATGGTGAAACCCTGTTTCTACTAAAAATACAAAAAAAAAAAAATTAGCTGGGCGTGGTGGCAGGCACCTAAGTCCCAGCTACTCAGGAGGCTGAGGCAGGACAATGGCGTGAACCCGGGAGGCAGAGCTTGCAGTGAGCCGAGATCGTGCCACTGCACTCTGGCTTGGGCAACAGAGCAAGACTCTGTCTCAAAAAAAAAAAAAAAAAAAAAAAAATCCCCCTGGATCTAGAGACAGAAGGAAGGGGTCACCTGGAGGGCAGAGAATCTGAAAATGAGAAGAAAGATTCCTCAGGGACCAGATATGGATGGTACTAACATGATGATAGGAATTCTAAAAGGTGAAGCCTGAGAAACCCAAGGAGGGCAAGAAATCCCGCAGAGTGGAGGGAATTTTAGGGATCAAAGAAGCAGATGCCTTCCTTAACTAGAATGACCAAAAGGACCAGCCTGCGGAGTAGGAAGGAGAGGAAAGGACCACACTGGGAGGCTGATTAAGAAGTGGACTCTAGAAATAGCAGAGACCAAGGCCTAAGTGAGAACACTAACATGTATTATGCTATTTCTGTGTGCCAGCCCCTGTATTATTGTCAAGGACAGTGAAAGGTCTGCAATTTTACCCTGCTCACAAGCCTGACAAGTTAGCCTGTCATTTTCACGGATGTTGGTAGAAGGCATGAAACTTCTTAAGTTAGAGATGAGGGACTTCACAGTCATGGCACAGCAAGTGGCATGAACATGAGTATATATGCATCAGTTCCTCTTGCTCAAGTCCCGTGGAGATAATGCTGATAGGACCTGATGAATGTCTGCACATGTAGTTGGTTTCATTTCAGGAGACAAACCTGGAGATAAGGAACCCCATATCTTTTATAATGAGCAGTAATCATGCTTGCACTTTGCTTTAGAAAGAGACACTTGTCCAAGACTGTTTGCTGTACACATTCCCTTTGAAGGATAGTCCCGAACAAAGGATATTAATAGTTAATACCTCTACTTGCAAGATGTGCAGATATGCAAGAGACCCATGGAGAATTACCTCCCAACAGCTATGTGCTTAATATTTATAAGTGGATCTGAAGACTATCATTTAAAATGTTCTGAAAGAGCCATGGTCTCCAATGAACAATGCACTTATTGCTCTATTTTGAGCATCCTTTCAAAATAGAAGTCGAGAATTTTAAAAAAGAGTTTAACTTATGAAAATTTTTGGAATGTTTTCAATTTCCCCATGTTTCTTAATTTTGCTGCATCTTGTCTGTTTTTCTAGGGAATAAGTAGGAACACTTAGATAAAGAGATTTCAGCAGGCCAGGAGAGAAACAAAAAGACAGCTGGGGTCTTCTACCTGCATCTATACAAAAGACTGGGGTAATCAGTCCTCCAGCATGGCATCAGTTTTGCTGTCTCCCTAGTCTCTTTATGATGAACTCACCACCCTTGAATCTGCATGACTGGGCAGTCTCTCCATCACTGTTCAGGGCCTGCCTCCCTCCAGCACTGGGAAAGAGGACAAGTACTTGTACCCAGAGATTCAGCCTCAGGCTACAGCCACATGTCGATACTGTCTAGGCAGTCAATTTCCTGGATCTTATACAACAATGTGTTTAAGAAAGAATTAATCTAGGCAGAACTTACAGTGCTAATTTTGTGCTACTTTAGCATTAATTAAAATCTCTCTTACACTCAAGATTTCTAGAAAGATTAATTTGATCTGTAAGATTCAATCCATAGCCCATTGAGAAGAGCTGAGCTTGCTGTGGATTTCCAAAGCATTGGACTCCAATATTCATTTCCTGTTTGTAGCAGTCGATGATCAATTCTTACAAATAAATTGTTCTGCTTTGCTGAGATTCCAGCTCCTTCCTTTTTTCAAATCTCTTTTTTAAATGTGCTGCTTCGGACATTTTATTATCCACCAGGCTTGAGGCCAGGAATTGATTTCATTTAAGAAAGTGCCTGGCTATGAAGCTGTAGACTCCTGGATTGTTAGTAGTTGGCTCTTGGAAAAGAAAAATTAATTAGAGAAAACTGAAAACTACTGATGTCACCTATGATTTGCCACTTTTCTATTTCAAGATTAATTAATTCTTTATCTAAATTCTGAAACCTAATACTTCCAGAGAAATTTTAATCAGTGATGAAAACTATACAGTAATAATTAAGTTTATAAACAACATTATGTACTATATGTAGTACCTAATGCTGACAGAAAAGTAAAAAACACTTCAGAAAGTTTTCTTAGACTCTCCTTAAATAACACTTGGAAATTCATCTGGAACTTCTTATCTGGTACAGGGTTAAGTAAAAATGTAATATTGAAACTCACCACACATTAAAATTTATGATGCCCTTAAGAGACACTCAGCATTGATTCATTGTTTTTCTATAGAATCTTGGTAAAAATTTCTTGAATATCTTCCAGGCTTAATCCATAATGACTTTAGATAAGCAGACATCCTTGGTAATGGGGTTTGGCAATTTTCTTAGACGGTATAGCTCTTAGGGTTGGACAAGCTGGTGATCCCTATTGAAGAACTCAGCATTTGAATTAATGTTATCATTGAGTTTATAGGGCAGGATTACATTCATCCCCAAAAATAGGCATAGACCATTGGTCACAGTGCAGCTTAGGCAAAGAAGTTAAAATGGCTTGGCCCAAGGCTATAAGTGCCATTAAATAATTAGACTGATAGCATACACACACACACACACACACACACACACACACGTTCATATGTACAGGACAGTGTATTTTGTAAATGTGTATTTTGCCTCATTAATGAGGTGGGTATGGCATAATAAGTAACAGCTTAGACTTTAGAGAGAGAGAATGTGTGTGTGTGTGTGAGAGAGAGAGATCTGAGTTCAAAACATGGCTATTTACTTGCCAGTGAATAATTTAACTTCTTTGTATGTTAAGATTAAGAAGGCAAAAATAAGAGAACATATCTTCTAGATCTCATGAGAAATGAAAGAAAATAATACATTGAAGATGGTTAGCATAGTGTCTGGCACTCAGTGTCTGGTACTGACATTCATTAAATGCTAGCTCTTATAATTATTAACACTGGAATTATACTCAGCAGTCTTAAAATGAATTGGTAGTGTTAACCATCAAACGCACTCAGCAGCAAAGTTTGAGAGTGGGAAACCCAGAATGAAGACTGATCTTGTCTATAAATCCACCAGGAAATGCTAAGTGCTACATTTCAGAATGGTTGACTTAGTAACTTAGAAAAATATTTTATGATAGATGTAAAATTAGATAAGGAGATTAAAAACAAGAACGTTTTTTAAAAAAACTCATTGATCTATTTATTCACATTTGTATTCAATAGTGTTTGAGGATCTAGTGCCCACCATGAAAAGTATGTGTGCTGAAGACATTAAGGAAATATCAGCTCTCATCTCTGTTCTCCCTTCAAGCCATCATTAAAGGAGAAGGATAGAACTAATATTTGTTTATTTAAAATTAATAAAAATGTAAATATTGAGTTACTTTCACTTTTTTTCATAACTATGGTAAATACAGATCTTAGTAAATAGAAATAGTCTTTAAAATTTCAAATGTATGGCCGAGCACAGTGGCTCATGCCTGTAATCCCAGCACTTTGGGAGGCCGAGGCTGGCGGACCATGAGGTCAGGAGATCGAGACCATCCTGGCTAACATGGTGAAACCCCATCTCTACTAAAAAAAATACAAAAAATTAGCTGGGCATGGTGGCACACGCCTGTAGTCTCAGTTACTTGGGAGGCTGAGGTAGGAGAATTGCTTGAACCCAGGAGGCCGAGGTTGCAGTGAGACAAGATCGCGCCACTGCACTCCAGCCTGGTGACAAAGCGAGACTCTGTCTCAAAAAAAAAAAAAAAAATTCAAATGTATCTAGTTGATGAACTGCCCATGCAAAATGGCTATTACTGCCTATTTTAGTAGACTGTAATCAAACCAAAATACATTACCTATAAACTAATAAACTAAATAATTTATTAAACTAATAAACTAAAATAATGTATTCATAAGATCCTAATTTATGTCTGATTAATCAAACCAAAATACCGTATATTACCTATAAACTAATAGGTAGACTGATTAATCAAACCAAAATACAACACATTACCTATAAACTAATAAATAATTTATTCTTAAGATTAATAAACTAATTTATTCATAAGATCCTAATTTATAAGTCATCTTCACTCAGAAATACAGCCCTAAGATTTATACTTCTACCAAGCTTCAGTTTGAATAGATGTACAACATTTAAACAAAAGCAGTTTAACTAAAAAGGGAAACATTCAAAATGACCTAGAAAATGGAAACTTTTCCTCTTTTTAGATCTCTGTAAGAAGGCTCACTTGAAGGTGAAATCAGCACCACCGTTTTTCACTCTTTCTTTCCAAAGCAGTGGTGGGGAGAACATTCATTGGACAAGGATGACAAGGACACCTCCTTGAGGGGTAGATGCATTCCATTACAGTGCAACTGGAATAGAATGGTTCAAATATCCCCTGGGTGGAAGGTAATTTGAAGGGGCTTTATATGGGTTTATTGGAGTAGAGGGAGGAACAGAAGATTTCTCTCTTGAACTTGGCCCATAAATCCATTTCCAATATGGGACACCTGCCTGGATACTGAGACAAAAGAAGGAAGCCTGGGCTAGCTGCTCCACTTTCAGGTGGGAGAAAAGGACCTGAGGACATAAACTTCCAAGAGCATGTCAATATCCTTTCTACTGATCTTCAATTTTGAGAATGTTGGAGCTTATTCTCTATCAAAGGAAAGTGTATTAAAACTTTTGAGTTAGGCTGGTCTAGAGAGATAACTGACATTGTGAGCAATAAGGTAAACTCTATCTTAGCCATCTAGAGGAAAAATTGGCTTAGGATTATGAAGCGATTATCATCCTGGGATCTGGATCCTATGGAGGGGACACCTGGTCCACACTCAGTGCTTTGGATCCTGGATTCCTGGGCCATTTAAGTTGAACATGGCTTCTGCCATTGGTGATCTAATAATCCAAAAGATTCCCTGGTCTTCACAAGCTGCCCAAATGATGTAACTGGATTACCAAAACTTCAAATACCCTTCCTGAAAGCTCAGATGTAACATCTGCTTCAGTTAATTTTGGTCCAGTGTGTGCACCTTCTTCTCCCAGGTTGTTGGGCTCTGAATTACTAACCACATATTTTGAGTTTTGTTTTCAACAGCAATAGTCTGGTTTTTCAAAGGACATGTGAGGTCTCTTCATTCCTTCCCCTAGCATTGTCTCATTTCAATATCCAGGTACTCAGGGGTATGGATCATGCTCTCATCTGCAGGGACATTTCTCTTTTATCTTTAGATTGTCTTTTCCTTCTACCTGTGAGGTTTTATTTTCATTTCTGTGTTAGGGTTCAGTCATTATTTTAAATTTAAGCTTTCTAATCTTTCAATCTTTGCATAATTTGTTTCCCAAGATGCATTCTTCCTCTAGAGAGTTTTGATATAATCCTTAAGTTTTTTTTTTTTTTTTTGGTCTTGTTCATCAAATGCAATATATATTTGGTTACTTTCTTCTTCAAGGGTTTATAAGGAAAGATTTAGCTTGGGAATATGAATCAGTTTCTTCAGAGCCCTTTTTTGAATGATCATTTTAATGATCTCCCATTGGACTCTCTCTTTCTGTTCAGCTCCCAGTGACCATTATCTATGCTAGATCTACTTTCTTTAGTACGCATCCAGTTAGGGACTTGATCTGACATTTTTCTTAAGGAGAATATTTTGCACACTTTCTTTAGAATGTTTAACTATTTTTGTTTGTGCATTTCATTCATTCTTTTTTTCCTACTTCAGCTTCTTGAAAAATAGTTTAGTTTTTCTAAACGTGAGAAATATCATATCTTTCTTCGAGGCTGTGTTGTTCTTCACTCTTGTCGTGTAACTTTAAAGCTGATTCTGGGCCGGGCGCGGTGGCTCACGCCTGTAATCCCAGCACTTTGGGAGGCCAAGGCGGGCGGATCACGAAGTCAGGAGATCAAGACCATCCTGGCTAACATGGTGAAACCTTGTCTCTACTAAAAATACAAAACAAAACAAAACTAGCTGGGCATGGTGGCAGGCGCCTGTAGTCCCAGCTACTAAGGAGGCTGAGGCAGGAGAATGGCGTGAACCCCGGAGGTGGAGCTTGCAGTGAGCTGAGATTTTGCCACTGCACTCCAGCCTGGGAGACAGAGTGAGACTCTGTCTCACAAAAAAAAAAAAAAAAAAAAAAAGCTGATTCTGGCCCCAGTCGTGTGAAATTGGATGGCTCCTGATCCATCTTCTAGTCAGTGATCTTATGGCATGAGCTATCACCTTATACTGTTTTGGACATTTAGGGATTTCTTCCCTCAGTTCTTTTTCTTGCAAGTGTATTTTAAGCACAAAGACTAGGACCTATTCAGTTTTCTATTTGCTTCCAGGCTCAGCATTCTGGTAGCTTGGTCTCAGGGATGACCTCCATCAAAGATGAAGCTTCATGGCCATCAGCAAGCCATATGGCCCCAGTGGCTGTCACAGTGTGGCCTCAGGTTGCCAGTGCTCTGCTGGCCATGACATACTACAGGTGACTTTCGGAGTGTTCTATCTACACCATAAGCCAGCACCAAGTAATCTGGCACAGCAGCCAACGAGAGGCAGGAATGACAAAACAAGGCTTCCCCACCCTGTGTCCATTCTGGCACATCTAGAACTAGATTGTATGTGAATGCTCACCAGGGGAAATAGCGAGGATGTAAATTTGCTTCAGGTGAGTTCCTCTCCTGGTATTCACAAGAGAGAGGGTCCACATTTTCTTATACTTGTGACCGTCCTAGGATTTCTGGCCACAAGCAAGCTCCTCTAAAGGACTCACCTGCTACATCCTGGGCCAAGGCTCCTTCTTCCCTGTATTGAATCACTCGTTCTACAGCCCTAGAGATGTAATCCTGCCTACGAAAGTACCAGAAATCTTCATACCCATGGCAGCACCCACCCCAGTTTATTTTTGGTCGTCGTACTAGTGTGTGTGTGTGTGTGTGTGTGTGTGTGTGTGTCTGAGGGAGAGAGAGAGAGAGAAGAGGTGGGATTTGGATTTCAGTATTTCTGATTTCAAAACCTGTTCTGAAGACAGAGTTATGGAACATTACATGAGGCAGCAAGATCAATAGCCAATGTATGTTGAGCCAATAACAATTCCAGAGAAGAAGAGCATTAGCATGGATACAAACAATCAGAAGAGATCCATGGAAAACCTGGATTCGATCTAGGTCCAAAGCAATGACTACAATTTGGATTAAGTGGAAAAGCTCTAGGTCAGCTCTCAGTGTCTATGTTTGAATGTCTTCCACTTGACTAGTGATGTGGCTTTGGATAAATTTCTTCACTTCACTCAATTTTCTTACATTGCAAATGAAGATGCTTGATCCAGGATTTAAGGTCACCTCTGTCCCTAACATATATATTTAATGGCAGTAAAAGTGTTTGGTAAGCAGATAAATGCTGTACCGTTGTAATTTCAACCCAAAAGAACCATTTTTTTGTTCTGTCCCAGTTAAGAGTTTATTTGTTAAAATGTGAATTTATTTGATGACAACATGTTTCATTACTTGTTCAATTTAATAAGCATTTACTGAGTACTTGCTGTATGCCAGGATGTGTGTTAGGTGTGGGCCTATAGAGATGAATGAGACAGAGTTCATAAAGAAACTCACTATTTAGGAAGTAAAATACCAATAACTGCAATTATGCAATTATATTCAGAATATAGAGGAGTGAGACATTAAGAATTGGGGAGGGGAGGACAGGGAAGCCTACCCAGAGGTCATGCTTCTGAGTGGAGTTTTGAGAAATGGTAAGGAACTCCCCAAATAGACAAGAGGCAAAGAAGAGGACGTGCACAAAGCCACAAGGTCATGGACTTTCTTTGGAGTGCAGAAGTCTCCAAGCAGCATGATGCCGTGAGAGGGTGTGCAAAGTGTAACGTGTGAAAGTAGGGAAGGCTGCTGGTGGGGTAGCAAGTAGGGAAGGATTGTGAAAAATGAAGCAAGAGGGGGTTAGGTGTAAAATGTCAATGGCCTTTGCATAAGGATGTAGTAAAAATGCTAATCTTGGAGGCATTATGAGTCTAAGACAGGAAAATGTATCAGAAGGAATGTATTTGTTTGCCAGGGCTGCCATAATGAAGTACCATGGAGTGAGTGGCTTAAACAACAGAAGTGTATTTCCTCATAGTTCTGGAGGCCAGCAGTCCAAGATCGAGGTGTTGGCAGGGTTCGGCAGTTTGTTTCTTTTAAGACCTAGGCATATAGGTGACCATCTTCTCTCTGTATGTCCATGGTCTTTCTTCTCTATGTCCTAATTTCCTCTTCTTATAAAGACACCACTCATATTGGATTAGGGCCTACTCTAATCACCTCATTCTAACTTAATTGCCCCTCTAAAGGCTGTGTCTCCAAATACAGACACAATTTGAGGTTTGGGGGTTAGGACTTCAACATATGAATTTGGTGGGGGGATGCAATTCAGCCTGTAATTGGGAGTCGTTCATTCAGGCTTAGTAGAATCTACTGCAATCTGGACTAGCCCTTACAATCTGAAAGCGTGTTATTGTCTGGTAATAGGCACTTCCCTTTTGCCTTCTTTCAAAGACGCCTTCACTTATCCTTTATTGAAAAGTCTTCCTTAATTAAGTGAAAGCCAAATGACTATTTTCCCACAACTCTAATTTCCAGACCCAGACCACAAACATTATGGCAGGGAAGGGATTTTCTTTTTTTTGAGATGGAGTCTCGCTTTGTCGCCCAGCCTGGAGTCTCCTGCCTCAGCCTCCCAAGTAGCTGGGACTACAGGCACCCGCAACCACGCCCAGCTAATTTTTTTGTTTTGTTTTGTATTTTTAGTAGAGATGGGGTTTCACCGTGTTAGCCAGGATGGTCTCAATCTCCTGACCTCGTGATCCGCCCGCCTCGGCTTCCCAAAGTGCTGGGATTACAGGCATGAACCACTGCTCCCGGCCTGGCATGGGACCTAAAGAATGATCCAAATCACCCTGTCTTTCAAGGCCCAACTCAAACATAGCTTCCTTTGTATGCCTACCCAGATTTTACCTGACTGGAGGACAATTTTCCCTTCTCTGAACTATGACGCTTCATTACTGCTTTTCACAGAGTTTAACTTATTTTGGTTTCTGTGTTTCCACAGCTCTCAAAGAAGCTTAAAAGCATCGCTACCTTGTGTCTTTCACCTCTTTGAGGACAGATTTTTAAGTTTTGTTCCATATTACCTGACATATAGCATACATTCAGTATATGATGGTAAAATAATTAATGTAGTGTATGACTAAATTCTGTATGGAATTTTGGATTCTTGATGACCTGGGGTGCCCTTTCTAGCCTCATTGCTCTGTCTCTTCTTCTGTAAAGTCCAGACAACCTGGTCCTTCCTGTAGTATTAGCTCCTGGAAAAGAAATGATGGTACTCATATTAAGTATAGCGCATGGAGCTACAGACCCTGAGAAAAGATTATCTAATGATGAAGTAAATGATAGAAGAGGCCTTCGAGGAACCTATCCTTTAAGGAGGTTGTGGCCAATTCAAGCAGAAGGAAGGCAGGCAGACAGAGCAGTTTTACAGGGCTTTGACCAAATCCCAATAGTTTTCTGCAGATATCACAGAGAATTCTGTTCTTTGGCAAAACAAGAACAAACTTAAAAGAAACACAAAACACTGCACCCTTGCTGTTTCTTCTGAGTCACAGTGATTTTCAATCTGCAGGTAGAGGACTCCTGTGGGGGATGGAGTGTGGGAAAAAGATTCCTGCAAAAGCTTCCATGATCAATCTGCTTACCAAGTAATACTGTTTACACTTCAGACTAAGCAAAAAAGAGAAGCCTCACATGTATGAGCGCTGCCATTTTTCAATGGGCAAACAAATATACTATCATGATTAATAGAATTAAAATTCCTCTAAAGACCCTCACTAAATTTCTAATTCATTTTATTAGTGCTTTTTCAACTGCTTGATATTGACAGTATTTTGAAGAGTTTTTAAACCATGTGAAGTTAAGAAGGTCCTCTTACATGAAAAGTTTGGAAGTCAGGTACTCTTGATATAAATGCTTATTCTACGTGGAAATATTGAAATTTCTGCTCCAAGAAGTAAAATCAGCAGCTAATGAGAACTTTAAGGCTTTGTTTCCATCTTTTTGATTCAGTTTTGACCACACTTTGTTTTCAGTGTAATTCCCTAGGATGGCTCTAGGGTAGGGCTGGGAGCCGGTGGTTTGTTTATTTTTCAGCAGGCAGGGAGAAACTCCAGGATTCCCCTACAGGACACATGAGGACTAGAGCAGAGTGCAGACAAAACAGGATATTACTTTCTGATTCAGTTACATTAGAGAATTTCCCAAAGGGCTCTCATGTTGCTTCTTCTAAATAATCTGCATGGCAAAGTGGCCCCAGACCTGCCCCATGACCCCTTTGCATATTAGCATGAATAGGCATTGCCAAAAGGAAGTGATTCACTAAGCAGAAGTATTTAACAAAAAATAAAGAAGATGCTGGAAGGAGCAGTGATGAAAGCATGTGTTTCTAAACGGTATTTTGAGCATGGCTTTGAGAGAAAACGTATGTTTATAGACACTTAGAAAGACTCAAACCTATCTTCTGATGTGGAAGGAATATTATTAACTCAAGATAGAGGGATATGAATCACACTTGGGTTTCAAATGCATTGTCAGTATGTTTGGCATCATCTTTACCTTTCTCATTATGTGGACTTGGACTAATATCTATGCAAACTTTGAATTCCCTGAATATGTCTTATAGAAGACTTGAGTAAGGGTAGTAGGGACCAGTCTAGGCGAATTCACACCAGCCTCACTTTTCAGTAGTCTGGACAGGGCAGTGACTAGCACGGGCTCCATCCCTCTGTTTCTCCTCCTTTTCAGGATCCTTGACTCTTTACCTCTATCTAAGTCTGTTGTAAGGAAGGGCTGTAGAGAAGCTAGTTAAAACTTAGATGCATTTCTATACACTAAAAATAAACTATCTGAAAAAGAAATTAAGAAAACCATCCCATTTACAACAGCATAAAAAGAATAAAATACTTAGGGATAAATTTAATCAAGGAGATAAAAGATCTGTACACTGAAAACTATGAGACATTGATAAAAGAAATAGAAGATGACACAAATATATGGAAATGTATCCCATGTTCATGGATTGGAAGAATTAATATTGTTAAAATGTCATATAACCTAAACAATCTACAGAATCAATGCAATCCTTATAAAAATTCTAATGGCATTTTTCACAGAAATAGAAAAAATGTCCTAAAATATGTGTGTAATCTCAAAAGACCCTAATTAGACAAAGCAACATTGAGAAAGAAGAATAAAGCTGGAGGCATCCTATTTCTTGATTTAAAACTATATTACAAAACGACAGTAATCAAAACAGTATGGTACTGGCATAAAAACAGACACATAGACAAATGGAATGGAAAAGAGACCATAGAAATGAATCCATGTATATATGGTCAACTAGTTTTTGACAATGGTACCAAGAATATACAGTGGGGAAAGAAATGTCTCCTCATTAAATGATGTTGGGAAAACTGGATATCCACATGCAAAAGAATGAAATTGGACTCTTGCTCTACACCACATACAAAAACTAACTCAAAATGCATTAAAGACTTAACTGTAAGATCTGAAACTGCAAAACTCCTAGAAGAAATCATGAATCATCAGAGAAATGCTAGTCAAAACCACAGTGAAATATCACCTCACACATGTTAGGATGGCTATCATAAAAAAGACAGGAGATACCAAGTGTTGGTGAGGGTGTGGAGAAAAGTCAACCCTTATATACTCTTGGTGGAAATGTAAATTGATACAGCCATTATGAAAACATATAAATAATATATATTCTACATGTAATATTCCATTGTGTATATATACATATACTCATGTATACAATGGCATACTATACAACCATAAAAAGAAGGAAAGACTACTATTTATGAAAAGACTACTATTTATGGATGAACCCAAAGGAAAATAAGTAAAATAAGCCAGACACAGAAAGGCAAATACTATATGATCTACTTATAAGTGTAATCTAAAAAAGTCAAACTCATAGAATCAAAGAATGAAATGATGGTTACTAGGGGACTGGGGTGGGGGAAATGTAGAGATGTCAATCAAAGGGTACAAGCTTTCAGGTTTAAGATGATCAAGTTCTTGGGTTCTGATGTACAGCATGGGTGATGATGGACATGTTGATTGATTTGATTTTGATAATCATTCCACTATTTATATATGCATTTATATCAAATCATCACATTGCACACTTTGAATATATACAATCTTTACTTGTCAATTAAATATTTTAAAATAAAAAATAATCCTGATGCATTCCCATTGGCTGTAGGATAGAGTTCAGAGTCCCTCCAGCCCCCAACTAAGCTGATAGGCCCTTCTCTCATCCCAGCCCCTCAGGCAACTAAGGCAGCAACCACGTCATAATTTCCATTGTTCACTGGACTCTCTTGGCTTGTTCACACAACTCAATATCCAAAACCAAATTAAACAGTCCCCCCTTTCCTGCGGTTTTTCTTTCCAGGGTTTGAGGTTTCAGTTGCTTGTGGTCAACTGTGGTCTGAAAATAGGTGAATATGGTACAATAAGAAGTTTTGAGAGAGAAAGAGAGACCACATTTACATAACCTTTATTACTGTATACTGTTATAATTGTTCTATTTTATTATTAGTTATTATTGTTGAACTCTTATTGTACTTAATTTATAAATTATAACTTTATCATAAGTTTGTATGTACAGAAAAAACATACTACAGTACATATAAGGTTTGGTACTGATAACATCCATGGTTTCATGCATTCACTAGCGGTCTTGGAACATATCCTCCTTATATAAGTTGGGGAGGTCTACTGTAATCTGATTTAAAAAATGGGTGCATATGTGCAGGAAAGGGAACCCTCATACACTGTTGGTAAGCATTTAATTTGCTACAGCCTTTGAAGATGCAGTTTTGTCTGAAATGCCCCTCTCTACTTGACAATGTTCTTATTCTTGAAGGGCTCCCCAACTGAAACATTTTTGTGAAGGTGTTCCTGACTCCTTAGGCAGATAAATTCTTGGCACATAGTAGACACTCAATAAATTCTAAGTATTATTATTTTTAGGCAATTGTCCTTCCCACCTCTGGAGTCCCACAGGCTTTGTCTATGTCTGCCAGAGCATCTAAGTACTGTTGCCATTGTTTGCATATCTTCCTCCCTCACTAGCTTGTTTTGTACATTTAGCCCAGGACAGTACCTGCACACAATTTGTTAAATAAATTATGTTCCATTTCAGATGCCTGGAAGTGCCATTGAGTAACACAGTAAGTCAAGAAGACAAGTTATAATAAAATAGGGAAGGATGGTTACTGGAGAATGGAGTTGCTACCATCCTCTAAAGAGGACTGCATCTACTCTAACCTGATCAATTGCTATGATGCAGGAATATTTAGATTTAAAAAAGAAAAGAAGCTATAAATGTGAATTTTTATGTGGACTCTCTGAATTTTTAAACCTTGGCAACTAACGTGACTTTTTAAAACCACTGCGTGAGCCAACTGAAACATGCCTAAGGGCTGGTAGTTTTCATCTTGTTTAGAGACTGGAGGTGGCAAAAGAAAATTGATTGGTCTCCTGAGGACACCCCACTTCTCCTGTAGTCAGGATGGCCCTGCAGGGCTTCCTGCTGACATCAGGAATGGGGTGCTTCCCTTTTCACTCTCCAGAGGACACTGCAATCTTCCATTTCTGGTGTCTCCATGGGTTTTCAAACTGCTGACAAGCTGCTCCTCCACAGAATTTCCTGCCTGTGGCAGGGATTGGCTGTCAATGCTGTTCAAAGTCAGGCTTGGCATCCCTTGAGCAGGCATGTCTGTCTTGGGGTCTGGACAATACCATTTCTAAGTAGGAAGAAGGGACGGGGTGCCTCAGTTAGAAGGGACATGAGTGTCCCCTACCCCATCTCCAAATAGGGGTAGGTGGCTTGTTTGGTAATCAAGGGAATTGGATTTTGGTTCTGACAATATTTGAAATTGTCTGAGTAACTGTAAACCTTTTATTTGTGTTTTCTCAGTTACTTTTCACAACAACCCTGCATGGCAGGTATTTTTATCCCTATTCCTTTGTTAAGGATATAGAGCTTGGAGAGAGAATATGCCTAATATCACACAAGTAGAAAGTGCAGAGCTGGGAGGTGAGCATTGGTGGCTTGTGTACTTTCCAAGACCTTGACTTTGTTCATTCCTCTACGATGTCCTCTGTAGCAGAGGTGGGGTTTAGCCTGGGAGGAGTGAAAGGTATTTCTCTCACTTTCTTCTCCTGTCTGGAAGGTTCAGGTAACTGCCAGGATAGGACAATTCTGCCCCAGTTTTCTAATTCCGCAGTCCCAGTTCTAACAGGCAAGGAAGAGAGACCCCAACTTCCTAGGATAAGATGCTTATTCAACTCTGTTCAGCCCAGAATTTCCAAAATGTGTTTGATTTCAGAGCCCTTTCTTGGAGCACTTACTTTATATCCCTGGTAACCTGTGTTCTATAGAACACTTTTTGAGAAATGTTCCATTGAACTGCAGCACAAGCCCACCTCTTTTGGGAGAATGAGGCTTAAGAATCTTCTGGGTCAAAGAGAACGCTGATGAATAACAAGGCCGACTCCCAAATTCTGGCAAGAAGTCTAAATTAGAGAGACTTTAGACTGTAAGAAGACTTAGAGAGGCAGCCAAATAACAGGATTGGCCTTTCTAAAGATTATAAATAAAAGATTATAAAGAAAGAGTGCTAATTAGAGAATGTTTAAGAAAGCACCTTGCTTATGACAAGACTTGCTAACTCCAGAAATGGCTTACCATGGGAAGACAGAAAGGGAGAACTGGGAAATACTTCACTTTGCAGGATTTTGAACAGAATAGCATCCCTTTGGCAAGGCTCAGGTATGGATGCTTCTAGAATCAAAAGGTTGATTATTTTATCTCAAAATTCTTAGAAATCACCTGTTTTAGCTGTAACTTAAAATCCACATTTGAAAAATGAGGACCAGAGAGGTAAAGGAACCACACAAGTTTGCAAGAAAATAATATTGCAGAGCTCAGCAATGCACCCTCATCTCATAAGCTTGTTTTCTGCAAGCCTCCCTCTCCTGTTGAATCTTCCAAACAGATACAAATGACCAGCGGTTGCAGCAGCCTGCTTCTTGCTGCAGCCAAGCAAACACAGGACGTGAGATGACCACAAATGGTCAGCCCCTGCGGACAGCATGCCTGATGAGAGTACTCACCCAAAATAAGCAAACTACAACTGAGTTGGGGACTCCTAAATGTCACAGCAAGGCAAATTCCAACTTCTCTTGACTTTGTGAGATGCTATAATTAAAAATAAATATGCAAGCCTGGGCACTCACCCCTGAGTAAAGATTTCATGAGCTGTTGTGCTGTGACAGGCCATTAGGGTAATTAGGCTCAGCTTTCTGTCGCTTGTGTTGGCTTCTCAAGGCAAGTGGGGGTAGGGTAACGGTTGGAAGTGGGAATGAGGATGCTAAGCCCTTAGTTCTTGCTGGGAGGTGAGGGTAGGCATCCCCACCACTAATGAGAGAGGGTCCCTGGCTTTAGGCTGTAGTCAGCAAGTCTCACTAGTTAGTACTGACAGGCAATGAATGAGTCATCCCTCCAGCTTGAATGAGCCTCATTATTTAATATGAAGTGCCAGAGTGCCAGTTGGCATGGTTGGAAATAAATATATCCGAGTGTTGTCAGCAATGTCATCTCAACTCCTACTTTGAAAAATTTCAGATGCTTCCCACCTCACTGTTGCTGGTAAGCACTATGCAAAGAAAATAGGAGGCTTGGTGCAGATCTTTGAGAAAAGAAGTAGAGATAATAATGCCCATTCTGTAGGACTATAAGGTCTAGAGACATTGCATAAAGCCAAGTGGCCAGCAGCATACCTGGCCCAAAGTGGGCATTCAAAGAGTGGCCATGCTTACTCTGGAGGCAGCATGTTTGAGAATTTAAATGGGCTTGGGTTTGAATTGCTGTGTTGCCACTTACCCTGTGGATTTGGACACGTATTCTAACTTCATTTTCCTCATCTGTGAAATGAGAAGAGTAATAATGCTTTACTATCTACCTTGAAAGATTATTAACAACATCAAAGATAATGCATATAAAGTGCCCAGCAAGGTGTCTGTACATCATAGGAGTCAACTACTCATTATTACTCATCTAAATACTTGGATGTAACCTAAGTTCACTCTTACAGGCCAGATAACACTATTCTGGTGGGTCCTTCCTCTGTCCCACCTTGAATATATTTACTGGGTTGGAGGGTCTATCTTTGTACACTAATGTGTATGAAAAAGGAGAATAGTAATAGCTAACATTGACTAAGAGGTTACTATGTGCCACGTACTATTCTAATGCTTTATATGTGCGAACTCATTTGATCTTGACTACAACCCTGTGAGGTGTAAAGATGATAAAGCCAAGGTGCAGAGAAGGGCAACTGACCTCCCTGCCCAAGTCACACATCCATTGAATGGCTGAGCCAAGATTCACACTCAGGCAGCCCTCACCAAAAACTGTGCTATTCCCCACTATGCCACTGACTCTTGCAAGACACAAACATAATCTCCTTTCTTTCCCTCAATTTGTTGAAGGGCATTTCATGGATAGAATATCATATAGTCACAAATGTAAGCCTTTGAATAGACTTTACAAAATAATTGGTTGATTTCTCCGCTTTCAGATTTGCATGATACTCTCAATTTTTCAGATGAGACAACTGAAGCCCAGAGACAGAGACTCTAGGGTGTGGTGTGGCCCCAGTTTACCTGCATAAGCTCGGGGCTGTCCTTGTGACACTTCCCTGAGCACTTCAAGAAATGGCTTCCAACTCATGTGTCCCAGGCCTGAGTCAACTCCCTGAATAATGGTGGGGTCAAACTACTCCCTATTTTATTTTATTTTACTTGTGTGCATATGTGCATTTTTAAAAAGACTTCACTGTTTTAGAGCAGTTTCAGGTTCACAGCAAAATTGGAAGGAAGGCACAGAGATTTCGCATATATCTCCTGGTCCCACACATGCACAGGCTCTCCCATTATTAACATCCCCAACGAAAGCAGTACATTTATTGCAACTGATGAACCTACATTGATCCAAGTCTATAGTTTATATTAGGATTCACTCTTGGTGTTATACATTCTATGGGTTTGGACAGATGTTTAATGACATGTATGCACTATTGTAGTATCATTTGGAGTATTTTCACTGCCCTAAAACTTTCCTGAGCTCTGGCTACTCATCCTGCTCTCTCCACTAACTGCTGGCAACTGCTGATCTTTTTAATGCCTCTATAATAGTAAAAAAAAGTTTTACCTTTTGCAGAACATCATATATTTGGAATTACACTCTATGTAGCCTTTTCAGATTGGCTTCTTTTACTTAGTAATATGCTTTTGAGATTCCTCCATGTCTTTCCTGGCTAGATACTAATTTCTTTTTAGCGCTGAATAATATGCCATTGTCTGGATTTACCATAGTTTATTTATTCATTTGACTATTGAAAGACATCTTGGTTACTTCCAGTTTTCGTAATTATAAATAAAGCTGCTATAAACATCTGTGTGCAGGTGTTTATATGGACATAAGTTCTTAACTCCTTTGGGTAAATAGAAAGGGGCATGATTGCTGAATTGTATGGTTAAGAGTATGTTTAGTTTTGTAAGAAACCACCAAGCTGTCTTCTACAGTGGCTGCACCATTTTTCGTTCTTGCCAGCAATGAATGAGAGCTCCTGTTGCTCTACATCCTTGTCAACATTTGGCATTGTCAGTGTTCTGGATTTTGGCTATTCTAGTGGGTGTGTGTGGGATCTCTTTGTTGTTTTAATTTGTATTACCCTGATGACATATAATGTTGAATATCTATTTTTTCATATGCTTATTTGCCACCTGTATATCTTCTTTGGTGAGGTATTTGTTAAGATCTTTGGCTCAGTTTTTAATTGGGTTGTTTGTTTTCTTATCTTTGAGTTTTAAAAGTTTTTTTGTGTTTGGAATAAAAGTCCTTTATCAGGTATTTTTTTTTTGCGAATATTTTCTCCTAGGCTGTGGCTTGTCTTCTCATTCTCTTGACATGGCCTTTTGCAGAGCAGAAGTTTTTAGTTTTAATAAAGTCTAGCTTATTATTTCTTTTATGGCTCATGCCATTTGTTATGTATCTGAGAAGTCATCACCATACCCAAGGTTACCTAGGTGACCTTGGCTTTCTCCTGTGTAGGAGTTTTATAATTTTATGTTTTACATTTAGGGCTATGATGCATTTTGAGTTGATTTTTATGGCAGGTGTAAGGTCTTAATTTATTTTTGCTTGAGAATTATTTAAAAATAATTCTACTTCTAGGCAGATAAAATTGAAAAAAAGTGTTTCCCCACATATATTCATAGAGTTTCTTTTCCTTAATTTGAATTAAATTAGATATACAACATTGATTTCTTGTCTGATAAAACACAAGCCACACGATTATGACAAAATATTATAGCTAAAGGTCTGTCTTTTGGAAAAAGGACTCCTGGCTGTCACTTGCTGGAGTTGGATTGGTAACAATCAATAAGAGACCCACACTGAAAGGGTGAGTAGCAACAGTCCTGATGCCTGTCTTATACATTATATTTATGGGTCATCTGACCAACTTCATTTACGGGGGACGCATATGGGAGCCAAGTGGTCTGGTCACATGCTGTTGATATCATCTTGCATTCCCGCACTCACTCTTATGAGAAGCCACTTATTTCTTCCAAACTGCTTCAGCTGCCAAGAGAGACTGCCATACGTAGTCCCAAGGCTTTGGGGCATGAAATGGAGGGAAAATATTTTAATTTGTTTTGAAAATTAAACGTGATAAATCACAAAGTAATCAAAACCTCTGTCCACCCCAACTTGGAGCCACTCTCTGGAGCCTCTTGCTTAGTGCTTCTTCCTTATTAGACCGATATTTTCAGAGACTTATCTCCAATCTCAGAAATAAGCTAGAATGCTAAACATGACAAATGCATTCCCAGAAAACCATATATCTAAGAGACTCTGCAATACACAGTTCCAAATATATGCATGATTACCTAGTGGAACTTCTTAATTTGAACTCTGGGGCTGACTAGCAGGAGTGTTCACCCTGCTTTTTTTTTTTTTAAATATTGCCTTTTGAAAATCTACTCCATCTCAACTTTTTGGTAAGAAGCAGCTAAACTCTGTGGGTTCTTAATGCAGCTAGGCAAGAGCGTAGCGTGCTGGAGAGAGGGCGTGAGTTCAAGTTCCTCTATGCTGTAAACCAGCTGCATAACCTTAAATAAGAACTTAACTTTTCTGAGTTTCAGTGTACTACTCTGTAGGAAGAACTTGGGAAAATAATACAAAGTCACAGGGGTCACCATGAATATGAAATTAGGAAAAATAAGAAGCACTTGATAAATTCACAATTGCTTAAATGTATGAGTTTGAATTTGAGAAAAGCTAGAATGGCTGGATCTTCTCTTGCCTCCCAATGATCTGCTTTCCCAGCTGCCATGACTTCCTGGCACTCCCATAGCCCTTGGGGTTAAGGTGAGTAAGCCTGAAAATACCATGCAAATGTGTAATGCATGTTTCTAGAAATGGAGACTCATAAAGACAAAGATCCATCCTATTTATTTATGTGTTCCATTGCTTAGTAATAATGATGGTCATGAAACAGGTTATTAAATGGCCTCTTTCTGGCCTCTTTCAAAAGACCAAATATTCCTAGATTCCAAAATAGGGTGTTTAAACCACCAGTGCAAGACTTTCAAAGAGGGTGGCATAAAACTCATTTTTTTGTACTGTTATGCAATCATCCATTTAGAGGGATCATAGAAGATGTCTGTGTAGTAAGATGTCAAATACCTGTGTATTTCTCTTCCCGGTCCCCCATCCCACCTCAAGGGGTGGAAAAGGAGAGGGCTCTCGTTTCTGCCTCTTCTTAAGCCAGGAGAAACAGGGGGACTCAAGAGAAAAAAATCAAGTACCTTAAATGATGCATGCTGGAATCGGGGGAACATAAAGACTAGATTGAAAGTTGTGGCTAGATCTATCTAAGGTGGCCAATTCAAGAGAGAGGAGCTGCACTGGGAGTTTTTCCATTCTTGGTGGAGGAAAGATGAGGGCATGCTTCTCAGAAAACAGCTTTGGCTCACACAGATCAGTGTGGGGAGCCCATTTATTTATTTATTTATTTATTTATTTATTTATTTATTTATTTATTTATGACACAGGGTCTTGCTCTGTCACCTAGGCTAGTGCAATGATCATATTAACTTACTGCAGCCTTGAAATCCTGGGCTCAAGCGGTCTTCTCACCTCTGCCTCCTGAGTAGCTGGGACTACAGATATGTGCCATCATGCCTGACTAATTTATTTTATTTTATTTTTTGTAGAGATAGTGTCTCATTTTGTTGCCCAGGCTAGTCTGGAACTCCTGGCTTCAAGTGGTCCTCCCACCTCAGCCTCCCAGAGTGCTGGGATTACAGGCATGAGTCACTGCACTTGGCCCTTGAGCCTTTTTAAATTCCACCCAAGATTGCCTGAAGAGCCATGAGACCCAATAGGGGTGGGCTGATGGATGCTCAAGAAGGAGGAACTACAATGTCTGGCTGAGAAGAATCCATTACCTGTGTGAGCCTCAGTTTCCCTGTCAAGTCAGTTGCAATTTAAGGATCCCCCTGGGACCATCTCTGAGGAAGTCACAAAATGCCCTGAGGGAGATGTAGTTAGCAGGTCATGCTCCAGGGTACCATCTCCAGGTTATGTCTATGCAGGCAGGCAAGAGCATGTTTCTTGTCTCTTATTTCTCCTCCAGTGATCGCCCACATTCAGCCTTCAACTTTGCAGGCCCAGAAGCAATGTGGGAGGGAGGTGGAGACAGAGGCCAGCAAGGCTCACAAGGAGAGAAAAGTCAGCTACCCCCTGCCCCTCTGCAGTTTCCTGGGTGAAGCAAACTGGAATTGAAAAGAGAAAATTTTTAAACTGGGTGAGAATATGCAGTTATGTGAATTAAAATGACTGTTCTTGTGAATGAAAGTGATTTGAAGGCTTAGCACCCGAGAATGGTGAGAAAAGCTGTGTTATTTGTGTGTGTGTTTCAATGTTTTTGCTCAAAGTAAAAAAAAGTTTCTTGTTTAATTGCATTGTTAGAGAACATGTTCTAAGTTCTTCAGAAGAGGTTGATATTTCCTTTGTGAGTTCTAGTACATGGTCATTTTTTGTAACTAATTCATGTCTTTGAAAAACAAAAATGTATTCTTTATTCGTAAAGTACAGGGTTCTATACATATTGATCAGATTAAATATGTTAATTATACTGTTCAAATTTATGCATTCTTATAATTTTCTTGTCTGCTTGTTCTTTTTGAGAAGAGTATATTAAAACTGTCAACAACTAATGCTTGTAGATTAATCCATTTCTCCTTGTAAATGTGTCAATTTTTTATTTTTATGTAGTCTAAGATGAGGTTGATAGGTACATATACAGTTATATTTGTTATATCTTTTTGGAGAGGTTTCATGTTTATTATTATATAGTATTATTAGCAGTGGCAAATCCATACAGCTGTGCAGCAATCTGAATTTTTGCCTCCTGAGAAGAAAGAATTTGACAAAGGAGCATAAGGCCAAAGGAAAGACCCAGGCAAATTTTAGAGTAGGGGAGAAAGTTTATTAAAAAGTTTTAGAGCAGGAATGAAAGGAAGTAAAGTACACTTGGAAGAGGGCCAAGTGGCTGACTTAAGAGAATCAAGTGCATGGTTTGACCTTTGACTTGAGGCTTTTTTTTTGAGACGGAGTCTCACTCTGTTGCCCGGCTGGAGTTCAGTGGCGTGATCTCGGCTTACTGCAACCTCCGCCTCCCGGGTTCAAGTGATTCTCCTGCCTCAGCCTCCCAAGTAGTTGGGACTACAGGCATGCACCACCCAGCTAATTTTTCTATTTTTAGTAGAGACAGGAGTTCACCATGTTGACTAGGATGGTCTCAATCTCTTGACCTCGTGATCCGCCCGCCTCGGCCTCCCAAAGTGCTGGGATTACAGGCATCAACCACTGCACCCGGCCTGACTTGAGGCTTTATACATTGGCATGCTTCCGGGGTTGCATTACTTCTCCCCTGACTCTTCCCTTGGGGTGGGCTATCCACATGCATAGTGCTCTGCCAGCCCTTGCAAGGGGCCACATGTGCAATGTGTTCACAGATGTTGTACTCATGCTCACTTGAGGCATTTTTCCCTTACCAGTCGAGTGTTCCAAGAGGAAGGTCATATACCAGTTAAACTCTGCCATTTTGCCTCTTAGTGTGCACGCTTGAGCCCACTTGCCAAACTCCTGAGATCATATCAGGAAGCTGCTGATCACCAATTTCAAATGTTTTCTACCTATTGGGAGACTGCCTTTTCCTGGCACTGGCTGTGACCAATTATCATTTTCGACAGTTTAACAACCACCTGACTATCACCTGATGGTCGCCTGGCATTCCTGCTGGTTGGTGGGGCCCTCTCCTGCCTTTCTGATGTCTGCCTGTCTACTGTAACAGTATCTCTCTTTATTTAATTAGGTTATGTTTTGTTAATTAATGTTAATTTTGTTAATTCTTTTAAGTTCTATTTTAAATTCTAATTTGCTTAATATTGAATATTACCACATCAGACCTTTTTGGTTAGTTTTGCCTTTATTCTATCCCTTTGTTTTTAAACATTCTGTAAAATTGTTTTTAGTTCATTTATTTTGTAAACTGCAAAAAATAAATATTTTTATTTTGTATCTAACATAGAAACCTCCATTTTAAAGCAGACTTCAAAGCAAAGAAAATTATCAGGGTTAAAGAGGGACATTATTTTGACAAAGAGGTAAAATCTCCAAGAAGACATAACAATCCTTAATGTGTATGTACAACAGAGCAACAAAATACATGAGGTAAAAACTAACAGAACTGCAAGTAGAAATAGACAAATCCACTATTATAGTTGGAGAAAGTAATACCCCTCTATTAGCAATTGACAGAAATAGAAGGCAGAAAATCAGTAAGGACATAGTTGAGTTGAACAGTAGCATCAATCGACTGGGTCAAATTGACATTCATAGATTGCTTCATCCAACAAGAGTAGAATTCACATTCTTCTCAAGTTCACATGGAACATTCACCAAGATAGGCCACATTCTGAGCCTTAAAAACACACCTTAACAAATTTAAAAGCATAGAAATCATGCAAAATATGCTGTCAAACCACAGTGGAACTAAAGAAGAAATCAATAACAGAAAGATAGCTGGAAAACCCCCAAATATTTACAGGTTAAACAATATGTTTAAAAATAACACATGGGTGAAAGAAAGAAGTCTCAAATTAAAAATATTTGAATTAAATGAAAATAAAAAATAACTTATCAAAATACGTAGTTTCATGTACGTCCAAGTGAAGAGACCACCAAACAGGCTTTGTGTGAGCAACAAGGCTGTTTATTTCCCCCGGGTGCAGGTGGGTTGAGTCCAAAAAGAGAGTCAGTGAAGGGAGGTAGGGGTGGGGCTATTTTATAGGATTTGGGTAGGTAAAGGAAAATTACAGTCAAAGGGGGGTTGTTCTCTGGCGGGCAGGTGTGGGGGTCACAAGGTGCTCAGTAGGGGAGCTTTTGAGCCAGGATGAGCCAGGAGAAGGAATTTCACAAGATAATGTCATCAGTCAAGGCAGGAACAGGCCATTTTCACTTCTTTTGTGGTGGAATGTCATCAGTTAAGGCAGGAACCGGCCATCTGGATGTGTACGTGCAGGTCACAGGGGATATGATGGCTTAGCTTGGGCTCAGAGGCCTGACGTTCCTGTCTTCTTATATTAATAAGAAAAATAAAATGAAATAGTGGTAAAGCGTTGGGACGGTAAAAATTTTCGGGGGTGGTATGGAGAAATAATGGGCGATGTTTCTCAGGGCTGCTTCGAGTGGGATTAGGGGTGGCGTGGGAACCTAGAGTGGGAGAGATTAAGCTGAAGGAAGACTTTGTGGTAAGGGGTGATATCGTGGGGTTGTTAGAAGATACATTTGTCATGTAGAATTATTGGTGATGGCCTAGACACGGTTTTGTATGAATTGAAAAACTAAACGGAATAAGAGAAGGAGAAAAACAGGTATTAAAGGTCTAAGAATTGGGAGGACCTAGGACATCTAATTAGAGAGTGCCAAAGGAGATTCAGCATAGTCCTGCCAGCAAAGATTATTTATTTACTTCAAGAGTTAAGAGTGGCATTTTAGGGATAGCACCAGGAGATATCAGCTATGACGGCTTGGAGAAACAGTGTAAACTGGCAGTGTAAACAAGAGCAGGGCTTGTATGAGTAGTTGAGAACGGAGAATAGGAGTATGACTAGACAGAAGATAATAGGGGTGACAAGTTTTTTGGGGCACAGTCCAAGTTGGTCTGGTGTCTGGAATGAGACTGGGGCTTAATAAAAAGGAGCGTCTATACAGGAGCTCAAATGGGCTGTACTCTGTAGCATTCCAAGGACAGGCCTGAATTCTGAGAAGGGAAAGTGGTAAACATGTTGTCCAGTCCTTTTTCAGTTGGTGGCTGAGCTTGGTGAGGTGTGTTTTAAAAGACCATTAGTAGGTTCTACCTTTCCTGAAGACTGAGGACCATAAGGGATATAAAGGTTTCACTGAATACTAAGAGCCTGAAAAACTGCTTGGCTGATTTGACTAATAAAGGCTGGTCTGTTATCAGACTGTATAGAGGTGGGAAGGCTAAACTGAGGAATTATGTCTGACAGAAGGGAAGAAATGACTGTGGTGGCGTTCTCAGACCTTGTAGGAAAGGCCTCTACCTATCCAGTGAAAGTGTCTACTTAGACTAAGAGGTATTTTAGTTATCTGACTTGGGGCATGTTGAGTAAAGCTAATTTGCCAGTCCTGGGTGGGGGCAAATCCTCGAGCTTGATGTGTAGGGAAGGGAGGGGGCTTGAATAATCCTTGAGAAGTAGTAGAATAGCAGATGGAACACTGAGAAGTTATTTCCTTGAGGATAGATTTCCACGATGGAAAGGAAATGAGAGGTTTTAAGGGGCGGGCTAGTGGCTTGTACTATAGCATAGCCTGCCTTTGCTGGTGTGTGGCGATTAGGCCTGGTGGAACTGCCATCAATAAACTAAGTGTGATCAGGGTGAGGAACAGGAAAGAAGGAAATATGGGGAAATGGGGTGAACGTCAGGTGGATCAGAGAGATGCAGTCATGAGGGTCAGGTGTGGTATCCAGAATAATGTGAGAGGCAGGATTGAAGTCCGGGCCAGGAACAATGGTAATTGTGGGAGACTCAACAAAGAGTGAGTACAGCTGAAGGAGCCGGGGAGCAGACAGTATATGCGTCAGGTGTGAGGAAGAAAATAGATTTTGGAAATTATGAGAGCTGTAGAGAGTGAGTTGAGCATAGTTTGTGATTTTGAGGGCCTCTAAAAGTTTTAGGGTGGCAGCAGCCACTGCACGGAGACATGATGGCCAGTCTAAAACAGTAAGGTCAAGTTGTTTGGACAAAAAGGCTACAGGACACGATCCTGGTCCTTGTGTAAGAATTCTGACTGCACAGCCCTGCAATTTGGCTGTGTGTAATGAAAAGGGTTGGGATGAGTCAGGGAGAGCTAGGGTGGGGGCAGTCTCTAAAGCTGTCTTCAAGGAACAGAAAGAGGAGTGGGGAAAGGATTTAGGATCTATGGGGTCAGCTAGGTTTCTTTTTGTGAGTTTATATAATGGTTTTGTTAGGATGGCAAAACCAGGTATCTAAAGTTGAAAGTATCTAACCATGCCTAGGAAGGAAAGGAGTTGTTGTTTTGTAGAAGGTGTTGGGGTTTGAGAGATCAGCTGGACATGATCTGCGGGGAGAGCACGTGTGTTTTTATGAAAATTACGCTGAGATAGGTAACAGATGGGGAAGAAATTTGGGCTTAACTGAAGTAATGGGGGCTGTCTGTGAAGCTTTGTGGCAGTACAGCCCAGGTAATTTGCTGAGCCTGATGGGTGTCAGGGTCTAGTCCAAGTGAAAGCGAAGAGAGGCTGGGTTGAAGGGTGAAAAGGAATAGTAAAGAAAGCATGTTTGAGATCTAGAACAGAATAATGGATTGTGGAGGGAGGTATTGAGGATAGGAGAGTATATAGGTTTGGCACCATGGGGTGGATAGACAAAACAATTTGGTTGATAAGGTGCAGATCTTGAACTAACGTGTAAGCCTTGTCTGGTTTTAGGACCAGTGAAAAGGGGGAATTGCAAGGGGAGTTTATAGGCTTTAAAAGGCCATGCTGTAGCAGGCGAGTGATAACAGGCATTAATCCTTTTAAAGTGTGCTGTGGGATGGGATATTGGCGTTGAGCGGGGAAAGGGTGATTAGGTTTTAATGGGATAGTAATGGGCATGTGATCAGTTGCCAGGGAAGGAGTAGAGATGTCCTATACTTGTGGGTTAAGGTTGGGGGATAGGAGAAGAAGATGCAAAGGAGGCTTTGGGTTGGGGAGAAGGGCGGCAATGAGATGCAGCTGTAGTCCAGGAATAGTCAGGGAAGCAGATAATTTAGTTAAAGTGTCTCAGCCTGATAAGGGAACTGGGCAGGTGGGGATAACTAAAAAGGAGTGCTTAAAAAAGTATTGTCTAAGTTGGCACTAGAGTTGGGGAGTTTTAAGAGGTTTAGAAGCCTGGCTGTCAATACCTACAACAGTTATGGAGGCAAGGGAAACAGGCCCTTGAAAAGAAGGTAATGTGGAGTGGGTAGCCTCTGTATTGACTAAGAAGGGGAAGGACTTACCCTCCACTGTGAGAGTTACCCATAGCATCTGTGATGGTCTCGTAGGCTTCCGAGGTGATCGAGCAGTGTCAGTCTTCAGCTGCTAAGCCGAGAAGATCTGGGAAGGAGTCAGAGAGCCTTAGGCCAGAGTTCCAGGGGCTCTGGGAGTGGCTGCCAGGTGAGTTGAACAGTCTGATTTTCAGTGGGGTCCTGCACAGATGGGACATGGCTTGGGAGGAATCCTGGGCTGTGGGCATTCCTTGGCCCAGTGGCCAGATTTCCAGTACTTGTAGCAAGCTCCTCGGGGAGGAGGTTCTGGAGGAACCCTTGGCAGCTGCGGTCAGGCGTTTGGAGTTCTTGTGTGCTGGAGATGTGGCTGGGGTTTGTTTCACAGTGGAGGCATGGAATTGCAACTCAGAAATACATTGCTACTTGGCTGCCTCTGCTCTATTATTGTACACCTTGAAGGCGAGGTTAATTAAGTCCTGTTGTGGGGTTTGAGGGCCAGAATTTAATTTTTGGAGCTTTATTTCATGTCGGGGGCAGATTGGGTTATAAAATAAAATGCATATTGAGAATAAGACGGCCTTCTGACCTTTAAGGGTCTAGGGCTGTAAAACGTCTCAGGGCTGCTGCTAAAGGGGCCATGAACTGGGCTAGTTTTTTTTTTTTTTTTTAATTATTATTATACTTTAAGTTTTAGGGTACATGTGCACAATGTGCAGGTTTGTTACATATGCATACATGTGCCATGTTGGTGTGCTGCACCCATTAACTCGTCATTTAACATTAGGTATATCTCCTAATGCTAACCCTCTGCCCTCCCCCGACCCCACCACAGGCCCCGGTGTGTGATGTTCCCCTTCCTGTGTCCATGTGTTTTCATTGTTCGATTCCCACCTATGAGTGAGAACATGCAGTGTTTGGTTTTTTGTCCTTGCAATAGTTTGCTGAGAATGATGGTTTCCAGCTTCATCCATGTCCCTACAAAGGACATGAACTCATCATTTTTTATGGCTGCATAGTAGTATTCCATGGTGTATATGTGCCACATTTTCTTTATCCAGTCTATCATTGTTGGACATTTGGGTTGGTTCCAAGTCTTTGCTATTGTGAATAGTGCCCCAATAAACATACACGTGCATGTGTCTTTATAGCAGCATGATTTATAATCCTTTGGGTATATACCCAGTAATGGGATGGCTGGGTCAAATGGTATTTCTAGTTCTACATCCCTGAGGAATCGCCACACCGACTTCCACAATGGTTGAACTAGTTTACAGTCCCACCAATGTGTAAAAGTGTTCCTATTTCTCCACATCCTCTCCAGCACCTGTTGTTTCCTGACTTTTTAATGATCACCATTCTAACTGGTGTGAGATGGTATCTCATTGTGGTTTTGATTTGCATTTCTCTGATGGCCAGTGATGATGAGCATTTCTTCATGTGACTTTTGGCTGCATAAATGTCTTCTTTTGAGAAGTGTCTGTTCATATCCTTTGCCCACTTGTTGATGGGGTTGTTTTGTTTTTTTTCTTGTAAATTTGTTTGAGTTCTTTGTAGATTCTGGATATTATCCCTCTTTAACCGGGTGTGGTGTCAGGCACCTGTAGTCCCAGCTACTCGGGAGGCCGAGGCAGGAGAATTGCTTGAATCTGGGAGGTGGAGGTTGCAGTGAGCCGAGATCGTGCCACCGCGCTCCAGCCTGGGCGACAGAGTGAGACTCCATCTCACAAGTAAATAAATAAATAAATAGCATTTATTTATCCATTCATGAATTGATAGACATTTGGGTTGTTTCCACTTTGAGACTAATATGAATAATGTTCTATGAACACTCATGTGCAAGTTTTGTGTGTTCATGTTTCCAACTCTCTTGGGTACATATCTGGATCATATGGTAACTCTGTGTTTAACATTTTAAGGAAGTGCAAAACTGTTTTCAAAAGCAGCTGCACCATTTGACATTCCTACCAGTAGTGTTTGAGGGACCAATTTCTCCATATCCTCGACAACACTTGTTATTATCTCTCCTTTTGATTATAGCTCTCTTGTGGGTGTCAAGCGGTATCTCACTATGGTTCTTATTTGCATTTCCCTGATAAATAATGACATTGAACATCTTTTCATGTGCTTATTGGCCATTTGCACATGTTCTTTGGAGAAATTTAGAATCTTTGCCCATTTTTAATTTATCTTTTTATCATTGAGTTGTAAGAGTTCTTTATATATTCTAGATACAAGTTACTTATCGGATATATAATTTGCAAATATTTTCTCCAGTTTTGTAGATTGTGTTTTCACTCTCTTGGTGGCATCATTTGTAGACACATCTCCTCTTAAAATCTCAAAATCTTTATGAATATGCAGTCATGTACTGCAAAATGTCAGTTGATGACAGACTGCATAGATGACAGTGGTATCGTAAGTTTGCTACGTCATACATTTTACTGTACCTTTTCCATGTTTAGGTATGTTTAGATACACAAACACTCACCATTGTGTTACAATCACCTACAGTATTCAGCAGTAACACTCTACAGGTTTGCAGCCTACAAGCAATAGGCTATACCGTAGAACCTAGAGTGTGTAGCAGGCTATGCCACCTAGATTTGGGTAAGTAAGTACATTCTATGTGGTTCACACAATGACGAAAATCGCCTCTGGATGCATTTGTCAGAATGTAGTCTCAACCTTACATGATGCATGACCATGTGTCACGATACGCTGAATAAAAGTCAATCCCACAATTTTTTTTAAGGTACTATGTGTAGAAGCTAAAACATTGTAGTTAAAAGTTGCCCGGCAGGCGTGGTGGCTCACGCCTGTAATCCCAGCACTTTGGGAGGCCAAGGCAGGCAGATCACGAGGTCAGGAGATTGAGACCATCCTGGTTAACATGGTGAAACCCCGTCTCTACTAAAAATACAGAAAATTAGCTGGGAGTGGTGGCGGGCACATGTAGTCCCAGCTACTCGGGGGGCTGAGGCAGAAGAATGGCATGAACCTGGGAGGTGGATGTTGCAGTGAGCCAAGAGTGTGCCAGTGCACTCCAGCCTGGGCGACACAGCGAGACTCTGTCTCAAAAAAAGAAAAAAAGAAAAAAAAAGAAATTGCCAGAAGTTGTCTGTCTTGCTATAAGTGAGATTCAGTACTTCTTGGGGACACCCTTGCTCTTGCAGAATCAACTGAATAGGCCCTTTAGCTGCACAAATATAAGCCAAGTCCCAACTTACTGCACCGATCACAGTTTTCTTCATGATGAGGCTTTAAACAGAGAAGGTGCATTCTTTTGGTTAGTGTAAACTCCTGGGAATATTTTAGTGAAAGCAACAATTTTGCAGATTTGCTTTTGTTTATTTGGTGGTGGGATGGGTGGGGAGAAAACGTTTCTTGGCGGTCTGTGCATCGTGCCTGCCCTGTGGCTCATTCTGACAGAGATGGATGATGTTTGTGTGTTTATCTTACAGTTATGCAGGAGAGATGAGCACAGAGAAAAGAAGCCATAGGGACTGCTTTCCAAAGAGGCCTTCTGCTATTCTGGGCTCACCCAGTGTGGCTTTGGGGCCCAGGTGGCAAAGTGCAGCACTGAATCAAACAGAGAGTGATTCTCCCCTCTTTGCAGCCTGAAAGTGGTGTGTTGAGGACACTGGGGTAGCACCCTTGGAATAGACATAGATGTTTCTGAAAAGGCACCATTGGTATTCCATACACTGAGGTTCTTCCCACAGCTTTAAGATTAGCAGCCCAAGGCTGGGCGTGGTGGCTCACGCCTGTAATCCCAGCACTTTGGGAGGCCGAGGCGGGTGGATCACGAGGTCAGGAGATTGAGACCGTCCTGGCTAACATGGTGAAACCCTGTCTCTAATAAAAATACAAAATTAGCTGGGCGTGGTGGCGGGCACCTGTAGTCGCAGCTACTCGGGAGGCTGAGGCAGGAGAATGACGTGAACCCGGGAGTCAGAGCTTGCAGTGAGCCGAGATCACGCCACTGCACTCCAGCCTGGGCGAAAGAACGAGACTTCATCTCAAAAAAAAAAAAAAAAAAAATTAGCAGCCCAAGAGGAGATAGAGCAGGAGAGGATGAGAAAGAGCAGAACAGAAGCACATGGTGACTGAATCACAAAGTTGTGATGCATTCAGGAACAACTGAGGTTCATCTGGACGCAGGGAGTTTGAAGTTTAACCGTCAAGCTGAGACATTGTAGCTTGGGCCTTACGGGCTCCTGTGACTGCAGTAGTACCCACAGGTTGCCTTTATAATGAAGTGGGGCTGGATCAGGAGTCACACGCTGGCAGCCTAGTGGCCAAATGTGGTCATTCTGTGGACATATTTGATTTGATCAACACAACTTTCAATTAGATTTGAATTTAAATATCTGTGGTGCACATGTGTTCCTTCTTTAGTTTACCACAGACCCTACCACTCTCTATTGTCTCATACCGTCCTCATTCACACATTCATGTTACCCACCAGTCCTCTGTGGCTATTTAAGTTACTGATTCCTTGATTAGTCTCTAAAATGTCCTTTCATTTTTGACATACTGTGGTTCAGCCTGGCTTTGGTAAGAGGGTTTTGAATATCCCAGCCCAGCCTGTGGACCTACAGACTGGACCAGCAGTCCCCAATATGGGGGTGGGGATACCCATTGTGGTCAATCATCAACTGTGATTCTGGGAGGCGATTGCTGTTTGACCATCTTTTAATGCCATTTGGAAATGAACTGATGAACCAAGAGTGAGAAACTATCTGGAGGAAGTCAAACTCTACAAGCTTTATGAGACAGGAATACCAAGCAAGCATTGCCTGACTCCATAACATCCAAACCTGCTCCTAGGATGGGTTCTAGAACCAGTTCTTAATTTTTACCATACATTTTAATAAATCTATGTCAGCGTGTTTTTCCTTCATGAGTTTTTAGTCACTAACCATTAAATGTGTCCTTGGTGATTGATTGTATTTTAAATATCAGTGAGCAGGCGGCAAAGGCATCTTTTGGGTCAAGGATGTTTTCCAAGTCTCTTGGAATTTCACCACACAGAAACTGTCTATTCTGTTGGATATAGTTTGGATATTTGTCCCCTTCAATCCTCATGTTGCAATGTGATCCCAGTGTTGGAGGCGGGGCCTAGTGGGCAGTGCTTGGGTCATGGGGGCGGACCCCTCATGAATGGCTTGGTGTCATCTTTGTGGTAATGAGGGATTCTTACTCTGTTAGTTCATGCGAGAGCTGGTTGCTTAAAGGGAGCTGGCACTTCATCCTCTCTCTTTGTCCCCTTTTCACCGTGTGACACACTTGCTCCCACTTCACCTTCTGCCGTGAGTAAAAGCTTCCTGAGTCCCTCACCAGAAGCCGAGCAGATGCTGGTGCCTTGTTTGTTCAGCCTGCAGAACTGCGAGCCAAATCAACCTCTTTTCTTTATAAAGTACCCAATTTCAGGTATTCCTTTATAGCAACACAAAACAGACTGACACACTGCTTATCAGAAGGCCAACGCTGAGAGTTAAGGGAACTCATTTAATAAGAAAATGACTTCTTTCTCCAGACACGTTACTTCTACTCTTCTAGTGACAATATTAACAAATTACAGGTGAGTAGTGCCTTATATATTTTTAAATCAACTCATGGGATTATCTCACATGATCCTGACTTCTAGGAGGTGACAGGGCAGACAGGATTGTTCTGACTTTATGCAGAAGAGAGCTGAAACACAGAGAAATTAAGAGCCTGCTCAAAGACACAGAAGTAGTTAAGTGTTTGAAATGTAAAACTCCATGAGTTCTGTCACATATTACATTCAAATACTTTTTTTAAAGAAAATGGCATTTATTGTACATGCTTCCTTGTAAATAATATTTACACAAGACTCCGAATTCCTCGTTGTGTGCTTTTTTCCATTCCTCTTTGTTCTCCTGATCTGAAAGCCCACGGACTGGAGCAACAATTGTGATCAAGACAAAGCTGACTGAAGACACCCAAGCTCAAGTCAGTGTGCAATTTTATGATAAATTACTGAAAGGATGTTCTCAGAGAAAAGGTTAAGTGTGGCGGTATTGAGAACCACTGGCATGTAAAAAGCATAATAAAATCAGTGTAGCATAGAAAGAAAAGACAGTCTACCATGAACTTGATCTAATAGAATCAAATCAAATAATACCCACAGTCACACAAGCAGGATATATGAATAGCAATCTCTGATCAAGACATTCCTGTGCAGATAAAACCTGCCCAAGGGGATGACCATGGTTTGCATTAGCAATGCTAGACTCCCAGGGAAAGAAGTGATTTCAGGAAGTGCATCAGCTAAAAGCGTGTGAAGTTCAAAGCCAAGAGTAAGAAAACAATTAGAAACAGACGTCTTCTGCTTTACCACAGCTTGACCAGAGAAAAGTGGAGATGGTTTATATAAGCTACAGGGATCCTCAAAAGAAAGAAATCTAGCTTATGAGAAAATGTTCAGGGAAAATTCAATTTTCCTAGGAAAAAGAGACTGTAGTATCTGAATGAGCCCTGTGGGTAGGCACCTTGGAAGAATCATAGCACTCTTAACAGTTTGTGCAATTACACTGGGGTTTGTCCCTCCCGCAAATGTCTACTTGAGGGAATGGGCATGAGGCAGTAGTTTGTAGACTTAAGCTTGTGGTACTGTTGTGATATCCAGGCATTAACTCTAAATAAGGCCCTAAGAAACATTGAGAACTTGATTCTGTGGAAATATTAGCTCTTTATGGTCATGAGAGAATTGAATTCTAAGAAATTGTGCAATAAATATCTGTTACTGACAGTCACTAAAAGCTATAATTAAGAGAAAAAGTTCTCATTCACAAGAAACAAATGGCTGGACAAATAAACAGGATTCTCTTTAGTAAATTTTCTAATGTATTTTCTTTATGGCAGCTTATCATTTGAGAACCACTGTGTTAGGCCATATATATCTAAAGGGTATTGTCAAGAGGTTTCTTTTCTGGGCAGATGTCCCCATTTTTGGTCACTCATTTTTACCTAGGTTTTCTCCTGTACTCTTTAGTGGATTTTTTGGCATAATGGGAGAACTGGCAGGATAAGCCTGCCAGAGGTCTGTTTACATGAGAACAGAACTCATTCTAAGGAAGGGAGAGCTGAAAAGCAAGGGCTTGGCTCAAGGACATTCTGGGTGAGTACAGGAGGGGAAGAGTGATGCTAAATGCAGCCCAAGGGTTTATCACTCAGCTGTCCAATGATTCAGCAACTCTGGATTCATATCTGAGTCCTGGGTTTAGGCAGCTCCAGTAAAAAAATAGGTAAAAACCAATAAAAGAGTGGTTTGCTAAAATCTCCATGGGGTACTGAGAGCTGAAGATGTCAGCAGAATTGGTGCCAGTGGAAATAGGAGAGAGCGCCCTTGTCACTGACATCAGTGTCTCTGTAGTGGTGTGTGTGTGGTGTGGCATGGAGACTGACAGCAGAGGCAGTGGGGACATTGATGGAATCAGCTCTTTCTGCTGGCATCAGCAGCAGCATCTTCCATGGTTAAGGACAGAGCATGAGGGATCCAGATGAGCCCTGCTCAGTTGGCAGCCTTGGCAGAGGCACTGGCAGTGCTGGCGGGAACCACAGCACAGCTACTTCCTTGTCATCCGCAGCAACGGAAGTCATTATTACTGTGATCCAGGGCAGAAGAGAAAAGTTGGGGGGATGTGGAGACAGGCATGTGCCAGCCAAAGCATGAGCTTGCGCCTTCCCAGAATTATATGGGAAGAATTTCAAGGGCCTCAGCTTTCTTGAAGACCGTGAGTGAGTAGAGTCTAAGAAATTCTGTTTTGTGGCTGCAATCCTACTTTAGCCACAGGGAGATGTGTGCTGGGGGACCACAGATGATACAATGAAAAGGAGAGCCTGTGTTCTCTGAGTTATAAGCCTAATTTTAGGAGTAGGATTGACCAATTGGTTCTTCAAAGGGAAGGGCCTGGTGAATTTCTCAGGTTCAGGAGGTGAGCAATTTCTCCCTTCTGCTGACTGTAGGAAGGAAACAAGAGAAAAGAAGTCTAGTATAATCATTATACCAAAAAGATACACGAACTCAAATGTTTATTACGGCGCTATTCGCAGTAGCAGAGATATGAAATCAACTTAAGTGCCCATCAATGGATGATTCGATAAAGAAAATGTGGCATATATATATATATCTTAAATATCATATATATATCTTAAATTCATATATATAAAAAGAAGTAATCTTAAGCCATACATAAGAAATGTGCAATAAGAAATGAAATCCTGTCTTTGTAGCAACATGGATGAAACTGGAGGCCACTATTTTAAGTGAAACAACTCAGAAACAGAAAAACACCACATCTTTTTATTATAAGTGGGAGCTAAATAATATGTACACATGGACATAGATAGGCAATAATAGACAAAGGAGACTCAGAAGGGTGGGGGGATGATAAGACATTACTTAAAGGGTATATTAGTTATTCGAATGATGGATACACTAAAAGACCTGACTTCACCACTATGTAGTCTATCCATGTAGCAAAATTACACTTGTAACCCTTACATTTATACAAATAAAAAAAAATTTAAAGAAAAAAGTCTGGAAGATATGAAATGTGCAGTAATTCCAAAGTTTGGTAGGAAAAAAAAGGAAAGATTTGGAGTTGGGAATGGAAATGGAAATCCAGGTCACCTAGGAGCACATTAGCTTTAGGTTCATGGAGTCAGCAGGAAGGACAAGAGAAGGAGGAAGTCTGATGGGGAAGGGTAGTGAATTAGAGAGAAGAAGGCAGTCATGAAGAGAGGGAAGTCGGGTGAAGGACCTGAAGAAGGAAGTCAGGTGAGGACCAGAAGAAGGTCTGAAGAGTAAATAGAATGCCACAGGTAATATACTAGGCGCAAGAACACATGACCTTTCTAAATTTGAATCAAGCGTGAAGAGCTCCTCAACCTGGTAATACAAACTAACTGTAATTACCCAAATAAGAAATGATTGGCTGGGCGTAGTGGTTCACACTTGTAATCCCGGCACTTTGAGAGGCCAAGGTGGGTAGATCACTTGAGCCAGGAGTTTGAGACCAGCCTGGCCAACATGGTAAAAACCTGTCTCTCAAAAAAAAAAAAAAGAAAAAAAAATTAGCCAGGCATGGTGGCATGTGCCTCTAATCCCAGCTACTCGGGAGGCTGAGGCACGAGAGTTGTTTAAACCCAGGAGGTGGAGGTTGCAGTGAGCAGAGATGACAGATCACGCCACTGCACTCCAGCTTGGGTGACAGAGAGAGACTGTGTCTCAAAAAATATGAATAATAAATAAAAGAAATGGTTGAGGCTTAAATGGGAACATGACAGAATATGGGAGGAGGAAGAGTTGAATTTGGGGAATAGGGGAAGAAGTGGCTGTTGGCTTTAATGAGAACTAGCAGTCGGGAGAACTGTGTGTAATCATTGCAGGAGCTCATTGAGGGCAGAGTTCCCATCTCAGTGATCTTTCTCATCTTAGGACTTAGCACATTCCCTTGATCACATAGTAGGTGCTTAATAAATATTGTTCAACTGAAAGCTTTCATAAGGTTACACACTTGGAAATAGTATCGCCAAATGGTGTTTGCATGTTACTTGCTTATTCTTCCTCCTTTTTCTTTCTTTTTTTTTTTGACAGAGTCTCACTCTGTTGCCAGGCTAGAGTGCAGTGGCATGATCTCAGCTCACTGCAACCTCTGCCTCCCGGGTTCAAGCGATTCCCCTACCTCAGCCTCCCAAGTAGCTGGGACTACAGGCATGCGTCACCACGCTTGGCTAATTTTTTGTGTGTGTAGTTTAGCAGAGACAGGGTTTCACCACATTGGCTGGGATGTTCTTGATCTCCTGACCTCGTGATCTGCCCGCCTCGGCCTCCCAAAGTGCTGGGATTACAGGCATGAGCCACCACACCCAGCCTCTTCCTCCTTTTTCTAAATACCTTTTTTAAAAACTTATTTTTTAGTTCCAAGGTGTATGTTTCTCATTGTGTCATGAACAGATAAACATTTTGATTCTTCACAATTCTCTATTTTTAAAAAAATACATGCTGAAGCACTTCAGCTTCCTGGTTAAATATGTATTCCAAAATATCTGGACCTCATTGTAGAGACTGGGCTATTGGCAGAGTAAAGTTTCCTTTTTCATATATTGTTTAGAGTTGGGAGTTGGGGTGTCAATGGAATGGGCTGATGGGGTAGAAAAAATGAATTTTGTTAATCACCAAAGTTCCTCATCACTGGCCCTTCTGATCGTGGTACTGACTTCAAACTTAAATCACTTCATTACTGTAGATGGAAAGGCTGAGCTGAGTTAAGCACAATGAGAGACTTTTATAGATAGGATCACAACAAACATCGTTTTCCTGAGTTCTGCATGTCCTGACCTGGGGCCTGCATGGGCAAATGCATAAGGAGAGCTTTTGGAAAACTGTCTATACCTAAAATAACTGGATGGGATAGTAGGCATCATGAAGAGAGTAGTGCTATCGTGAGGAAACCTCTGGGGTGGAAGTTGAGTTCTAGTTCCAACAATGCCGGGTGACCTGAAAATGTCACCTAACTTCCCTAGGTATCAGTTTCCTCCTCTGTCAATGCAGTTGAAATAGATGAATCCTGAGATTCTGTTCCACTCTAAGCAGCTACCACATTTCTTGTTGCTCTCCGAATTTAGAAGATATAGTGCATTTTTATTGTTGGCTACTTATTGTTGCATTTAGCTTTATTCTAAAATGTGGGTTGACTCTAGCAAGTACTCTCAGTCAGAGGTTAGGAAGCATCAGGAAGAGGCTAAAGATGAAGAGAGAGGCTCTCTACTAAGAAGGACCCCCTCGACGATCAGTATTCTGTGTAGTATGGGAATGGGAGAAAAGATAAATGCTTTCATTTGTATTTTTTTACTTGTCTATATATAAAGGATTTAAACTAATTTAACAAAAAAGCATACACGCATGTATTTTTGTTTTATTTTATTTTTAATGGAAAATAATGGTATTTATGGGGTATAAGATGAGGTTTTGATGTATGTATACATTGTGGAATGATCAAATCAGGCTAATTGGCATATCCATCCAATTATTTATTATTTATTTGTGGTGAGAATGTTTAAAATACTCTCTTTTAGCTATTTTGAAATATACAATACATTATTATTAACTATATATAGTCACCTTGCTGTGCAATAGATCACAGAACTTATTCTTCCTGTCCTACTGAAACTTTGTAACCATTGACTAACATGTCTTCTTTCCCGGTCCTCTCCCCTCCCCCAGTGTCTAGTAACCACCAGTCTACTCTCGACTTCTATATGTTCAACTTTTTAAGATTCCACATATAAGTGAGATCATATAGTGTTTGTCTATGTCTGGCTCATTTCACTTAACATAATGACCTCTAGGTTCATCTGTGTTATGGCAGATGACAGGATTTTCTGATTTTTAAAGGCTGAATAGTATTGCATTGGGTATATATACCCCATTTTAAAAACCCATTTGTTTGTTGATAGACAGGTTGTTTCCAACAGAAGCGAATAATTCTGCAATGAACATAGGTGTACGGACATCTCTTCTATTTCAATTTGGGGTGGGGTATATACACTCAGTAGTGGGATTGCTGGATCATATATAATAAATAAATTTTTAGTTTTCTGAGAAATCTCCATACTGTTTTCCAAAATGGCTGTACTAATTAATAATACCACTGACAGTATACACATACAGGTTTATATGTGTGTGTTCATATATAAATATATATATGATATATATATATATATATATGCCACATATATATCTACCAGGTGGATTATATTTAGATAAAAGAGAGAATCATTTATTCATTAAAAAATATATCCTGAGCATCAACAACATAGCAGATGCTGTGCTTGGTCTTGGGTTATAAAGTTCAAAGAGCTTCTAAAATACAAAAGAGAAAAAATCTTCAATAATATTTATAGTATAATAATTATACTGTAGTTGTTAACTAGTTGCTAGTAACCTTTATAAATAGAAGAATTGAAAAAAGAAAGATGACTTTGATTTGGTTAGTGAGTTATCCTGCAAGTCTTCTGCTGAATATAAAGAAGACAGAATGAGAAAGAGGCTTGAAGAGGGTAGAGAAAGTTGTAAACAGCCATTTATAGAAGAGGAATGAAAAGAAATAAACATATATGTTTATATGTATGTGTGTATATGCGATACATATATTCCGTGTGTGTGTGTGTGTTATAAAGAGTGATTGTGAGGTGGTGTTGAGGACAGCAATTAATTTAGAAGACTATGAATTTAGAGCAGGATTTTAGTTAACCATATTAGAAGCAGAGAAGTTAAATGATAAGACTGGTAGAGGAGAATTAATTAGGACTCTGGTTGCAAATTAAAAAAAGCCAACCCAACTTAGCTTAAATAAGGGGACACATTAGCTAAAGAACTGAAACATCCAAGTGTTCCAGATGCCTAAAATAAAATTTGGTACAGGTGTTCAAATGATGTCATTAGGCCTGATGTTGCTTAACTCTGCCTCTTCTGGATTAGTTCCGTTTTGAAACAGGCAATAATGTCTACGGCCATACCACCCTGAACGCACCAGATCTTGTCTGATCTCAGAAGCTAAGCAGGGTGGGTCCTGGTTAGTACTTGGATGGGAGGAAAAATAAGACACCTCACTCTTCCTGGTCACTCAAGCAAAAGTCCTGGCATTTCCTCTGACTGGGCCTGATGGCCTGAATTATTCCTGTACCTATCTCTGTGGCAACATATTGGTAGTCTTGAGCCCCATCACATGTTATATCTGCGGCATCATGGACCAGGTAGTGGAAAGAGTGGCCCCCAGGGGAAATTGAAGAACTGTCATTAAGAGAAAGGTAAATAGGCACTACACAGCAAAAACCACAGATGCCTCTCTCTGAGACTTTTCAGTGTGAGGGTGCTTTAAGGAAAGACCCAGGGGTTAGGGTTTCCAAGAAAAGGATAATTAGATGATTAATGTGTTGGGTTATGGGTCTGTGTTGAATGGGAAACAAAGTGAGAGAAGGTGAGGTGATGTCAAGATGGGAGGTTCCTGTGATGCTGAAGAATGTTCGTATTGGAATTAAAAGAGTAAGGATGGTGTGGCTGTTGGATGTAAAATTATAAAGGAGAGGCAATTCTTCAATAATGTGACTGTGGGAGTATTCTAACCCGTGCTGGTCCTAGAAATCAGTGCCTGAAACAAGGGCTTGTGTTTAGATGGTTTATTTGGGGATGTGATCCTAGGGAAATGGAGTGAGAGCCTGGGGAGAGTGAACAGGAGAGGTGGGAAATAAGTACAAGAGTATTTTAGTAAATTAGTTATTACCGTGGTGCTTGAACCTTCTGGGATCTTCTGAGGAGCATGTACCCTGTGTCTCAAAATAGGTCCAGCTGAAGAACAAAAGGGAGAATTAATCCAAAAGATACAACTCTATTTGTCAAGTGGTTGCCTCTTGGAGTATTAACTCCTCTTCATTTCTGGATTGTGCATGAATGGAGCCAATAGTATTTCCTGAGGTATCCTTCAAAGAAGCCTGTGGGGCATATTTGAGGGAAGGCATTGTCATTGAAAAGTGGGTCAAAGCTTATCTGGAGCTGATTGTTATACCTGTGCCTAGAATCAAAGGTAAGAACAAGAGCAGGTTAAGACCATGAACAAAAGGAAATTGATAATAGTCTACACCTTACACTATTCACCATACAGATTTCTTAGCCTTCCATTAAGCCCAATTCATTGGTGGCCAGGCCACAATCTCTACAAGTAACTTAGTGTAGGTGAGTTAATGGAACCAGCTTCATTCCAACAAGTTCCAAGGCTGTATTACAGGGTCTCCTCCAATGTCAATCTTCACCCTCAACCAGTAGTTCATCTGGTGGAGTTTGCTTGCCAGGTGGGACAACCCAGACCTCTGTCTCCAAGATGTCTGAGTCCTTAGGTTGCCTTGGCATTTTGGGGCTTTGGATGCTGTAATTGTCTGTTTACCGTTATTGCTGGGCATGGAATACTGGGCATGGATTCACCATAAAGAGTCTCTTGAGCTCTCTGCCTCCATTGTGTTGTAGAACCCTAGCTTCTCAAGGTAACCAGAGTTGCATATGCTCACCTCAATACTCTTTACTTTGCATATTGGTCCACCAGTATGAGGATCCCAAAGAGAACAGGTAGGGGCCATAACTTGGGATCTTTAAACATCTCTTAGTGGAAAGGTCCCTTCCCATCTCACCCCCCATCCCAACAACCAGGACATCTAGTCTAGCAGAATCCAAGTGTGTGGATATAGGAAGCAAAAATCCCATAAGTAGGTCTGTGGCAGTGATGATAAGAAGGACTAATCTTATATTCATCTCTTGATTTTGTGACATGTGCATTGCAGCTACTGGGTACTCAGCACCATACACAAACTAGTATGCATATACGTCATCTTGAAGAAGAGCACTCAAACACTGCCAGTAGCCATCCTACAGCCAATGTCTTAGCTAAGTCTTTAATAGGCTATTTCACTTTTCTAGGCTAGCTGTGGACTAGTTGTGGACTGGTTGCATTCCTAGTCTCAGGTATTTCTTTATAGCAATGCAAGAATGGCCTAACACAAGACCCATATTTCTATGTCACCTACCTCTGTTCACCTCACACCTATGTCCTCACAGGGGGTTCTCTATGACCAACTCCCCCAAAAATATTGGGGCTTACTATATAGGTGCTAGCCCAAAGTGAACTGCTACTGCCATTTAGCTGGACTCAGAGGTGACCCACATAGGCAGTACCAGAGGGAAATCCTGTCAATGGGCATAGTTGCAAGCAGTGAATTTGATCATTTACTTTGTGTTGAGAGACAAGTGGCCTGAGGTTGGGATGAACACAGAAAATGACGTTTTTGGGTGATTAGAGTCTGTAAGAAGCAAGACTAAAACATAAAAGACATGGAATTCTGGGGGTGAGACATGTGGATGGGCAATGGGAGGGAGAACAAATCAGGCATGTCTCTGTTGCCTCACATTAATGCCCACCAGAGAAGAGGCACTCAACAACCAGGCAAAGAGGTCAACTTGTCACATGGATGTCAGCCAGGCTCTCTCCTCAGCCACCCTAGTGCTTGAAAAATGAGCCATTTATGGATGGAGGCTATGCCCAACAGCATAGACTCCCTCTTACCAAGGCTGGTCTAGCCACTGCCACAGCTGAGTGCCCAAACTGTTAGCAGGAGACACTCTACTAAACCCTTAACGTGGCATCATCACATGAGGAAACCAGTCAGCCACTGGGAGCAGGTTGATTACATCATAGCCCTTTTACCCTACAGAGGGGGAGTAATTACTCCTTATGGAACTGATAATACCTACTCTGGATATGGGTTCACACTGCCTGCCCTCCATACCTCTCCCAGCACTACACCTAAGGACTTGCAGGATGCCTAACTTACCAGCATGGGATCTTGCATAACATTGCTTCAGGACCAATGGACCAAATTTTTGGCAAAGAGGGTGCAGCAATGGGTGTGTGATCATAGGATACTTCTTTACCATGAACCACATCACCATTAAAACAGAATGGTATGGGCATAAGGACAGACATATAAACCAATGGAACAGACTTGTGAGCCCAGAAATAAAATCATCAATATTCAGTAAACAGATCTTCAACACGGGTTTCAAGAATACACAGTGAGGAAAGAACAGTTTCTTCAACAAATGATCTGAGGGACACTGTATATACACATGCAAAAGAATAAAATTGTGGCCTTATTTTACACTATACACAAATGTCAACTCAAAATCGATTGAAAACTTAAAGGTAAGACCTGAAACTAGATTGGTGATTACCAGGGGTAACTTATATAGAAAAGAGGTTTAATTAGCTCATGGCTCTGCAGGCTATAAAGGAAACATGGCACCGGCATCTGCTCAGTTTCTGGGATGGCTTCAGGGAACTTTTACTCATGGAGGAAGGTGAAGCAAGAGTACACATGGCACATGGTGAGAGAGGGAGCAAGGAGGTTGGTGTTGGGGAGATGCCATATGCTTTCAAACCACCAGATCTCATGAGAACTCACTCAGTATTGCAAGGACAGCACCAAACTGGAAGGAATCTACCCCATGACCCAAACACCTCCCACCAGGCCCCACCTCCAACACTGGGGATTACCTTTCAACCTGAGATTTGAGGAGGGACAAATATCTAAACTGTACCAGGTCTAATTGCTCGAAATTCTTAATTTGTGCTTCTTGGACTGCTGTTATGCTTTGGCTGTGTCCCCACCCAAATCTCATCTTGAATTGTAGTTCCTATAATCCCCATGTGTTGTGGGAGAGGCCCAGTGGGAGGGGGTAATTGAATAATGGGGGCAGTTATCTCCATGTTGTTTTCATGATAGTGAGTGAGTTCTCACAAGATCTGATGGTTTTATAAGGAGATTTCCCCACCTTTTGCTCTGTACTTCTCTCTCCTGCTGCCAGGTGAAGAAGGACGTGTTTGTTTCCCATTCCACCATGATTGTAAGTTTCCTGAGGCCTCCCCAGCCATGCTGAACTGAGTTCATTAAATCTCTTTGCTTTATAAATTACCCAGTCTCAGGTATGTTTTTATTAGCAGCATGAGAACAGACTAATACAACTGCCCAGGCCCCATCCTGAGTTGATCATTTCCATTGGGTATGATATATTACTACTGTCTGCACTCACCCTTCTGACATGGTGGATCTGATAATGCCCACATAATGATGTGTAATTCCAAATACACTAGGGCCCTGTAGCCTGGCAGACTCTGCTACTTCTCTGACAGAGAAGGATGGCCTGGTTCTACACACTGAGGGTTCTGGGATTCTTCTAGTTGTGACAGAGTCTAAAACCAGAGTCGTATGCACCACAGTATCTTTAGCATTGTCAGATCTGCTGGCTCATGGTCCCAAATCATAAGTTTACAACTCCATGAATTTTCACAAGCAAACACAGCCATGAAACAAGCACCAATATCAAGAAATAAAACATCATCAGTCAGGGAGTGTCTTACATGAGGAAACTAGGCAACAATGTTCTCAGTGGAAGTGTTAGAACAATAATAGAAAATCTCTCTATATGGCTCTTTTTACATTGACTGAATAAATGCCAAGAATGTAGTACTCCATTATGAAGCTATTTTATGGTGAGCAAACAAATATAGCACAGTCCCTGCCTTTACAGAGCTTTTATCTAATGGGGGAGAAAAATATTAATCAAGTTATTATGCAAATGACTACAAAATTGCTTCTTCTCCCTCAGCTTCCTGGCCTTCTGCCATTTTGATCTCATCTCAGCCCAATCACTTAGGACAAATATTTCAGACTTGTTTTCTATCTCTGATTCCTTTGGTCTTGGCATCCAGTGTTGATCTTCATGGTATACGGTAATTGGACTCCTGCATTCACATACAGGCTCTGATTAGACCTCCTATCCATGGCCCCAGAATCTTTTCTAATCTTGGGAAGCTACTGCCTGATTCATCCTAGGTCCTGGTAGAGCTCTGTTCCCACCTCAAGCCACTGAGCTCCTGCTGGTGGAGTGGAAGCGTGTGGCAGAAATGCTCCGGTGGTTATCCTGACGCAGAAGGGACCTCTCTGTCAGGCTGAGTCAAGCTGTGGACTAGCTGTGTTCCTATCCAGCTGGTCCTGCCACAGGAAAGTCCTCCTGGAAGCTTGGTCTCAAAGCTGTTTCTAAAGCCTCCTCCTAAAGTCTGTGCATTGCTGAAGATTTTTCATTAATTCCTTTTTTTAAAAAAGTATTTTATTATAGTGAGAACATTTAATATGAAATCGATCCTCTTAACGAATTTTTAAGTGTACAATAAAGTATTAATGACTATAGGCACAAAGTACAGGTACAGATATATATAGGTACAGATCTCTAGAACTTACTCACCTTATTTAACTGAAATTTTATGCCCATTAATTGGTAAATCCCCATTTCCCTTCCACTAGCCCCTGGGAATCACCATTCCAGTTTCAGGTCTTACCTTTATGTCTTTAATTGATTTTGAGTTTATTTTTGTGTATAGTGTAAGATAAGGCTACAATTTTATCTTTTGCATGTGCATATACAGTGTCCCCCAGACCATTTTTTGAAGAGACTGTTCTTTCTCCATTGAGTATTCTTGAAACCCATGTTGAAGATCAGTTTGCTGAATATTGATGATTTTGTTTCTGGGCTTGCAAGTCTGTTCCATCGGTTTATACAGCTGTCTTTATGCCAATATCATTCTGTTTCGATTACTGTAGTTTTATAATATATTTTGAAATCAGGAAGTGTCTGAATTGGAATGTACTCTTATACGTTAGATAGACTAACTGCTCTTCACTCAAGTAGCTTTCCTGGTCCATTTTAGCTCTTCCCATTCATTTTCTGCAGCACAGACAGAGAGATATCTTAAAACTTTAAATCAGATCATATAACTTGTAAATACTGTTTAAAATCCTAGAATAAAATCAAAAGTCTTTAACATGGCTACAAAACCTCATATAATCTAGCCCTGCTGACGTCTTTGCCTGTGTTCCCTACCACTGTCACTTCTCTCCTGCCATAGCAGTCTTCCTTCCTGGCACGTGGACATGCCAAACACAGTCCTGCCTCAGTCTTTGACTTTTATATTCTTTATAACTGGAATGCTCTTCCTAAGGTCCTTGCATGGCTAATATCTCATTCAAATATCAGCTCTTCAGAATGGCCTTCCCTGACCATCTTTTCCTAAGTAATCCCCTCATTCACTAGCCTGTTACCATTTTACATTCTTTATTGCCCTTCCATTTCTTTTTAAAAATATTTTTCATTTCAATAACTTTAGGGGTACAAGTGGCTTTTGGTTACATGAATAAATTGTATAGTGGTGAAGTCTAGGATTATAGTGTACCCCTCACCCGAGTAGTATATACTGTACACAACAGGCAGTTTTTAAATCCCTTATTCCTCTCCTACCCTCCCCATTTTGCGTCTCCAAAGTCCATTACACCATGCTATATGTCTCTGTGTACCCATAGCTTAGCTCTCACTTGTAAGTGAGAAAATGCAGGACCTGGTTTTTGATTCCTGAGTTACTTCACTTAGAATAATGGCCTCCAGTTCCATCAAAGTTACTGCAAAATACATTATTTTATTCTTTTTATGGCTGAGTAATATTCCATGGTGTGTATGTGTGTATATATATATGGTCACATTTTCTTTATCCACTCATTGGTTGATGGGCACTTAGTTTGATTCTGTATCTTTGCAATTGTGAATTGTGTTGTAATAAACATATGTGTACAGGTGTCTTTTTTATAAAGTGACTTCTTTTTCTTTGTGTAGATCCTCAGTAGTGGGGTTGCTAAGTTGAATGGTAGATCTACTTTTAATTCTTTGAGAAATCTCCATACTGCTTTCCATAGAAGTTGTACTAATTTGCTTTCCCACCAGCAGTGTATAAGTGTTCCCTTTGTATTGCAATCATGGCAATATCCATTGTTTTTGACTTTTTAATAATGGTCATTTGGTCTGGGATAAGGTGGTATGTCATTGTGGTTTTGATTTTCATTTCCCTGATGATTGGTGATGTTGAACATTTTTTCACATGTTTGTTGGCCACTTGTATATCTTCTTTTGAGAAATGTTTATCCATGTCCTTTGGCCACTTTTTAATGGGATTATTTGTTTTTTTTTCTTGCTAATTTGTTTGCATTTCTTGTAGATTCTGAATATTAGTCCTTTGTCGGAAAAATAATTTGCAAATATTTTCTCTCATTCTGTAGGTTGCCTTTTTATTCTGTTATTTCTTTTGGGGTGCTGAAACTTCTTAGTTTAACTGGGTCCAATTTATTTATTTTTGTTGTTGTTGCATTTGCTTTCCAGGTCTTAGTTATAAATTCTTCACCTAGGCCAAAATCCACAATAGTTTTACTAAATTTTCTTCTATAATTTTTATGATTTAGCTTTTAGATTTAGGTCTTTAACTTATCTTAAGTTGATTTTTGCATATGGTGAGAGAAACAAATGCAGTTTCATTCTTCCACACGTGGCTATCCAATTTTCCCATCACAATTTATTGAAGAGAGGGTCCTTTCTCCAAATTAAGTTTTTGTATGCCTTGTCAAAGATCAATTGCTTGTAAATATTTGGGTTTATTTCTGGATTCTCTATTCTGTTCCATTTGGTCTATGCATCTACTTTTATACCAGTACCATGCTGTTCTGGTTAATGTAGCCTTGTAGTATAATTTGAAGTTGGGTAATGTGATGCCTCCAAATTTATTCTTTTTGCTTGAGATTGCTTTGCTACTTGGTCTTTTTGGGTTCCATATGAATTTTAGAATTGTTTTTTCTAATTATGTGAAAAATGATGTTGGTATTTTGATAGAAGTATCTTTCAATTTGTAGGTTACTTTGAAAAGTATGGCCATTTTTATAATATCAGTTCTTCAAATCCATAGCATGGAATATATTTCCATTTGTTTCTGTCATCTGTGATTTCTTTCATCAGTGTTTTGTAGTTCTCCTCTTAGAGATCTTTCACCTCTTTGGGTAAGTATATTTCTGGATTTTTTTTTGTAGCTATTGTAAAAGGGATTGAGTTCTTGATTTGATTCTCGACTTGGTCAATGATGGTATATAGCAGTGCTAGTGATTTGTGTATATTGATTTTGTAACCTGAGACCTTACTGAATTCATTTATCAGATCTAGGAGTCTTTTGGAAGAGTCTTCAGGGTTTTATAGGTATAAGATCATATTATCAGCAAATAGAAATAGTTTGACTTCCTCTTTTCCAATTTGGGTGTTCTTTATTTCTTTCTCTTACCTGATTGCTCTGGTTAGGACTTCCAGTACTATGTTGAATAGAAGTGGTGAAAGCATGCATCCACATTGTCTGGTTTCAGTTCTTAGGGGGAAAACTTTTGACTTTTCACTGTTCAATATTATATTAGCTGTGGGTTTGTCATATATGGATTTTATTATTATTATTACTATTATTTAACTTTTTAATTCAGGGGTACAAGTGCAGGTTTGTCATTGTATTCGTCCATTTTCACACTGCTCTAAAGAAACACCTGAGACTCGGTAATTTATAAAGGAAAGAAGTTTATTTGACTCACAGTTCCACATGTCTAGGGAGGCCTCAGGAAACTTACAATCATGGTGGAAGGGGAAGAGGCATGTGTTATATGGCAGTAGGCAAGAGAGAAAAGAGTGAGGAATGAAGGAGGAAGAGCCCCTTATAAAACCATCAGATCTCATGAGAGCTCCCTCACTATCATGAAAACAGCATGGGGGAAATGCTCCCAAGATCCAATCACCTCCCACCAGGTCTCTCCCTGGACACATGGGGATTATAGGGATTATATTTCAAGATGATATATGGGTGGGGACACAGCCAAACCATATCAGTTATATAGGTAAACTCATGTCGTGGGGGTTTGTTGTACAGATTATTTCATCACTCAGGTAGGTATTAGGCATAGCACCAAGTAGTTATTTTTCCTGATTCTCTCCCTCCTTCCACCCTTCACCCTCCAGTAGGCCTCCAGGTCTATTGTTCTCTGCTTTGTGTCCATGTGTTCTCATCATTGAGCTCCCACTTATAAGTGAGAACATACAGTGTTTGGTTTTCTGTTTGTGTGCTAGTTTGCTAAGGAATATAGCCTCCAGCTGCATCGTGTTCCTGCAAAGGACATTATCTTATTCTTTTTAATGGCTGCATAATATTTCATGGTGTATATGTACCACATTTTCTTTATCCAGTCTACCATTGATGGGCATTTAGGTTCATTCCATGTCTTTGCTATTGTGAATAGTGCTGCAATGAACATATGTGTGCATGTGTCATTATAATGGAATGATTTATATTCCCTTGGATATATAGCTAGTAATGGGAATTCTGGGTTGAATGGTGTTTATGTTTTTAGGTCTCTGATGAATCACCACACTGTCTTCCACTGTTTTTGAACTAATTTACACTCCCATCAATGGTGTATAAGTGGTCCTTTTTTCCCACAATCTTACCAGTATCTGTTATTTTTGACTTTTTAATAAAGTGTATTCCTTCTATGCTATGCCTAGTTTGTTGAGGGTTTTAGTCATTAAGGATGCTGAATTTTAGTGGATGTTTGTCCTGCATTTATTGAGATGGTAATGTGGTTTTTGTTTTTAATTATGTTTGTGTGATGAATCACATTTATTGACTTGTGTATGTTGAACCATCCATGCATCCCTGGAATGATACCCACTTGATCATGGTGATTTTTTTTTATGTGCTATTGGATTCGGCTTGCTAGTACTTTGTTGAGGATTTTTGCATGTATATTCATAAGGGATATTGGTGCGTAGTTTTCTTTTTTTGTTACGTCCTTTCCTGGCTTAGCTATCAGGGTGATTCTGGCTTCATAGGATGAGTTAGGTAGGAGTCCCTCCTTCTCAATCTTTTGAAATATTTTCAGTAAAATTGGTAGCAATTCTTCTTTGAATGTCTGATAGAATTTTTCTGTGAAGTAGTCTGGCACTAGGCTTTTCTTTTTTCTTTTTTTGAGTTTTTTAAAGAATTACTTATTCAACCACAGTGCTTGCTATTGGTCTGTTCAGGATTTCTATTTCTTCCTGATTCAAACTAGGGGTGTTATATGTTTCCAGGAATTTATCCATTTCCTCTATATTTTCTAGTTTTTGTGCAGAGAGGTGTTTATAGTAGTCTTACATGATATTTTGTATTTCTGTGGTTTAAGTCGTAATTCTCCATTTTCATTTCAGCTTATTTGGATCTTCTTTCTTAGTTAATCTAGCTAGTGGTCTATCAAATTTATTTATGTTTTCAAAGAACCAGCATTTTGCTTCATTGATCTTTAGATTTAATTTCATTTACTTCTGCTCTGATCTTTATTTTATTTTATGTATTTATTTATTTTTGCCAGCTTTGGGTTTGGTGTGTTCTTATTTCCCTAGTTCCTTGAAGTGTGATGGTTAGGTTGTCAATTTGTGATCTTTCATACTTTTTGATATAGGCATTTAGCACTATAAACTTACCTTTTAGCATTGCTTTTGCTATATCCCAGAGGTTTTGGTAACTTGTGTCATTGTTATCATTCATTCAAAATAATGTTTAATTTTTATCTTGATTTCATTGTTAACCCAAAAATCATTCAGGAGCAGATTGTTTAATTCCTATGTATTTGTGTAGGTTTGAGGGTTCCTTTTGGAATTGATTTCTAGTTTTATTCTGCTGTGGTCTGAGAAAGTACTTGACATGATTTTAATTTTTGAAAATGTATTGAGACTTATTTTGTGGGCTATCATGTGGTCTATCTTGGAGAATGTTACATGCATTGATAAGAAGAATGTATATTCTGCAGCTCTTGGGTAGATTGTTTTGTAAATATCTGTTAGGTCCATTTGTTCTAGAGTGCAGTTTAAGTTCAGTATTTCTTTGTTGACTCTCTGTCTTGATAGTCTGTCCAGTGCTGTCAGTGGAAGGTTGAAGTCCTCCACTATTATTGTATTGGTGTCTATCTCTTTTCTTAGTTCTAATAGTAATTGCTTTATGAATCTGGGAGCTATGGTGTTAGGTGCATATATATTTAGGGTTATTATATCTTCTTTTTGAATTGATCCTTTTATCATTGTATAATGACCTTTTTTGTCTTTTTTTTTTGGCTGTTTGGCTTTAAAGTCTATCTTATCTGATATAAGAATAGCTACTCCTGCTTGCTTTGGGTTCCCATTTGCTTGAAATATGTTTTCTACCCCTTTACCTTGAGTTTATAAGAATCCTTACATGTTAGGTGTGATCTCCCAAAGACAGCAACTAATTGGGTTGTGAATTTTTTATCCATTCTGCCAATCTGTATTTTTTTTTTTTTTTTGAGACGGAGTCTCGCTCTGTCGCCCAGGCCGGACTGCGGACTGCAGTGGCGCAATCTCGGCTCACTGCAAGCTCCGCTTCCCGGGTTCACGCCATTCTCCTGCCTCAGCCTCCTGAGTAGCTGGGACTACAGGCACCCGCCACCGCGCCTGGCTAATTTTTTGTATTTTTAGTAGAGACGGGGTTTCACCTTGTTAGCCAGGATGGTCTCGATCTCCTTCTGTATTTTTAAATACACCATTTAGGACACTTACATTCAACATTAATATTTAGATGTGAGATATTGTTCCAGTCATTATGAGATTTTTACCTACTGACTTTATTTTCTTCATTGTGTTATTGTTTATAGGCCTTGTGAATATTATGCTTTCAGGAGTTTCTATTCTGGTGCATATTGACCTTCTCTTTCAAGATTTAGAACTCCTTTTAGCATTTCTTATAGAACTGATCTAGTATTGACAAATTCCCTCAGCATTTGCTTGTCTGAGAGATACTTTACTTCTCCTTCACTTATGAAACAGTTTTGCTGGATACAAAATTCTTGGCTGACAGTTTCTCTGCTTAAAGAGACTAAAGATAGGACTCCAGTCTCTTCTGGCTTGTAAGGTTTCTGCTGAGAAGTCAGCTGTTAGCTTAATAGGTTTTCCTGTATAAGTTAGCTCATATTTTTGTCTCACTACTCTCAGAATTATTTTCTTTACATTGGCTTTAGATACCCTGATGACTGTATGCCTTGGTGATGTCCATTTTGCAATGAGTCTCCTAGAAGTTCTTTGAGCTTCTTAAATTTGGATGTCTAAATCTCTAGCAAGGCCCAGAAAGTTTTCCTCAATTATTCCCTCAAATATGTTTTCCAAACTTTTTGCTTTTTCTTCTCCCTTAGGAACACCTGTAATTCTTAGGTTTGGTCATTTCACACAGTCCCGTATTTCCTGGAGACTTAATTTCCTTTAGTTCTTTTTTATTTATTTTGTTTGATTAGGTTAACTCAAAAACCTTGTCTTTGGGTTCTGAAGTTAATTCTTCTACTTGGTCTAGTCTATTGTTAAAACTTTCCACTGCATTTTGTAATTCCCTAAATGTGTCTGTTCTTTCCAGAAGTTCTGATTGGCATTTTAAAAAAATATCTATCTCTTCAGAAAATTTTTCATTCACATCTTAAATTGTTTTTTAAATTTTTTATGTTGGTTTTCTTTCTTTTATGTGTCCTTCAGTAAATTGATAATAAACTTTACTAATTCTTTGAGATTTCAAAGGTTTCATCTTGGTTTGTATCCACTGCTGGAAAGCTAGTTGACATTTGGTGGTATTATGGAATCCTGTTTTTTCCATATTGCCAGAATTGGTTTTCTGGTTCCTTTTCATATGAGTACACTACTTCTTCTAATTATTTTTGAGTTAATTTTGATTCAACTGGGTTTAAAATTTTTTTTCCTTTGAGTATGTGAGTTTAGTGTTTCTAGTTTATTGTCACCTTGCTTCAGCTCTGGATAATTTCAGTGGCAAAGACTCTGTATGAGTTCCTGGGTTATAGACAATCTTTGTGGGATAGGTTTCTCAGATACTGGTGGTAGTAGCAATGTGCTGGGTGTGTGAGCAGGTTCACTGTCTCCTGTGGAGCTAGAATGGCAGAGGTCTCATGGAACTTATCTCATTCCCCAGTGATGTGCACTTTTAAAACTTTGTTTCTCTGGTATTTCACTCACTGGATTGAACAGTTCCAGCTTCAGACTAGTAGGAGGTACCCATGAGTAAAAATCAGCTGTGGCTAAAGCCATGGGTAAATGCAATACCCCAGTGGTGGGCAGAGGTGGTGGGCAGAGGTCCCAGCCGCCAAAAGGGTGGCTGGGGAAGCTCTCAGTGAAATTCACTGAGGTCTTTTCAGGAGGAAGTGAGGGAGCCATCACAGCTCTCCTTCCAGGCTAGTAGGAAAGTGGTCTGACTCCCAGTCACACTCCTAATCCAGTGTTCTGGCTATTCAGATCAGACAGGCACCTCTCTTCATCTGCAGAAATGCTGATGTTCCATGTACAGAGAGGTTGGGATCTATTTCTTGTGCAAACCTGAACTAAGAGGGCACTCCTTCTGTGGGGATGCAGTCACCCTGAAGTGTTCCAGAAAGCTGGGGTTTCTCTCATGGGAGATCAGTGTGGGTACACCTGTTGAGGGAGAGAGGGAGAAGAAATCAGCTTCTCTGAGACCCTTCATGAGCACCAGAGCTGATTGACTGTTGAGGTAGAACCCCTACCATTTCTATTATATAACAATTTGTTTATCTGTGTATCATCTTTCTATGAGAACAGCAACCTTGCCTATCTTTGCCCATTATTCCCTGCTGTGTATTCCTGGTGCATAGATGAGAGTCTGGCACATGATAAGTGCTCAAATAATGTTTGAGGAGTGTATGAATAAGTCATCAGGGAAATAGTCATGGAGAGCCTGAGGTGTAATTTGAGGCTTGAAAGATGGCAAATTATATGGAAGGAAGTGAGAAGCAGAAGCACTCAAGTGAAAGACATAACATATAGCACTCCTGTCATGCATGCCCAGAGGTGCCAGATTTAAAGAGCATAGTCACACTGCAGATAACATCATTTGTAGGTTATTATGATAATTTTCTGGAAGATGAGAATAAAATGTTTAGTTCTAACAAAATTAGTATATTCTGAACAATCTTCTTCATTGTTGATGAAAAAAAAATTTCAGGAAGAAACACTTGTTTCTAATTTGTACCAAGGTACCATATGGACTAGCAGTGACCCTGACATGAAAGGAAATACAGAAGACTGGGAGGAGTTTGTGTTAAAGAAAACCAGAACCTGACAGAAGTTAAAATGGTATTTGCAAATTTTATTCAGGAACTATTGCAATAGGGAGAAAGACACCTCAACACAGAACTAATTCCATTCCAAATACAAGGACAAATGGAGACTTAGAGCCAAGGAACAGGGTGGGAGGTCACTGGATCGAAAATTGTTAAGGGAAAATAAAATAACAAAGATAGGAGGGAGGGTCAGGCTAAACAGACTTTTGATAGGATTCTTGCTGAAGGTAGGGCAGGATGACAAGATATTGAGCATGGGGGATGAGGAATTTGATCAGATATCAAGGGTGGGAGATTTTCATGAAACTGATTCGGCAGGATTTTTGCTGAAACTGGACTAAATGGGCCAAGGAGAGAACACAAGTTTGGGGTCTTGAGGGCCTAGGGGAGCCCGACTAGAATTAGGAGAGAGTCTGTCACTTTGCATATTTGTGGGGCAAGGGAGGATGGTATCACTGAATGGTAAATGTCTTGACAATCGGGCAAAAAAATCTTAATTTTTTGTGTTAGTAAATTAGAAGCCATTGTAGATCCTGCTCCCAGTGCACTGAAGGGTTCTGCCTCCACAGATGCTGGGAAGAAGTTCAGAATTTTCTAAATGAGCGAAGGGCCACTGGGAAACATAACCCTCCACCACAAACTTCTGCTGTCTTCCCTGGTACTGTTGTGCGGGAGGGGAGGGGAAATAATGCACAGTGCCAGATACCTGGTAAACAATCAAGAAATAATTGCAAAATGAATGTGTGAAGCAAAAACCTGCATAAGTCATAGCATGGTTGCTAGCTCGCTGTAGACTACCATGCCAGCATAGTCTTGGGGAAGATTGGCAGGAGTCATAGAGAAGATGTGCTTGTCCATGGAAGAATGATGACCCCCACCATCTCCTTAGTAAATTTATGCCCCAGAGGATAGAGTGCAACTCACAGACCCCATAAGGCATAGTAAGAGTCTTTTCAAAAGAAAATCTCTGTGTTATCCACATGAAAGCTCCTGAGGTGGGCATAGCTCATAGAGAGAAAGCAAGCCAAGAATTCCTAGTGAAAATGCCTCTGGTTACAGTCAATTCCCAGTCTTTATTTTTCCCTATTTCTTGGTGGCTTTTATGAACACAAACCAAGTATTTTTATAACGCTTCTTCATTAAAGTCATCAAGGGTTGCAAGCAGGAGAGCAGGCTGCTGAGGGATCTCACTTCTTTGCCTTGCCAGAAGGTCCAGGAACAGAGACAGGACCAGGCTTTAATCCTTGGCCAGGATTAAAGATACAGGTCCTTCTCCGGACTCTGTCCCTCTCTCCTTCCTTCTTTTCTTTCTTCCCTCCTTCCTTCCAACTTTCCCACTTTTTTCTTCATCTACTTTAAGTATGTTACAGGTATCATACTGATACTGAAGAGACAGAAGTTAATGAGAGATCCCATCTTTGAACAGTCTACATCTTAGCCTTTCCTTGCATTCTTTGAAGATTTCGATCAAACTCAGGTGTAGGAGTAAAACTTGGTTTGGGTTTCAAGGCTGCTGAAGCTTAAATATTGCTGGGTTCCTATTTGGATTACTAAGAGGTGAGCAGTAAAGTGAGTCATGAGAGCTTGAGAGGGACCTGTTCTCCATCTGTCTCGGTATTGGCTAGGTTGGGCAGACAAATAGGACTGAAGGAGTCTGTGCCATGGTGTAGGTTTTAGGAAGAATAATTGGTTGTTCATCGAAGACCTTAAGTATCTGTGAAAAGAAAGCATAGCTTATATCACAAGAAATGTTATTTGTACTCCTTTTGCTTCATTCAAAGGAAGAGGGTGATGGAACAACTATGTAGGTATTCTTAGGTTTTGAAACACAAGTTATCAGAAGAGTCTTCTCTAATTTTTGAAGCTATTCTTTATGTTATATCCAATATACTAATAAAGACTGCTAAAATTGCTATGATAATTTCTTTGTAGAAAATATCTCAGAATGTAAATGTCTTTGTTGATAAAGAGGATAGAAAAGTAGTAGATAGTTAAATTCAAAAGTTGAAGCCAACAGATCAAAGTTCTAGCAGAGATGGTTTAGCCACTAATAAGTTGAGTGACCTTGGGTGATTCATTAGTCAACAAATTTATCTGAATCTTGGCCTTCGTACTATCAAATAGGTTTCATAACATTACCTACCCCACTCACATCACAAGGGTGTTGTGGGCATTCATTGAAACAAGGATATAAAAGTCCTTTGAATAATGGAAATTAGTGCTAAATTAGATTTGAGCATAATGAACTGAGTGTCTCAGAATACATGAGAATACATAAGAATACTCTCAGAATACATGTGAGATACTTAGCCCAGGTACCAATGACTATCATGTGGTAGCCTGAGATTTGTTCTGCTTTTCTTTGCATGTGCTGACTATGTCCACCTTTCTTCCTCTCTCACCTCTTTCACTTAAACTTGGCCCTTGAAATGAGAGTTCCTGATGTTTCTTTCCATAGCAATCTGATCTGTACTAAACAAGGAAGGAGGAGTTCTCTGGCTTTTAGCACCTATTCCCCTTTGCTTCTTTTTTTTTTTTTTTTGTGGACCCTTCCTCTATTGCCCAGGCTGGAGTGCAGTGGCGCAATCTCAGCTCACTGCAACCTCTGCCTCCCAAGTTCAAACGATTCTCCTGCCTCAGCCTCCTGACTATCTGGGATTACAGATCGCCACCACCATGTCTGGCTAAGTTTTGTATTTTTAGTAGTGACGGGGTTTCACCATGTTGGCCAGGCTGGTCTTGAACTCCTGACCTCAAGTGATCCACCCACCTCAGCCTCCCAAAGTGGTGGGATTACAGGCATGAGCCACCACGCCCAGCCTCCCCTTTGCTTTTCAGAAGCTTAATTCAAGTTCTCCTTGGATACACCTAAGCTCATCTTCCCATGACCACACCTAAGCTTGTCTTCCCATGGCTATCACAGCTCCCCCTTGCTGTGGTCCTCCTACCTCCAAGTTATCCTTCCCCTCAGAAGGACAGTGTCTCTTTCTTCAAAAGTGATCTCCTCTTTTCAATGGCTTTCTAGGCATATTTTTCCAATGCCTGATATTTAGGATTTGATGATGTCTTTCTAGCCAATTCTGAAACCCCGTGAGAAGGATCATCAGTCTCATATTTCAAATAGTGATCTGGCATCAGACCAAAGCCCACATTTCCCAGTTTAATCATTCATCTTGGTCAACAACTTTATTTCTGAATGACTTTTATCTGTTTCCAAAAATTAAACCCCTCATCCCAAATGTGAATTTACCATCATTTTAAGGATGGGAAAATAATACCACAGATATTAGTGGCAATTCCTGAGAAGGAGCCATTCAAGATTTTTGGAATATTTATCATTGAAATGCATGTTTAGGCTCTGGAGGTTTAAGTCATCATTTGAATTCAAGCATTCTAGTATGTTTGACTTTTTAAAAAAGTGACCTATTTTTAAATTAGGGCTGTGTCCATCCAACAGCTAGTAGCCCATTTACAGACCCTGGATTTGTAGTTTATCTGCTTTCAAAGGGTTATTAAATTGATTCCAACAAATGTTGCTGTAATAGAGGTTCTAAAATAGGAAATTCAAAACCATGAAAAAATGGGGGGAATAAAATATTCATAAAACAGAGTTACTGTTAATGAATGTTAAGTTGAAACTGCCCAAGAGGCAAAAAGGAAAAAAACAAAAAACAAAAACAAAAACAAAACCCCAAAAAAACCATGAGAGGCCAACGCTCAGTCTTTCTGTCATTCAAAAGGGAAGATTTCAGGTATTTAAGAGAAGCAGGAAAAGGTAGCTGATGATCCTTTGGCGCCCATTCAGTAACTCCTAGGAGCTTTCACCTACACTACCTTTGCCCCTCCCTCTCTAACTAGCAGGGAGATTCCAGGTAATTTACCTAATGCAATACAGGTGATCCCTTATCTGTGCACTTGGAAAGCAGATGGGGTGGGGCTAATAATCCCTGGCTCATAAGTTTGTTGTAAGAATTTAGTGAGGTGCTTATAAAGCTCTAGCAGGGTGCATTGCACATTGTAAACATCCAGTGAATTCTGCAATTCCTATAACACCCTTCCAAGAAGGTGTTACTATCTCCATTAAGAAATAAGATTCCTCCACTTGACAGAGTGTCACTAGTGTATGGAGAGCCAGGATTCCAATCCAGGTCCCTAGTCACAAAACCTATGGCCTTTCTACTGTATCTGTTAACTCTAAAAGGCATTTGCCAAATGAGAGTTGTTTTACTTTTTTAAAAGAATATTAAATGACATAATGACCAGTGTAGGAAGCAGACTTTCTGGGGTATTTCTTAGGCTGTCAGTAAGAGCCTTGAGATTCGCATTGAACCATAACTCAGGAAAATTGGTTCTGTAAGGGGCCAGGCTATAAAGTCCAGCTTCGCAAAGAACTAACTTAACGTAAATAGAGGATGAGCCCCTCCAACTATTCACATGCACCTAACCCTGGCTGGTCACATAAGGTGCTTTGTAATATTCATGATAGCTTAATGGGCCTGATTATGATGGCATGAGAGGTGCTTTTCTAACAGAAACAGCCCTCAGCAACCTCCTCTGCTTGATCTGCTTCTGTATGAGCTGAAAAAAAGCATTTTCTTGACTCCATAGCGGCCAATCCCCTGCCTGCCTCTTTGTTTTGGTTCTAGTTTTCACCCCCTTGGCAACAGGCTCCTGCTAGGCATTGTGAACCCTCAGCCTGCCAGGATTCCAGGACATGTTTCTGGAAGGTAACATGAGAGGCATGGTGTCCCCTGGCCTGCCTCTTTGAATAGTTTACTCTGTCTACATTCTCAGCTGGAGCTGGCACATGGTCAGCTGTGAATCGGAGGCTCCACCCTTGCCCTGGCTTCCTAGGCCTTAGGTTCTGGGGCTGATAGAATGGAGAACGCGAATGAACCAAGGTGCCAGTCTAACGTCTGCTCACTTCTGACTTTCACCAACTTCTGCTTTAGTCTATTGCTGATCGCAGTGGCTCTTCATCAGACAGCTGGGTTTATTAATATTTGCCCTAACCAAGGTTTCTCATTTCCTACTGAATTATGATGACTTTGATTAAAAGACATATAATTGATTGAGTGTGCAGGTTTAAGCCATTATTGATAACATAGGCTATTTTGTTTGAGTCTCACAATAAAACCTATGGAGTATGGAAATCAAAGCTCAGACAGTAGAAATAACTTGCCAAGGGTCATACAGCTTGTCAACGGGAAGGTAGGGTTTAAACCTGGCCTGACTGCAAAGCCCATGCTCTCTTTTACCATAATATAGTCCTCTTTCCGATTATGTCTATGGGTCTCTGGGAAGAAACAGTGCTTAGAAAATTTCTTTGTAGCTATTATCTTTGTCTTCCTGGCCCTTAAATTTAGAGAAGACTGTTTCCCAAGAAACAAGTGATAGTCAGCTCCCAGTCCCTGGATATCTTACCACAGCAATCAGTATTATCCTCTGTCTGTGCATGAGCAAAAATCTCTTTCTTCTCCAATAATAATGAATGATGAAAATGGGCTCCGATGCCTGATAGATGTGCAGTCTCCTGTCTCATTGCAAGACGTGCCAATTCAATTGGCCATTTTCAGCATGGATGCACAGGGACTTTTGACTCTGTGTGTTGAACTGTGATGCTGGAATCTTTTTTTTTTTTTTTTAAATCAAGGCAATTGCAGGGAGGCGAATTTTGGACTTCAGGGAATGAAAAGATAAAATGCAATTTCCGGCTTGAAATTATTTTTTAAACTCCTCAGCAGGATGGATTTTCACTTTTGGCAGGTTTTGTCTTATCAAACATGTAGGGCTGGCAGCTCTACTCAGAGCCTGTCCTAAGGCAATGCTGTGGTGAAGCTGCCTTCCCATTTTTATTTTTTATTTCCTCTTCTACTCCCAGCTGTCTCTACTCTTCTCCTCCAATAACCCTGCACTCTCATGCCTGGCACCACAGCGTGGGTCAAAGAGCAATAACTCTGGACTGTCAGGATCTGGTTATTGGTCCTAGCCCTGCCAACCTCTAGCTATGTGGCTTTAGAGAGGTCTCCTATCCCACTAGGCTTTCATTACCTCGTTATAAGATGGGCAGGCTAAGCACACAACTTCCAGCAATGTCCAGCGACTCAAAGGAGATGATGTAATCAAAGTGCTTTGCTAACTATAAGAATTTCACAAACTTTGGTTACAGTTTTACAAACTTTCGATTCTCTCAAGTTCCCCACCCGTCTTTCGAGGCCTAATGTCATATAAAACTCAATTTTTTTCTCTGTACTCCATCTTTATAAAAGTTTACAATTCCTCAGGCCACTTGAACTGGAGAGAGGCTGGAGAAAGAGAAGATCTTTAGCTAGTGCCCCTTCTGTCTCCCCACAGGAGACATCTCGGTGGAGGAGAGGGCAGCAAGTATCATTGATGTCTATTCAGGGAAGCCACAGAGCGCATGGTCACCCTGTGACATGCAGTTCTTCGTTACAATTGTAGGGAGCACCACACTCACCAGGAAAAGAGGATATTGGCTTTCGATCTTGTCTCTGAGAGGTACAGGCCTTCTATCTATGCTGTCTGTATTTGGCCTGTGGATCACTCACAGCAGAAAGCCAGCCGGGACCCTATGACATGGCCAGGCCCCAGTGAAACGTCCCCTTGTGAATGCCCTTCACCATTCAAAGACCAAGGATGCCTGTAAGTCCTCCGTCTCCAGAAAGAGAGTTTTGTAGCCAGCAGGTCAAAGACAGTGAGGAAGGAAAGGCCTCAGTGCCAGTGTTTAGGTGGGAAACCCTCCAAAGAGATTCACATTCACCATAAATTTATTAAATGCTCTGGGTGGTATTATAAAGAAGAGAGCTATTCAATTTCATCTAATGTAACACTTCCCAAATATGTCTGACAATATGATCCTCTTTAATTTTCTCCCCATAAAGGCTAGTAACATTCCACAAACACACTCTGGGAAACCACAGTACAGTGAAATGCAAATCAAGAATAAATCTTGGCTGGGTGTGGTGGCTCATGCCTGTAATCCCAGCACTTTGGGAGGCCGAGGCAGGCAGATCACTTGAAGCCAGGAGTTCAAGACCAACCTGGCCAACAAGGTGAAACCCCATTTCTACTAAAAATACAAAATTAGCCGACTGTGGTGGCACATGCCTGTAATCCCAGCTACTTGGGGGGCTGAGGCGGGAGAATCGCTGGAACCTGGGAGGTAGAGGTTGCAGTGAGCCAAGATTGTGCCACTGCACTCCAGTCTGGGCAGCAGAGTGGGTGAGACTCTGTCTCAAAAAACAAAACAAAACAGAAATAATCTAAACCTCTAGGTTCAGAGTAAGACCTCACAATTTCATAATACTTCCTATGTACTAGGCACTGTTCCAAGTACTTCTCATCTATTAACTCATTTAGTCCTCACAGTAACCCCATAAAGTATCATCATCTCATTTTTACATGTACAGAAACTCAGGCACAGAGAAGTTAAGCAACTTGCTCAAGATCACACAGTCATTAAGTGGCAAAACTGGGAATGGAACCTAGGCATTTTGGCTCGTCTTTCTCCTAACCAACACTATTAGCAAAAATCCTGATGTATGAAAGAAAATAACAACTGCTTTACACAGTTTTATGTGGTTTAAATGAAATAAGGTAAGTTCCTTAATCCTTTATTTGGAAATATCTATCAGATGGAGAATACTATTAATACCTAGTTTATAGGCATTGTGTCGATCAAATAAGATATCATTTCTGAGAGTGTTCTGTGAACTTAAACTCTTATTATTCAGGCAGAAATGCAATCTCTTGGCCTGTCAATCAATGATAGATTTTTCAAACAATAACATATCAGCTCCTAAGTCCTCTTTGGTAAGTAACCTTGATTCCTATATGTTGGGTGCAGGATGCCTTGATCCGAGAGTTCTAGTGCAGGAAGAATCTAATCCTAAAAATTTTCATGAAGGGTATAGAGGAAATTCCCCTTCTGAAAAAAGAAAAAGAAAAAGGAAAAAAAGCTATGCAAGATTTTCTTTTCTTTTTTTGTTTTTGTTTGTTTTTTTTTATGAAACACACTGTGCTTGGAAAGAAATTCTATGGAGAGGGATCATGGGTTATGTTAGTAAAATAAAGACTGGGCCTCTCTCTCCCCTTATTTCAGCTTCTGATGAGAAGCGTTGGTGAGTGAGAGAGAATAGTTCATCCCAGTCCCACATGGTGAGCTAAGGAGCTCTGATTCTACTTTGTATACCATTTCTCGCTTTGAGAAGTTCTCCTGTAAGTGTCAGCTATAGTAACACTTACTGAATCATTTTTAAGTTGTTTCTTGTCCTTTCCTACCAGCCTTAGAATTGCTTGTGGAGAGAGGATGTGTTTTACTGTTGTCATAGCCCCAGAACCCAGCACAATTTGGCTGAGGATGGAAGTACATTCAAATTGGTCTTGGGATTTTTTAATGGCGACCTTGAGTATTTAATCCTAATGCGATATATAAATTTATTTCCCTAAGTATTTTTTGAGTAAAAAAATCAAGCTGCTAATTTTTATAACTTGGTAAAATGTAAAGTGCCTTCTTCACTCCTGCCCTCTGTCTATGGGCCCGTCTCCCAAACTTCTTCAGTTTGTGTCCAGCAAAATTCTTGTTGCTGTCAAATGAGCCAAGTAAGATGAAAATGTGTGGTGTCAATGTCCCTCTAGCGAATAGGAAGGGTGATAGAGTGCTGTACTAGCTGGAATGTATAAAGAAACATTGTTCTCCCCCATAAAATTAATTTCTTTTTACTCCATTTTTTAATTATAGAAGTTGTTTAAATTATAAAATTGACACACATGGCACTTTTCTTTATGTGCAAAGTGTGGGTCTTTCTGCTCTCCCACTTCCTCAGCCCACTCACCAAAGGTGAACATTAGAAATGGTTTCATGTGTAATTCTCCAGAAACTTCTATGCATATGCAAGCATGTAAGTAAAGGATATAGTATATATTCTTTATCATTGTACTCGAATGAGTTCATTTTATACTTGCTGTTCTGCAACTCCTTTTTTAAAACTAACAATCAATCTAAGAGATATTTACACATCAGCACTTCATTTTTTTAACTGCCATATGAAACTCTTTTGTCTGACTTTATCATAATGTAACCATTCTTCTTTTATTGCACATTTAGGTTGCCTGCAAAATGTTGCTATTAAAAAGAGTGCTGAACACAGCATTTTTATGTTTGTAATTTTATCCTGTTAATATTACCAAATTCCCCTGTCACGTTCCCCGCTAGCATACAGTGTTGCAGCACCCATTTGCAACCTTGCTAATGGTAGGTATTATCTGATGCTTTAATCTTTCCCAATCTGATAGGTGAAAATGATATCTCATCATAATGAAAATTTCATTCAACTATGAGCAATATAATCATCCTTTCATACTTTAAGGGGGTATTCTTTTACTTTTTCTGTATGAATTGCTTGTTCATATCCTTCCTCATTTTTCAATTGAGTTGTTGGTCTTGCTAACATGTAAATTAATATATTAATATGTAAAACTCTAGATATTAAGGAAATTCACCTTTTGCCAGTGATCTGTGCTGTAAATATTCCTCCTGATTCGTCATTTGTCTTCTGAGTCTATTTATAGTGGATTTTGCCATGTGAAAGTTTAAATTTTTTATTAAGTGAAATTCATAGATTTGGGTTTTCATGTCATACTTAGAATGTCACTGCTGCCAGATTATATTTTAAATATTTCATCTTCTCCCCTAGTTACTTCATAGTTTCATTTTTGAAACTTAAATCTTTGACCAATCAGGAATTTATTTTCGGTGGAAGAAAGGAGGTAGGAAGAGGAATTCGGCGCTACGTTTTCTACATAGCCAGTCAGTCATCTAAACTCCATTAATGGGCTTCCTTTACAAGTGTGTTTGTGTCTGCTTCTAGACTCTTTATTCCATTCCACTGAACTGCTTATCTACACTTGTGACAGCATCAAATTTTATAAATTACTGGAGACATTTTAGTAATTTAGAGCCATTCCCCCCTTTTTTGTGCTTCTTTTTTTAACCAAATTTTCTGGCTATATCTCCATGTTAAATTTTTCTTTTGTATGTTAAGATCAGCTTGCAAGTTCTAAAAAAATGCCTGTTAGTATTTTGATTGTAATAAAATTGTAGTTATACATTAATTTAGGAAGCATTATGATCCTTAAAATAGGGAATGTATCTGTAAAAATATAACTTTTTCTTTATATAAAGCTTTTATTGGTTTTCAGCAAAGATTTCTTCCTGTAGGTTTTTTTCATATGTCTTCCACATTTTCTTTTTAAGTTTATTTCTAGATATATTTCTTAATATAAATAAAAATGAAATCTTTTCTGTATTTTTCTGCTTATTTTATATATTGATTATTTTATATCAACTTTGAACCACCATTTAGTTATACCTAGTTTATACAGAAGGACACGTAGGCGTTTTGTTCCTGATCTCTTGCATACTTGAAAAATTCTATCTGCTCTCTTTACACTTGAAAGCAAATCTGAGTCACTCCTTATTTTCTAGTACTAAATATGGAGGAATCATCAGTTTTCCCCATAGGTGAATATTTGTGTGTGGGAGATGAGGAATGCTGAATTTCACTGAATTCTTTTATTATTCTTGAAGTCTGAAAACTTCATTAGGCTGTATCTTAGAGCTGGTTTTTCTGTATCACTATTTTTTCTGAGCTATAATATGCCATTTTAATCTGTATAAATTCTAGATTTCTGTTATTTATTTCATGGTAATTTTCTTTTCAGGTATTTTTGAATTTTTTTGTTCTAATTGTCCTGTTCTTACTTTTTCCTAACTCTGATTCAAAATTTGATGTCTTTAGTCTGTCTTCTACTGGCGTACCAGTAATTTACTGTCTAATGACTTTTATCTCATAATTTGATAATATTTTTTATTCGTATGTTTTTGTTTCAAGCCAGTCCTCCATGTCTTTGTTTTTCAATTAGTGTCTATTCTAATATTTTGCTATTTTGAACATTTGATGGGTTTATTTCTTTCTTCAACTTTTCTCCTGAACTTTTCTTGCTCACTATCCGCTATCTTGCCCTACTTTCTCTTCCTTATTCTTTCTTTTTAAACTTCCTTTTTTGAAATCTTTCTTCAAAAGCATACATTTCCTTCTACTTAGTTGATGATGTCCATTGCAAAGTGAAATTTGCTTGTTTGGTGAGATAGACATTTTTGGAAAGTTGTTGTTTATATTTGTGTTTGATCAGTTTCTTTTCTCCTTTTCTGTAGTTATGTAAGTAGAGGTCCCATGCTGGGTTGTTTCTGATAATCAGTCACCCTTCAATAGGTGCCAATCCAGGTGGGAGGGCTATTTACTAGAGAATAACTTTAGGAAGGGTGGGAGGCAGGGAGGCGGGCTGGTTGGCAGCTTCCATTCAGGTGCTCGGCCTCACAATGTCTTCCCACTCAATATGCTGCCTCCTTTGCCTGGGAATACCTCTAGCAACTTTTGGTATGGTCCCTTTAGGGTAAAAATAAGAAAAGAATGATGTACAGCAAAGCCCTTTTCATTAAAAATGCTCTATGTAGTGATTTATCTTATTTGAGCTGCCTTTGATCAAGAGCTGCAAATCTGTTGTCACTTGTTTGCTCTCCTCTTCCTGCCACACTTCCAGTTACCCATGCAGTGCCTCCTTCTCTGTTCCTTCTGCCATCCTGCAATGTGGAAAGGACTAAACATTATTTCAGAATGGCCAGACTGGGAGGACAGAGGATGAAGAATCTGGGCCCCCCCCTAGGGTGGAGCAGGCAAGAGGGGATAGTTAGAACTGCAGATGCTCAGGGAAGACTCAGCAAAAGCATGGTGTCCAAGAAGTGAGACAGAATTAGGATGTAGTTTAAGCAAGAGCAGCAATCGGGGTCAAAATATGGTATACGTGTGTGTGTGTGTGTGTGTTTGTGTGTGCATATCTGTATGCATCGGGTAGGTAGGGATTGAGGGGGCAATGTCACTCCACAGCCATAAATGGGGGTCAAAAACAGGCAGGAAGGCGGCTGCCATCAGAGCAGAGTCTTGCTCCAGCAGCCTGTGGTTTGAGGATGGGGCTCACTTTTCCAAATGTTTGCTGACCAGGAGACGCAGGACAGCAGAGGCTTGAGTGTTAGAAACACATCTGGGTTTCAATTTCAGCTTCAGAAATTATTTATTATATGACTTTGGACAAATTCCTTAACTGCTCAACATTTTGGTTTCCTTAACTGTAAATTGGGGATAATTGTGTTTGCCTCACAGAGTTGTTGTGGGGCCAGAGATGAAACATGAAAACTGTCTAAGTGCCCTGTCTGGCAGGTTACAGGAGCTCAATAAAAGATAGTTGTTTTTAGTATTAATGACTCAATTGAGTGATGATGATAAATCTCCTGGTCTCCAGCCTCTCCCCACTCCAAGCCAGCCTCTACGATCTGCCAGTGTTCCTGCTACACACAGACCTGGCCGTGTCAGTTGCTACCGCACAACTGTCCCCACATCTCGAGATGTCCCTGCCTCCCTTTCCAGCCTCACCACCTACCACCCACCTTTTATTCTCTTTCACATGAAACTTCCTTTATTTCTAGAGTCTGTAAAATACTTTCAACTCACCTGGCTCTTCTATATGATGTGCCTTCTGCCTAAATGCCCTTTGTTTTTTTCCATGGGATCCACTTCTGCTCCCTTATCTGTAGAGTTAGACATACGCCTGGGTTTGAATTCCAGCTTCAGAAATGATCACTCCCTACCCAGTATCACACACACACACACACACACACGCACATGCACGCTCACTGGCCACCTCCTGCCCAAAGGCTTTCCTGTGCCCTGAGACAGACTTAGAGGTACTCTCTTGTGTCTGCAGTACTTCGCACGTATCTTTATCACAGCAATATTTTGGAACATTGAGAAGCAATGCTAACTTCTTTATTAATTGTTCATTCAGAGGATCTATGACTTATGGAGAACACCCAATATGGTCAGAACTCTGCTTAGGTACTTTCACAGATGTCTTATTTATTTCCACAATAATTCTCTCAGCTGCACAGTTCTCTCTAGTTTTCAACTCATGACACAGGGGCTCAGAGGGATTAAGTACCTTGTTCAAGATTACCTGATCAATAAGTGGTGAATCCAGATTCTGTCTGATTCCAAAGCCCATGCTTCAGCCAGCATCTGAGAAGAATAAAATGAGCAATGTTACCAAAGAGAGATATTCAGATTTCACACAGAAGGAAAAAAAAATCAATATTCATTAGTCTGCCCTGGTTCAGGTCCATATATGATTTTTGTTATGCTTTTTGAAAATGAATCCCAGACAAATACAATCATGCCTTTGGTTTGCAATGATTGGAGGGAGAATTGAGAATGCACTTACTCATGCCTGAGCCTGTCCAGATCCATTTCTTTCTTAGGAAGTGTTAAAGCCAAATGTGTCTAATGTCCCAGCTATCCTGGCGCTGTCCTGCACGGTCCTGTCTCTGCCTGTGCTGTAGAAAATGCAGACTGTCCACATCCATATGGAATCATTTCTGCTATACTTTCCAACTGGTGCATTATTAAAACACCTGCTGTGGTGGAACTTACTCAGTGAATGGGGCCATCCATTCCTTCAGTCCTCCGTTCACTCCGTGATTTTATTTTATTTTATTATTTTATTTTATTTTTGAGATGGAGTCTCATTCACTCTATCGCCCAGGCTAGAGTGCAGTGGTGCAATCTCAGCTCACTGCAACCTCTGCCTCCCGGGTGCAAGCAATCCTCCTGCCTTGGCCTCCTGAGTAGATGAGATTATAGATGCCCACCACACCCGGCTAATTTTTATACTTTTAATGGAGACAGAGTTTCACTATGTTGGCCAGGCTGGTCTTGAAGTCCTGACCTCAAGTGATCCACCTGCCTTGGCCTCCCAAAGTGCTGGGATTACTGGCCTGAGCCACCGTGCCTGGCCCTCAATCTATGATATTTATTGAGCACCTACTATGTGCTGAGCATCACAGGCTACTCAGAACCTCTGCCAAGGGGATGCAGGAATGTGCTCCTGGTACCTTTGGTCTGTAAAGCACATAAACAGACTCTCAAGTAAATCTCTTCCTTCTCTGAGGCTGACTTGTCTTGGTGTCTTGTGCTATCATCTCCTTCACCTGGGGGCACTGATGACATTATTACCTAGATGACTGTAACATTTGCCAAATTATCTGTCTCCTAGAACCTTTCCCTGTGGAGACACCACATTTATATTCAGGACAATGTGTAATAAACTCATACAAAGGACTTCTTGTTTTTAATAGCAGAATGGGCCTACCACCAGCTGTCCTGCTTTATAGGTTAAAACTGAACCTTTTTTTTTTCCATGAGAACAGAAATAAGCTATTACTATAACAGGTGCAGTTGCAGTCAGAGGAAGATGGGGTTTTGTTCAATGAAGGTCCCTTTCATTCTGATGTGCATGTTAATGGGCTTAGATCTACAAAAATGGGCCTGGACGTTGTGAGTAGGAGCTGGAGAGAATTGAATTGCTCTTCATAGTAGAATGAGAAAGAAATTTGAGTTCCAAAGGGGGGTAAAAATGGGGATGGGAAGAGAAAGGGATCATAGAGACTGAGGGAAGGGAGAGAGAAGACAGAAGCATGAAAAGAAGGCAGAGTTGTTCAATGGGATTAAATTGGCTCATAAAATCTCCCCAGAGGTGAGTGGCCAAAAGCACTTACAAATAGGGATGTCTGATGTTCAATGTATGAGTTCATTATACACTGTCCTGAATATAAAACTTGTTTGCCCTGTTGTGATGCAAACCATGATGACATCCATCTTCCTTGAAACTTAAGTGAACTTTCTTATACAAAAAAATGCCTTGTGTGACTGGCTTTATGAGCTAAAAAAAGAGAAAGGGACAGAGTTTCAGTCTCTGAGTCATTGTGATGTGTTTTAGGGTCCCCATATGCATGACAGTGAGATAAACTAGAAACCAAGCCAGTTTGGCAGGCCGCCATTTTAGAACTGGATTTGCCATTCTAAGTCACTTAAAAGTAATGTGGCAACTGGACAGACACTCAAAGATGGTAGGTGAGCCTGAGGGGTATCTGAGGGAAGAGAGTACAAGCAAAGAGAACTGCAAGTACAAAGGTCCTGAGGGGTGGGGCTCAGAGGGCAGAAGAGGGAGTACAAACCATATTGTGGGGAAGAGAGGGGTCTCTATTTCCAGAGAAACAGCCTGGAGGGGAGAGTGCAGCCTCGTGCCTGGCTCCTATCTCAGGCAGCAGGAAGGGCCACGTGTTGGATGTTCCCCAGTCAGAACATCCACGTGTTTTGTTCCCCAGTTAGAGAAGCCACGTTATCTGAGTGTCAGTAGCAAATCCTGAAGGCCTGAAAATCACTTTGTTCTTCCCGAAAATGCTGTTGAATTTTCCCCAGTGCACAATTAGCACTTAAGTGTATGCAGTGTTATTACTCTGTGGGTCATTAACCATGGGAGCTGCCTCCTTAGCAGAGCCACTAAACAGTTGTTGACAAAAGGCATGCTCATCAGCTCATACTTGGGCAGTTATCCTCATTCTTTGGATTGCACAGCACAGACAAAGGGTTGGTTTTGATACCCACACTACCATCCTTCTCCTCTAAATCCACAGCCCACTTCTGCTTAAGTTTCTTTCCTGAAGGTCAAATTGCACAGATCATGAAATTAGACATCACTACACTCTTGTGAGGGGAGATAACCCTATATGACATGTGACCACCTGTCCAGGGAGAAGTTCAGAGAATCCCACCCAGCCTCCCTCTCGTGGCCCTGGGTGCCATGGCTTATATGCAGGGTGGGCTGAGTGTTACAGAATCAGGGCCTGCCTGCAGTGCTGGCTTCTCGCTGATGAACGTGGATCTCAGGCTCATCCCTAAAAATATGTTGATTCTGGCTCTATTCAGAGCCAAAGCATATCTAGATAACTTGAATCAATCCCTTCCAGACTTGAATCTGAAATTGCCTCAAGGAGAACTTGCTAGAAGGAGATGGTTCTCTGTCCCAGGAATTAATGATGATTCCACCTGTGTCATAAACTAAACAACAAATATCTTTCTCCAGGTGAAATGTCCCATCTCTCTTTTTCTAGGAGTGTATGGTGTGGCACAGCCTTCTTCCCCCATCCCTCAATCCACCCTGGGCTAGAGGGATAATGCCCAGTTACCTCATCTCCCCTTGCCCCCACAAACTCCCCATATTCCACCTCTCCCTTGTCCCTACCTGGACAAACTCAAAAGGACCCTTCTTCTCCCCAGATAACTAAATGTGATATTGCATTTGGTCCTCTAACAAGAAAGAAAGGAATTAAAGAGTAAAACAACTCAGTTATTTTATTTCTCTCTCTTCTCTCTCTCTCTGTCTCTGTCTCTCTCTGGCCATTGTTTCGAGCTTCGCTGTTGTTAGCTCCCTTTCTTCCATGTATTCCTTAAATATTAGTTTCCTGAAGTTCATTGCTGGTCCCATTTCCTCACTGGTGGTCTTGCCTATGCTCATGATTTCAATGAATGGGTACTAAGCTGAGGCTTTCAAATATGTCTTCCACACAGACCTACCTCTGGGGCTTTTGAACATCTAACTCCCTGTTGGAAATCTCCACTTCAGCTTCTGAACAGCATCTCAAACTGAATGTGACCAATGTGGAATCCATAATTTCTCCCACCCCAAGCCGATCCCTCCTCCTGGTTGCCATAAGTCTGTCCAGTTGACCAGGCCACGCGCCTGCCTCCCTGAATTTGGTCAGCTGGCTGCCAAGCCCCGTCTCCACCTGCAGTGTCCAGTTTCATGTTCTCTCCCATCTCCTCCTCTTGTGTCTCACTCTGACTGGGCACTATTCCGACAGTCTTCTCACTGGTATCCCTGCTTCCAGCCTGGCCCTCTCAAATGTCCTCAACACCATAGGCAGATCTGTTTCTATTAGTTCTTTTTACTTCAAACGTTGATGGTTCTGCTTTGCCTTAGAGCACAATCCTCTCTCCACACTCACTTTCAGTGGCCCCTCTTCCTGTACCTCAGTTGAGCTCCTGCCGCATGAACACTCAGGCCTTGGCCCCAGCCTCAGGATCCCGTGTTGGCAAATTCCTGTTCATCTTTCAAGACCTGAGTCCCCTTCTGGGAATCTTCTCTAATTTTTCCCACCCCACCTTAACCAAGGCGGGTTAGTTACCCTTGGACCCGTTCCCAAGCCAGGGTCTCTTCCCTCTCTTGTGAGTCTTTCTGGCCCTCTGAAGTCATACAGTCCCAGACTTTTTGTTGTTGTTGAGTTGTCTAAACCAATCAGCTCATTCTGTAAATATTGAGAGTAAAACCAGACATGAAGTGACTTGTATGAGGTCACACAGCTAGAAGCGGCAGAGCTGGGACTTGAACCAGGCAGGTCTCCTGGCTCCTGACAAGTGGAATGGCTGGGAACTGTGATTCTATAATAACTCTAGAGACCAGCAATAGGACATTGTCCAGTCCGATCACACTGGCAGTTTCCCTTAGACACATCATGGGAGAAATCAGAAAGGCAGAAATCAGTCCGGAGTGCTCCTTCCCATGTATCTAAAACCCGAAGAGTTTCACCCTGAAGACTGGGTTAAATTCTTCTATGTGCTCTGTTACAACTAAATTTTTCTTCTGTAACAATTCCCATATTTGCATAATTATTTGCTTACTATCTGTTTTCTCTAGTAAATGAAAAACTACATGAGGATGGGAGGCCACGTTAATCTCATTGCTGGCTAGATACTTGTATAGTGCCAAACATGGTTCACACATCAATGTTTGGCAAATGAATGATGGATGGACATTCTTTAAAAATATCAAGTCACTCCCCTCTTGCTGTATGCCTATTAACTTGTGTGTATCTTCAGTCTCGGTCCATTTGCATATGATCATTAGGGGCCAGGAGAAAGAACAAAAGGTCCTATACTGACTAGAGAGAGAACTTTTCTCTATGGATTTAACTTTTACTACACAAGTAATGCACACTTGTAGAAAAATTTTAAAATATAAATAAGTAAAAAGAAGAAAATGAAAATCACTTGTAATCCCACAACTATTACTATTTGGTTACAAAGTCTCTCAAACTTTTTTCTTAAAAACTTATAAAAATGTAAATCATTCTCTACATAATGTTTTGCAACTTGATTTTTTCACTTAACAATGTATTGTGAACATATTTCAACATCATGTAATATAATCTCCAGCATATTTTTAATGACTTCATTGAATATCATTAAACTGAATAAATGATGTATTTAACCAATTCCTTATTGGTAAACATTTATATTTTTCTAGTTTTTTTTTTAAACCATAGTATGGGCCATGTTGTAGCAAACTGTCTTGTAACTAAACCTCTGTGCTTATCTATAATTATTTCCTTAGAATAAATTCCTAGAAATTGAATGACTAGATCAAAGAACATGCGTGTTTCAAACTTTTTAAAAACATGTTGTCAAATTGGCCCCAAAAGTTTTAGGAATGCATATTCCCTCCAGCAGGGTATGATGGGAGTCTTGGAGAGAAATGTTTAATCTAGAGTCCTTCCCCTGGCTCACCTACTTGCCAATGAGTTTGGCTGGACCATTCCGTCCTTTTACTGTCTTCAACCAAATAGGTGCAGTGCTCAGTTATCAGCCATCTATCCTTGCATGCCTCTCTCTTTCTCTCTTCCCCAACAGATTTCAATTATTTTCAAATGGTTGCATATATATTGGAGGTCCTACTTAATGAACAAACTCAGTGTGCTGATGTCTCTTCAACCCAGATGTCTCGCCCTTCCCCTCACTGGAAGGAAGCCCCACAATTTCATCAGCAAACAACATACATTCACATCTTCCAACATATCAAAGTTTAATATCCAATTTAGGAAAATGAAAGTTGCCATCTTTAGAGGAATGGGAGGAAATCTTTTCATAAGAGCAAGGGGTGGTTACTGGTGTGGGCAACACCTTTCACTGAAGGTTCAGCATTGAAAGAAGCTGCAGAGTCTTTGCAGGTAAATATTTCCTCTCAAAATGTAGCAAACGTCTTTTGCTTAATATATAATTTAGCACTTACTCTGAAATTCTTTGCCTATAGTACATCAGTCACCACAACAAATATCAAAAGTAGATATTATTATGTCATTTTACATATGAAGAAAATGAGGTTTAGAGTGATTCATTCATCATTCAAGAATATCTACCGAGTGCATAGCATTACATTTAGAAACATGGAAGTTATTGGTGGTCTTAATAAGAATGCTTTCACTGGAGCAAAACCCTGATTTGAATGTGTTCAAGAAAGAGTTGGGAGAATCTAGAGACAGTAACTATTGTATAGATTGCTCTTTCAAAGAGTTTTGCTATAAAGGGAAAGGGAGAAATGGGGGCTATAGCTACAGAGGAAAGTGGAGTCAAAAGAAAGATTTTTAGTAAAACGGAATAACAGCATGCTAGTATGGGAACAGTTTGAATACAGAAAAAAAAAATCCTATGATGCACGAGAGAAAGAAGTGGCAAGGTTTGCTCAGCTGAGAGCAGAGTGTGTTCATCCACATTAACAGAAATGAGATATAGGGAGATGGGTAGAGGCGGAAGTGGGAGTTTGTGGAAATTCTCTCTTCATTTTTCTCGGGAAAGCAGGAAGCAAAGCCAGTAATTGAGAGGGAGAGTGGGGGTAGGGGGTTTAAGAGAACAGAGGACGTATGAGATCCTCAGCTAGGAAAATGAGACAGTGAACTGGCTAGGGAGGCAGAGTGGTTGCCAGGCAGCAGAAGGCACAGCTGAAGATGGTAGTCATAAACTTAATGAGACTAGTCAGTAAGATTATGTGTTTTTCTCCAAACATGTCCAACGCTACAGGCTCAGGTGAGGAAGAGGCAAAGAGGTGGATGTAACTAGGTTTCTCATTTAGCCAAGCAAATATGCCAAAGGAGAGGGACAAGGAAATTAAAAATACACTCAAGAATTACTGAATGGCCGTGGCGTTTTTAAATGAATAATGAATAAAAGGAGGCCATGCAAGAGGTAAGGGATGGTGAAACACTTGTATAGATCAATAAAACAAGATCTTGGTAGGAGTCAAAGTGTTGTTGAACTACTGGTGGTGGCAGGGAATTGGCAGGTAGAAGACGGTAGTGAGAGAATGGGATAGTTGAAATTGGGAAATGGAAGTCAATTACGTTTCTCAAGGTCATACAATGTTATGTTGCAGAGCTGGGAGTCAAACTAAGATCTCTCTAATCAAAGAGCCCACCCCAATATTTAAGCAGTGCACTCAGGACAGAGTGAGAGAGGCCTTAGTTCACAGAGGCACAGTTGGCTTTTGTGGTATCATTCATGCAAATGAGACCTCATGGCTTTCTGTGGCAAATATTTATAGCACCGCATGAGAATGGTAATGTAAAATTTCTTCTCCCTTTCTCCTCCCCCTCCTACTTCTTACAGAAATAGTAACTGGTTCAGATGGGCTGGGCTGGTTCCATGGAGAGCATATGTTTGCTGATGAGGAGAAACAGACAAAGCCAGCTAATGGGAAAACGTGGGGTCCCTTATGAGTTCGGGGTTTAAATATCAGTTTCTGGTGTTTGTGCCTGTGTGGTTTTCTCCATGAAAGTGATCATTATCTTTCTAGCTTGAGATCTCCCCTGGGGGTGCTTGGTGAGGGCACCCACCCTCTTTAGATATTAACCATTCTCTAACAGCAAAACCACGGACAGGTCTTGTGGTGTTATATGTGGGGCAGAGTTAAATACAAAACAGACACTGAGGCACATTGAAATCGTGAAGCCGACGACAGCCCAGGAATGCAGAGATTGAGGCCCAGTCTCCTATGCGACTGCTGACTGTAAGAATGTTAACTCTAAATTTCCTGAATGTTGTCAGATCACAGCAGGGAGTCATGCATCCTCCCTGTAACATTCTCTCTCTCTGTTCTCTTTCACACACACACACACACACACACACACACACACACACACACACACACACATCATAAAGCCTTGAGGAATGTGTTCAGGATTTATGCAAGCTGTGTGCCTGGAGACCACATACTCTGTGAGAAAAATAAAATCTCTAGTCCTGAGAGATGATAATGATCATTTAGATTAGAACCATAAAAAGGAAAGCCATAGGATTTACTCTTACTGTGAATCTTGGATATTTCTGAATTGCCACCTTTCAAATGATGACATAATTTTGTCAGTGCTACTTCTTTCCCCCTGGTTTTCTTGAGTGACTTAAGCAAAGGGCCAACTGTGTGTTTCCAGCATAGAGCCTGGCACATGGAAACTGCTTAAACAAATGCTATTGGATAAACCTAATGGTGGCTTAAGGTCATTACTCAGGGGTGGTTGGTGATCTTAGACTCCCCTACAAGTTCCATCAATCTCCTCTTCAAGTCACTCCAACTGAGTTTTTTTAAAATATGAGTTTGCAATGTAACCATAGCTTCCAAGAGAATTTTCTGGAAAGAAAAAAAAAAACCACCTCCATGTTGCCCCAACCAGATTGTCATCCCGAAGACCCCCATATACAGAATGCTGGAGCTGTCCCCATCTCTCTTATGACCATTCCTTCCTCCCTAGTAGGTAATGATGGCTTGCCTGAGATAATCCACACTGGTGTACAGGAGTGATGGGTCTTACACCTAATAGCTCTATGACATCTTGGAGGCAAGTTTCTGAACCTTAATGGAACCTAGGTTTCCTTATCTGCAGAAAGGAATAAGAATATCAACATCCTATAGTGGTTTTCAAGAATTATTATAACGGATGCATAGTACTCAATGAGAGGTTATAAGCAATATCCCTCATATGAAATATAGGTCCAATGGTAATTCTGGATGAATGTTGCCTCTTTCAAGGAAAATATTTTCATTGTATCAGGGACCTAGTGATTGTAACAGACTCATAGTGATTTCCAGGAGGGAAATCTCTGCTTTAATTGAGGGTGCTAACAACATAGTGATAGTGGGAGTGAAAGTTTTAATGATGGTTTTTAAGTGAAGCTCTTCTTTCACACTATATTGGGACTGATTGTTTCTGGTGGGGTTTCAGTGAGTGGAACTTTCTGTGAGCCTCAGAGTCATAACCAGTGGGGTCTGCACAAAGAGGGGCTTGCCCTTCATTGAGGCTACTGGCTCTGTGCCTTCCTGAGCAATACATGATACCCCCATTGGGAAGGCAGTCCTGTTATGTCCAGGGCACTTCTTGCCAACAGGAGGCCCCTCCACCCTGGGATAAGCAGAGAGAAGAACCTATGCTTTCTTTAGGCATGCACAGCATCCTTATTCCAGAGGTTGTTGCTCAGTGACATACCAGACCAGAACTCCCTGAATCAGGCACCAGGCTGTGAGCAGACTTGTAGTTTGAAAAAGTTATGCAGGTGATTCTGGCATGTTTTCTCACTATAGTTCCCCTGCCCACAGCTTTACTGACACTCACATCTTCCATGCCACTTGAGAATCAATGTTCTGTAGTTGACCCGTGAACTACATGGACTGAACACACAGGTCCAATACATGGATTTTCCTCCATCTCTGCCACCCTTGAGACAGCAAGGGTGTCTCAAGACACCTTGAGACAGTAGGTACATATGATATGCTACCTACTAAATATGGGTTAACCTACTGTTTATGTTGTCAACAAGGCTCTTGGTCAAAAGAAGGCTAGCAGTATTTAAGTAGTAGTTAAATTAGTAGTAGTTAAGTCAAAAGTTATATGTGGATTTTCAGCTGTCTGGTGGGCCAGTGCCCATAACCCGTATGTTGTTCAAGGGTCAACTGTTTTATTTGGCTCAATTCTGAATGGGCACACTCTTCTTGAACAATTGTACAAAATAATAATCAACAATGTCATCAATGTGGATTGACTTTGTACAGTTTCTCTTGAGTACCTGAATCTGAATATAATTGCTATGTATTTAATAATTTTCTGTGCTATTACAGTTTAACCCTAATAAAATCACATTAAGAAGGTTTCCCCAAAGAGAAAATCAACTTGACAAAAAATTCCATAAGCCAAGGGTCAATATCGAATATTATGGCTACCCAGGGCTTGAAGTGGCATTATGTCTAGCCCAGCTTGTTGCCATTTAGAGTCTTTCCCTGATCAGGAAAACATACTGGACCTAAAAAAAAAAAAAAAAAAAAATCCCTTCTTAGACACCTAATGTTCAAGGAATTAGTAGTTTCCCACCCCATTTAACTTGTTTCTACATATCATGATCTAGAATGTTCTTTTATGAACCCCCGATTCCACCTCTAATGATAAACTGAGGCAAAAAGGGAGGAGAGAAAGGGAGGAAGAGAAATGTGGAGCAAATATACAATTCTTAAGCACTTATGATGTGCCAAACAGCAAAGAATGAGTAATGGGACTCATCAAGAACCTACTGTCTACATGCAGATTGTAAGTGCTGGCAATATTGCCCTTATTCTTTACGAGATTATAGTCAGTTTTCATCGGGTAACTGAGTGCCGCCAGTTGTCATAGCAGCAGGATTGGATCAATTAGTAATTGAAAATCAATGTAAATAGTTACATAACATAATTTTCTGCTATTCTAGTGAAAAACAATTACTATAAACATATCGCTATGCTTGGACATTAGGAGGGATTCTCACCAAAGGAAACATTGGCATGACTGAAGCATTCACATGCACTGGGCTCATGTTTGAGTCACATCCAATCCTCATATGACTCACCATTGTTAGCAATCAGAAAATGAAGGCAGCCTACTCACATCTGGATTCTGATCATTGGCTCACTATGGAAAGTGCTGAAATGTCCTTGCTTTGGAATAAAGAAATACAAGCCAAGAATAAGGGGACGAAGGCCCATTGTCAACTTCAAAAGACACTCTTAGTATCCTTACGATTCTTTTGCTTTGGACAGTTTGGATGATACATCCTTTTACTCAGGAACTAGAAGTGAGCAGCAGGAAGTGAAGGCCTATTTGGGGGACTTTAGGACTTGCTCCAGAGGATGAGCAGTTATCATGAGGGAGAGAAAGTTTGTGTTGCTGGTCAGCAAATACCAAGTGCTTCCTTTCTATTCTCTGGGACAAAATCATCATTGCACCCTTCCTTGGAAGCATGTTGTGGCTGGTACTGCTGGTACCCTTCACATATCCCCCTGGGTCTTACATTTCAGTGCTTATAGCACTAATTTACAATTTGGGGCACGTTTGCCTGAGAGCTTTCTCTGACTTCTAGAGACAATCTGTGCACAGCCATGGAAGACTAGAAATGCTGATTTGCTACTTCGGAGAGCCATCAACCAATACCTGATGGAAATGGCAAATGAATTTTCCTACTTTCTTGCCCCTTGCTGGGGTGACTCTGAGGCTCCTACTTTACAGTATCTCCTACAATCCTCTAGGAGGATGAAGCTTCAGGTGACTACGGCAGTTACTTGCTTCACATTACATTCTTTATGGTTGCCTTCTCTTCTCCAGCTCTACTGGGTTTCCCTGCCAGTGTTTCCTGGGTTCACTTCCCAAATAAACTACTTGCACTTGAATCCTTCTTTCAAGGTCTACTTTTGAAGAAACCTAGACTAAGACTTATCATACTTTTTCTTTTCTCATCATGCATTTTCTTACTTGGTCTAACCAGAAGCTTAGATAATTAAGATCTCTTGATCTTTGATCTCTTGATCTTGATAAACCAGTGTTGAAAATCTAAACACTCACAGAGATGCAGCAAGTTACCTAAATGGGAGAAGTGAGCTGGATAGATATTATGCTAACCAGATGGTACATACTCTGTCTCAAAGAGCCAGCTGCAACTCAGCCCCAGCCAATTGTTGCCACATGGAAAAGTGGGCCCAATGTGGTCACATCGAGTTTCTCATGAGAAGACCGAAATCTAGATTTTTGTGTAGCATCTCTTAATATGTAAATATTGGCCACAAATTCAGATGCTTTTATAACACTGAGCTGGCCAAATAAAACACATCTGTGAGCCATATTTGGCCCAGGGGCCACCAGTTTGCAATCACTATTACAGAAATGCAACCCTTAGCAGGAAATTCACAGATAACATTTAAAGCAACAAGGGTTGCAGCACTTAAAATGGATTTTCACAGCCATTATCACATCTCTTTTAACAGAGCCCATCCTCAGCCCACCCACAAATGGCTGTATCCAGCACTGCATATCTGCTCAAAAAACAAAAGCGACCCAAGTGGAGAGAGAAAGCTAATCATGGGCTTGGCATCTGATTGTGGTCTGGCTTAATACATTATTCTTAGAGCCAACTGGAAAGGAAACCACCACCCAAATCCGTCACGACGTGTGCTATCACAGTGAGTTTAAATTGGGTGGAAATGTTGTGAGTTTAATAAAATAGAACTGCTGAGATGTACATATATATCCGGGTTTAGCGGATAGCTTTTCCAAGGGCATTGTGATGTCAAATATGTTTGGCAGGTTCAATTCTCTTAGCACCCACATTTGCACTGTTTGTAAGATGGGGGTGATTGGAAGCACATGTGCTAATAGTAACTATGCATAATGTGTGAAATTAAGGAAGTGTGGAAGTTTCACTCATGGTCCTAAGCTAACCCTTTGCAGTTGTGTGGGGGGAGAGGAGCAGAGAGTTACATCGTTTTTCTTCTTCTTTTAGGAAACAACTTGAAGCTTTTAGCCTACCTTTCATTTTGCCTGTGGAAACCAAAATGCACAAATAATAATTAAGACCCTGGAATCCCATCTCTGCCAGTAGGAAAGATCAGTATCAAGTGGCGCTTTTAGGTCGGGTGCAGTGGCTCACACCTGTAATCCCATCACTTTAGGAGGCCAAGATGGGCAGATCACTTGGTGCCAGGAGTTTGAGACCAGCCTGGCCAACACGGTGAAAGCCTGTCCCTACTAAAACTACAAAAATTAGCTGGGTGTGGTGGTGCATGCCTGTACTCCTAACTACTCAGGAGGCTGAGGTGGGAGAATCGCTTGAACTCAGGGGGCGGAGGTTGCAGTGAGCCGAGATCGCAACACTGCACTGCAGCCTGGATGACAGAGTGAGACTCTGTCTCAAAAAAAAAAAAAAAAAAAAAAAAAAAAAAAAAAAAAAAAAAAGTGGTGCTTTTAGTTCTATGTGTCTACCAGCCACACCCATATGTAGGAAGGAATAAGTTCTAGAGACCTAATGTACAGCATGGGGAGCATAGTAATAAATATGTCATATACTTGAAATTTGTGGAGAGAATAGATTTAAATGTTTTCACATGCACAAATGGTAACCAGGTGAGGTGATGAATATATAAAATTTCAATTTGTCAATTATATTTTAATAAAGCTGTTGGAAAAAACAAAATGGAACTCAATGATATGCTATTGATTTAAAAAATAACTATTTTGAGAGAAAAGGGCTATTATCAAAATAACTGAGCAGTACTCTTCAAAAGTGTCAAGGTCATAAAAAACAAGGAAAGACTTAGAAACTGTCATGGATTGGAGAACACTAAGGAGGCATGACAAGTAAATGCAGTATGGGATCCTGAATTGGATCATGGAATTGTAAATGGACCTTAGTAGAAAAATATGGTGAAATCTTAATAAAGTCTATAGTTTAGACATTAGTATTGTACTGGGGTTACTTAGTTCTGATAATTGTCCTATGGTTACATAGGACATTACCATAAGAAGAAGCTGAGTGAAAGATATATTGGAACTATCTGTACCATTTTTATACTTCTTCTGTAAATCCAAAACTATCTCAAAATTCAAAAGTTTTTTTTTGTAAAGATTGTTATAAACAACATGGTGGTGCTTGGAAGGGCTAAACAAGGTAATCATCACTTCTTACAAAATTTTGCCTTAGTAAGCTTTTGAAGAAAGAGGATCTCAGTATGCTACATGTAATAAGTAGAATTGTATTTTAGCTCTATTTTATAGGTATATAAACTGAGATTCAGAGACCTCTACTTGTCAAAGTTTACCCAGCTAGTGAGTTCATGGATAGCAAGGTAGGTGACTAGTAATTCTCACTGGGAACATTTTCTTGGCCCTAAATGCCTTATGATAGTGATTCTTACACACAGGGATAAATAAAAATGTAAAGGAGACAGATATAAAAGACAAAATATGCACAGTATAAGTAAATGTAAGAATTTTTTGAATGATCAGATGCTATCTCAAATTAGTGATAAAAGCACATGAACATCTTTTCATGTACTTATTTGCCATTTGTGTATATTCTTCATTGAAATGTCTTTTACATATCATCCAACTGAATTATTTTTTTCACTGTTTAGTTTTAAGAATTCTTTATATATTCCAGATACTAGTCTTTTGTTAGATAGGTGGTTTGCAAATATTTTCTCCCATTCTATTCAAGAGTATTAGAAGAGCTAAGTCTACATTTGAAAAAAAAAAATCAAACAGAATCCTACCTCCCATCATATCTACCATCCCCAGTGTATGAAGAGATTGAGTTAAAAGTGAAAAACAAAACCATAAAAGTGATAGAAGAAAATAGAAGGTGGCTTTTACTATATAATCTCAGTGTGTGCTATATATTTTTCTAAGAACTCTAAAGGCAGAAATCATAAAAGACTGCATGGATTTACCTAAGGTAAAAGCAAATGCATTTTTATCTCCCAGGAAAACTCCTCCCTGCCAGCATACATAAACCATCAAGCTATCTGTTCCTTTATAGTCACATTCACTTCCCTCCTGCTGCCTCCGTCCTCTCCTTAACCCCTGGTAATCACTAATTTGTTCACCACTACTGTAATTTTGTCATTTCAAGAATGGTATATACATAGGATCATACTATATATAGTCTTTGAAATTGGCTTTTTTCACTCAACGTAATTCTCTAGAGATTCATCCAGGTCATTGTGTTGTATCAATAATTCATTTTTGTTGCGGAATAGTGTTCCATGGCATGGACGTACCACAATTTGTTCAACTGTTCACTCATTGAAGGACATCTGGGTTGTTTCCAGTTTTGGGGTGTTACAAATAAACCTGCTTCAAACATTTATTCACAAGGTTTTGTGCACATAAATCTTTATATCTCTGGGATAAATTCCCAGGAGTGCAAATTACTGGGTTGTGTAGTAGTTGCATGTTTAGTTTTTAAAGAAATCATGAGACTGTTTTCCAGAATGTCTATACCATTTAAATTCCCAGTAGCAACCTATGAGTAATCTAGTTTATTTGTATTTCCTCCAGATTTGGTGTTGTGTGTGTATATATATATATATATATATATATATATATATATATATATATACACACACACACACACACACACACAGAAGAATGGCTGAAATATATATATATATATATATATATATATATATATATATATATATATATGGCTGAAGAATGGCCATATATGTATATATATATTTCAGCCATTCTTCTGGTGTGCAGAGATTGTGTGGTTGTGTGCAGTGATTGTGGTTTTAATTTGCATTTTCCTGATGGCTAATGACGTTGAAAATCTTTTCACGTGCTTATTTGCCATTTTCATTGGCAAATATTCTTCACTGAAATATCGTTTGCCCATTATCCAACTGGATTTTTTCATTGTTTAGTTTTGAGAATTATTTATATATCCTAGATACAAGTCCTTTGTTAGATATGCGGTTTGCAAATGTTTTCTCCCATTCTATATTGTCTTTACATACTCTTAACAGGTTCTTTTGCGGAGCAAATATTTTACTTTTGATGAACTCTAACTTATGTATTTTTCCTTTATGGGTCATGCTTTTGGAGTCAAATCTAGGAAATCTTTGCCTAGCCTTAAACCTTCAAGATTTTATCCTGCCTTTTCTAAAAGCTTTATAGTTTTACATTTTGAATTTAAGTTTGGGATCCATTTTGAGTAATGTTTTTTGTAAAGTGTGAGACTCAGTAGAGGTTTCACAATTGCTTTTTTTTTCCTTCACCACTTGAAAAATATGGTGCCATTTACTTCTGGTCTCCATGGTTTCTAATGAGAAATCCACTGACATTTGAATTATTTTTCCTGTGTAGGTAAGGTTTTTGTTTTTTCATTGGCTGTTTTTGAGACTTCTTTTTTAGTTTTCAAAAGTTTAATTATGATGTGTCTAGGCATTGATTTATTTAGGTTTACCCTGTTTGGAGTTTGCTCAGCTTCTCAAATCTGTACATTTATGTGTCTTGCCAAATTTGAGAAATTTCTGCAGTTATTTCTTGGAGTCCTTTTTAGACACACTCTCTTTCTCCTCCCTCTCTGGAACTCCACTGACATGAGTGTCAGAGCTTTTGTTATAGTCCCATGGGTCTCTGAGGCTTCATTCACTTTTTTCAGACTGTTTTCTTCCTATTGTTCAGATTAGATAATTTTTATTGTTCTATCATACAGTTCATGAATTCTTTCCTATGTCTCATTTATTATAGTGTTGAGCCCATCCACTGAGCTTTTTGCTTCCATTGCAGTTTGTTTCAATTTTAAAATTTTCACCTGGGTCCTCTTTACATATTCTATTTCTTTGATAAGACTTTCTATGTACTTGCTGAGGCTTTCTACTTTTTTTCTTCCTCTATTCCAAGCGCGTTTATAATTGCTTTTAGAACCATTTTATAATATCTTCTTTAATATCTTTGTAAGGTAATTCTGACATCCCTGCCAATCTGTTGGCATTTATTGATTCATTTTCCTCATTAGTTTGAGATATTCTTGATTCTTGGCATGATGAATGATTTTTTTGTTGAAACCTAGACATTTTCATATTATGACATGAGACTCTGGATGTTATTTAAACATGTTTTAGCTGATATTTTCTGGTACTGCTCTAGCAGAGGAGGGGAGATATCATTTCATTACTGCTGGTGGGGGTTGGGAGTTCCAGCTCCCAGGTGGTCTTCACCACCACTGCAATTTGAGTGGCCTCCTTGTTGAGTAATGGTGAAAGTCTTGGTTCTTTTCCCGGCCTTTTCTGATTATCATCCTGGAAAGGGTAATGGTGTGGCTCATTACAGCCTTGCAAGGGTGGAAGTCTAGGCTCCCCACTCAATCTTTAAAAGTCTTATTATGTTTGTTTTATGCATAATGCCCAGGGGTTTTAGTTGTACTTAGTAGGAGGAATATTTAATGTACTTCATATTCTCAGATGTGAACCTTCCAATATTATTTTTATTTATATCTATTTTTAGAGGGTGACCTTGGAAGGCTGGAAATTTTTTAGAAACTTGAGTTGCATTATTTCATTTATTCTCACAGCAATCCTACAATAGAGGTAATGTCTTTTGAGTTAGACATGAGTACTCTTTGAGATTAAGCAAATTGCCTAAGATCAAGCAACTAAATGATAGACCAGAATTCTAACCCAGGTCTCTTTAAGAGAGGAGCCCAAAAAATGTCTGCAATCTCTGGGCCCTGACCTGGCCCTGGCACTTTCATTATCTTCACTAAACTTTATGAAAATTACAAATATGTGTGGGGTGTGTGTGTGTGTGTGTGTGTGTGTGTGTGTGTGTAAAGCAAAGGTGGGGATGAAATTCCCATCAGCTGGTAAGGTGAGGGGCAGTACTAGCATGTGAGAGAACAAAGTGCCTGGAAGGTAAGGGTACCAGGAGAACCTGAGTCCCTCAAGAATTCACAAAGACTCTGGATTTCCACAGGCTTGGAAATTGGAAGCAGGGTAGGTGTGCCGCCTGTTAAAGGCATTTTTTGTTTGTTTGTTTTTTTACCTAGATCTTAAGGACAATCCATTTTACTTGGGTGAACTCTGATTCTCTGAGGTATGAGAATGAGACTGGAGGGCTATATGTGTTAATTAGGGGAACTGAACAATCTGATGATCATTTCACTCTGAAGGACAGAGCAACTTGGCCTAGGTCACACCTAGTAATGTTAAAAGCCAAGAAAATAACTCATGCCCTCTGTCTCCTTATTCAACGATATTTCCAGTATAAAAGGATAGACTCAGGACTTCTTTTGTTGCTCAAGGGTAAAGATACTGGAACTATTATTTGACCTGAATGAAGAGAAGAAAATGTACTCTGCCTACTAGTCATTTACTCATCTCTTTTTAACTTGGAATAACATGATTACATCTGATGACCTAAGCTTCTCTAGAATAGATACATTCTGTATGTTCAGGATGAAATTTGGGTTAGGACAGATTCATTTAGATTTCCCATTCATCATTTCATTTGTATATGATTTCTCCAAGAGTCTTTTCAACGTTTCAAGAGCACAACTTTGGAGTCTGCCCAATCCTAACCCACTAGGAGCAAGTTACCTTTCTGCAATACTTTAGATAATATGGTTCATCGACTTTTCCAGTGCAATGGTGAGACCATGAACCAGAGTCCCATGACTTCAATGGTGAGTTCCAAAGGCAAAGGCTAAAAAAAATTTGCTCGAAAAAGCCATTATCTGGGGATCGTTGCTCTTTTTGAACAGAGAGTGACCTTTGATTTCATGCTGTGCTCAGTCCTTTTACAAGATCATTGGATTTATCAGTGGCTTGAAGAAGTCCAGTGTTACTTCATAAAACACATGTTGCAAATAACAAATTCATAAGGAGGCAAGAAGAGATTTTATTAATTGGATCGGTAAATCAAACATTGTAATAAAGTTGTTTTCAATATTTTGATTGGAAAGAAGCATCAGAGCTGACAGACCCAGCCTTCTGGAATCTATTTAAAAGTTTTAATGATCTTGTTTCAGGATTAAGTTTGCCTCCTGGTTCCCAGCTTTTGTCCCTTTCTAAAGTGACCAAATTTGAAGAGAAATATCAGATGGCATAGGCCCTGCAGCTGTACTCTGTAAGTCACAGCTGAAAGTATCACTCTTGTCCTTATCCTGTCCTAAAAGGACAGGACATGTTCTCTTAGGACAAAACTCAAAGAAAAGGGACAAAAAGACCTGTGCTAGGCCCAGTGTAGGAGGAAGAAATTTCTCTTGATCTATATTCTTTTAGAATATCTTTTCAATTTTGACTTCCTTCCTTAGTTTCGGCCTGTCATCTCTGCTGAACACTGTCAGCTATGTGCTAGAGACATGTTCTTCACTGCCATGTACTTGAAGTAAAAAGAAAATGCCAGTTTGGCTTAAAAGGACCTTGATGAAGCAGTAAAAATTATTCATTTTATTAAATCTCAACTCTCGATTATGTATCTTTTTACTATTCTGCATGGTGAAATGGGATGTATACATAAAGTATTGTATGCACACTGGCATATACTAGATCTTGCAAGGTAAATCACTGTGTGATTGGTTCTTTCATAGTGAGCTGAACTGGCTTCTGTTCATGAAACATAAGTTTTATTGGGAAAAATTACTGATAGACAAACCATGATTTTTCAGACTTGGGTGTTTGGTGTTTGCTGTTTGCTCAAAATGAACCACGTGAGCCAGTCATTTCAGGGAAAACAATTGATAACCATTGCCAATGGCAAAATATTGAGCTTTCAAGAAAAAAATTAGAAACTTGTATTTTCCGCTTTGAGCTTGAGAGCTTCCCAATATTTAGAGACTTTTCTGAGGAGGTTGTTGGTAATACTGAAAAATGGTGCTTTATATATTGAATAATACAATGTATTATTTTAAGGGTCTGTATAACTCAATGAACCAATATTTTCCAAGAGATCAATGCATAATGTAAAAACATCATTCATGGTAAAAGATCCATCACAAATGCAAGATTGGCCAATGGATTTAAATATAACAGTGCAAAGTTTCATTAATATATTTCAGATTCTACATGGCAACTAACCTCTAAAAGCTGTCCTTGTTGAGTCCTTCTTTTTCTAATGACTTATTTGTATAAAGTCAATTTTCTTCGTATACATTAACCAAAACAACAGATCACAACCAATTCGATGCAAAACCAGAAATACAAATCCACCTGTCTTCTATAAAACCAGACATTAAAGAGATTTGCACACACACACATACACACACACACATGCTAATCTTCTCACTGTTTGGTTTGTTTTCAAAAATGTAGTTATTGTTCATAAAATATGTATGTTAACATATGTTTATTGCTCTCCTTAAAATAAATATTTTAAAATATTGTTTCAGTTTCTAATACGATGAACTATAGCTAGATAGAACCCACATAAGTACAGCTCTTTGAGGTCCTCAATAATTTTTTAAAATATAAAGGGATCGTGAGACCAAAAGTTTGAGACCCACTGCTCTAGATCATCTCTTTGCAGTTTTTTTCTTACTTAGTTTTAGAGAAAAAAATAGTACAGTTATCTTTAGGGGGGCTATTTGGGATTTGTTAATTCTATCATTTTTCTTAGTTGTGATAGGGAAGGTGTGGATAATTCCAGGAGGCATGCTGGTGTTTGTCTACTCTCCAGGCAGCAGGATTAGAAGCAGAGTGTGGCTCCCTCAGGAAATCTGCCTGGAGGCCTTGACAGTGGGCTCGAACCAAATCAACTGTTGAAGGAGTCTGGCACAGAGAGCTCACTCATTTGCATTGTTTGGTGTGATTTTCCTGGCTTCATACTGTGAATCTACTCAACAAATATCTTAATTCAAGAAAAAGTCACTTAGCACATACCAGGTGGGAATCACAGTGCTTTTGGGAATACCTGTCAAATAAGCTATGGCCCCAAATCAGCACAACCTATCAAGAGAAACAAATAATAATAGCAAACTTGTCTGTGGTGCCAGGAGTGATTGGAAATGCTTTCCTTCTGATATTTTCTGATGTAATCCTCACAACTACCATATTTTAGAATAATTCCTGTTTATCAGAGGAGAAAGTGGAGGTTTAGGGAAGATTAGCATCTTGCTCAGCATCACACTTAGCAAGCTGCAGAGCTGGGAGAAGAACCCAGGTGTCTTTGATGTAAGCATCTGAACTTTTAATTGTCCCTGAAAATGATGATATTAGGCAAGCTAGAATAGAGTGGAAACAGAGTGAGAAGAGAAGACTAATTCTGAGAGGGAAAGCCTGGCACTGAGCTAGACCTTGAGGGAAAAGTGGATCTTGAACTGGAGGACATCTGGGGGTGGGAAGTGCATTCCAGGCAGAGGTCACTGCTTGCGCAAAGGCCTGCAGCTAATAGGATACCTGGCACACTTGGAATATTGTGGCTTGAGATAGAAAAAGTGCATAGAGAAGAATGGGGAGAGCTTTGAAAGGGATATTGAAGATGTTGGACTTTGTTCAAGGAGGGTGGTAGCCTTAAAGGATTTTGAAAAGGGAAGTGACATGCTCCAAGCTGTGTCTCAGGGAGACAACAACGTGCACAATTAGACATCTGCATTTGCTTAGCAACAGAGAGCTCTAGGGCTGTAACTCTTACTCCAAAGGAATTCCTAATGATTTCATTTGCAACAGGCCAGAGCTCCTGCCCGTTTGGCACTAGGATGTGGTGTGTGGCTTTGTTTTAACAAACCTTGGCCATGACTCCCTAACACAAAGCAGAGCTTAGGGTTGTGACCCTCTGTAGCAGAGAACTCCCTGCCAACTGTCAAACCAAGTTCTCAAAGGGAAGCCTTCTTTCTGTTCCGATCTCCTTCTCTCTCACCTTCTCACTTCAATTGGTGGATGTTAATGTATTGAAAGCTCCTTTAAATGCTTACAGGAAGTTAGTTTTTAACCAATGGAGGTCTCCAGCAAAGCCCTATCAGGGCCAGAAACCAAGAAGCAGGAAATCATGTGGCATCCACCTGCAACCACTCCGGCTCTCAAATAAGCCTCCTGGGAGAGAGCTACAGACTCCATTTGGAAACTTCCTTGGAGGTCATTGAGTGAGATGCTACTATTTTCCAACATCCCAATGTGCACATATGACTTATTGATAATGTATAACCCTACTATTTCCCACAAGGAGTTGAGGTGGTTTGCAATAACAAAATTCATATTAAATTCTAATATTTAAAAACAAAAACTCCGCCCACCCCCCACCCCACAAAGAAAAAATATATGTGCAGGCACATCTGCTAATCTTTGAGAGGCTAGGGAAGGGTGGTGACATACTGTTTAATTTATAAACCATTTTTTTTTCTTTTTTTGAGATGGAGTCTCACTCTGTTGCCAGGCTGGAATGCAGTGGCACGATCTCTGCTCACTGCAACCTCCACCTCCTGGGTTCAAGCAATTTTCCTACCTCAGCCTCCTGAGTAGCTGGGACTACGGGCATGCGCCACCATGCCCAGCTAATTTTTGTATTTTTAGTAGAGACAGGGTTTCACCATAAGTTGTCCAGGATGGCCTCGATCTCTCAACCTTGTGACCTGCCTTCCTCAGCCTCCCAAAGTGCTGGGATTACAGCTATGCTCCACCGTGCCCCACCATTTGTAAACCATTTTTAAATATCACAATCCCAGAAAGCCTTCCCATGCAAGAGCCACAAGTGCAAACCTGTTTACAGAAACTCCAACGAGATTCTATTAAACAACCCACTATTTGGCTGGGAGGGGGAGTGGGGAAGTCAGAAACTGTAAACCGTTAAACTAAATTTAAGCGTTGCATTTTTTTCTTAACTTTTTAAAAAGTGTTGTATTTAACAGCCCAATGATGCCTACAAAGAAGTAAGATAACTTTTCCCTAGGTGGGTAATTGAAGCAAAGAGACAAGAAAAAGTTCCTAGCTCTTGCATGAGAAGGCAAGGCATCGTTTCCCTTCTCTGTTGAGTTATGACAGATAACTTTGATATGTGAAAAGAGAAGACAAGCCGGGAAGAGCAACTGGAAATTCTGAAGTAATTACAAATCACATGGCATGAGTAAAATACATCCATTTAAGCTGATTTTCTTTCCAGAGATGTTTACTTGAACTCTAAAACAATTTGGATCTCTTGAAAGCAGTTCTCTTAATTGAAAAGTTTTCATTTTTCTTTTATAGAACATCAGATCTTTTTGTATCTAATGCATATGCACTCATTTAACATCCTTGTTATTGTATTAAATAGTTTTCGATTATGTTGTCAATTGGAAATTACTGGCTTTTATTTATCACAGAATAATGCAATGACTGCAAGAACAAGTGATTTTCAAGTTTAAGCTAATTTTTCCAAGTGATTTTATTTTTATCTTTCAACCCTCCTATTCTTCCATTTACAAAAACTACAAGTAAAGATAACACAGATGGACTAGAAAGATTGCCTGATTTTCTTAAATCACTGAGGTGTTGAGTAAGCCTGCTTTCATTTGGATTTTCATTTTCAGCATGAAGCTGGTTTGCAGATGGCTGATTAGGAAATCTTGGCAGATGTCATGAATGTGGCAACCTGAGAAATCAAAGCTGACACAAGAAGGGCCTGATGATGTAAGAAGCACTTCTATCTGTTTGTCTGGATTGCTGTGTCCAACAGAAGTTTACAACTGGCCAGCAGTGTGGCAAGCAGAACACCATGTTAAGAGTGTAAATATCAGATAGGAGGAAAAAATGGGAATATCTGGTATCCTCCAGGAAACCTGGAGCTGATGACTTTTCCTTATAATTGGCTAGTATATGAATATCAACATTTCCTGGTCCTTGGGACTCTTAGTTTATTTTAACTTGTTCACTGAACACTGCTTTTCATGTACCATCTGTCTACTCAGAATCTGTTGCTTTGAGATAAAGTTCAACTGCCTTGGACTAACACTTAGAGGGCTGCACTAGCTTAGAGTCCCCATTAGCTTTTCCAGCACTAAAGATACTGGAATACTGAGTGTTGAAGAATAAGTAATGTTGCATTAGGCAAAGATGGTTAAGGAAGAAGGAAATTCAGGTACATGGCAGAGATAGGGAAAAATATAGATGCTTGAAAGGACAAGATGTGTTTAGAGAATGGTAAGTTATACAGTGTGACTAGAATGTAAAATATATGGAGGGACCTGGGAAAGATGAACTCCCAAAGGGAGGTGGGGTCCTGTAATATAGGGTCATGCAAGCCAAGCAAATGATGTTGGGTTTTCTTTCTGTAGCCACTGTAGTAGCCAACAAAGGGTTTTGTGAGCCAAGGTGTTATAATCAGTGCTGGATTTTAGAAAACTAACTGGCAGCAGATGGATGTTCTGATTGGAATTCTCAGAAAGGGTCAGACAACTGCAAAAGACCCTCTTAAACACTGTAATTACACAAAAACATTTTACATTTGTTAGAAATTACAGAGATTACCAACTGGCCCAAGACATCATGGTGAAAATATTCAGACAGTTGGCAAACTTCTCTTTCTCTATATGTTATTTCCAAATGAGATAATCTTCGATCTTCTCTTCCATCCATATTATTCCCTGTCTTGAAAAAAATGTTAAAAATGTTGGGAAAATGCACTCCACCCATTTTTTTGGAAGGGCTAGTTTCTTAGTTCCTATGTGAGCCAAATCATTATCCACAGGAATTTTCTTAGAAAAAGCAGATTGCCAAAATATTCTTCCAATATGATTCTTGTGGGAATCTATGGAAGGTGAATGCAAGTTACAGTTGTAGAATGTAAGAGAGGAAGAAAAACATTAACCACAGTCAAAACGTATTGTAAAGTATCCAAGACTTTGTTAGTTCTTCGTGAAAATTTACATCTCATAAAAAAGCATGAAGAGCTCAGAGGTTACATAATCTATATTTTAGTCTTCTACAGATACTTTATTATTATTATTATTATTATTATTATTATCATCATCATCAGAGGCAGGGTCTCACTCTGTCACCCAGGCTAAAGTGTAGTGGTGTGATCATAGCTCATTGCAGCCTCAACCTCCTGGGCTCAAGTGATCCTTCTACTTCAGCCTCCTGAGTATCTGGGACTGCAGGTCTGCACCAACACAACTGGCTAATTTTTAAATATTTTGTTGAAATGAAGCCTCGTTGTGTTGCCCAGGCTGGTCTCAAACTCCTGAGCTCAAGTGATCCTCCCACCTCGACTTCTCAAAGTGCTGGGATTACAGGCCTGAGCCACTATGCCCAGCCAAATGCTTAATTATTGACCGGGATTTTTCAAGAACATTCTATAAACATTTTTGAGCATTGTGCAGGGCACTGTGGGTATACTGGTGAACAATGTAAACACAGTCTCAGCCCGCATGGGGCTTACATCTAAAATAAAAGTACAAAAAGATAGATAAGCAATTATAATATAACATTATTTTGATAGATAAGCAATTATAATATAACAATATTTTTAGTGTGAAATGCTTTGATACAGGAAGTATAGGGTGTAACGTGACCATACAGGCTAAATTTGGAGGTCAGGAAACACATCCTTGAAGAAATTACAAAGAAGGCTGGATGTGGTGGTTCACTCCTGTAATCCCAGTACTTTGGGAGGCTGGGTGGATCACTTGAGGTTGGGAGTTCAAGATCAGCCTGGCCAACATGGTGAAACTCCATCTCTACCAAAAAATTAGCAGGGCATGGTGGTGTGTGCCTGTAATCCCAGCTACTCAGGAGGCTGAGGTGGGAGAGTCCCTTGGACCCAGGAGGCGGAGGTTGCAGTGAGCCAGCCTGGGAAACAGAGTGAGACCCTGTCTCCAAAAAATAATAAATAAATAAAAACAAAGAAAAGAAATTACAAATAAGCTGACATTTTTAGATGTCATAAACATAAGCAGAACCTAGACCAGCAAAATGAGTAACCACAGAGAAGGAGGGTGGGTGAGAGTATGAGCAGAGCTCTATGCGAAAACTCAGAGTAAAGAGAAAGCCTGTGAGTTCAGGAAACCAAGCATCTCATCCCAGGAATTCATATATATACTGTGTGTATGTGGAGGATGGGGAAGGAGCAGGTGGAAAGGCAGAGTATGCACAGATGAAGCTGGAGAGGCAGGCAGGGACTAGATCTACCAAGTCTGGTAATACTCATAACAGAATTTGGGATTTATCCTTAGAGCAGGGGCAAAGCATTGGCTGCTTTTAAGCAAAGGAATGACCATGATGATATTTGCATCTCAGAAAGATCCCTCTGAACGTAGATTGGAGAATGAATGGGTGGATGTGTGTAAGTTGCAGGCAGGAAGCTCAGTACAGGAGGGTGTTATAATCCTCAGGAGTGATGATGGAAGCCTGAGTAAGGCCAATGGAAATGGAGACAGAAAAGAGGGAATGGATTTGAGCAGTATTAACAAGAGACAATAGACAAGACTTTGTTGTTTAGAATGAAGGTTAAAAAGAAGGCAAGAATGAGTCCTGTATTTGTGGCTGATCTGGTATTTAATAACTGTTTACTGAGATAGAGCATTGGGGTAGAGAGGAGGAGCAGATGAAGGGATGAAGAGAAGGAGTTCAGTTTTGTTTTTACTAAGTTTAGGATGTCTGATGGGCATTCAAACATTGGACATATGGACCTGGAGCTCTGGACTGAGATTTGAGAGACTTTAGCACATAGATGGTCTAGGCAGACAATGTGTGTAAGGAATCCTTAAGTCTTCTTGGTAGCAGAACTGGAAGCATCCAGTAATATGACTTAAAATGGGAAGAGCTGCCCCATTTCTGAATCGGCTTCACCACAGCTCTGTAATACACAAAATTCTATTTCATTCCATCTCTAGGATCCTAAGAACCTCTGTGTCTCTCCTACCTTTTCCTCCTCTCAAAGAAATCACAGATCTTCAATCAATTACTTTAAATATCGTTGGTCTATTAGGGCTTACCTTGGTTCCATCATGTCTTCCTCTGTAGTTCTGGTCTGAACAAACTGTACAAGTTTCATAACATTATATACCCACATAAAAGCATAAGAAGAGAATCCAAAAGAGTAAAATCAGGACATGCAGTTTCAGGCAAAATAACTGAATTGGGTTTTAAGGGGAATTATTTAGGTCATTCGATATTTAATTTAAACTGTATGCTTCCTATTCCACTTTTAATTAATTCATCTTTTTGCTTGCGCTGACACGGTCAGAGCTTATTTCGGATCCCTTGTTCTCAAAGATCAAATTGCTTTTCTAAAGTAGATTTGGTTTCTAAAACTTGGCATCTCTGAGCTTCTGGTGCCGATACAAAGAGCACATACATATTTCAACAATCCACGGATTGTTGTTAGTAAGAGGCATCCGTTCCTGGCCTTTGAGAGGAAGGGCACAGCAAGTTTCTGCATAGGGGGAAGCGATGGAGCTATTATTACATTCAAGACATCACTGGTTTGTCCATTCAGAAATGGACAAGTTAGGCTCTGTGGTCCACTCTAAAGAAGAGACTGTGAAAGTGGGTCCCCTGTTGACACTTTGACTGCTAGCCCTTCCCTCACATCCAGCCTGCAGCAGAAGGTTCCCAGAACCCTGGTTTGCTAACCTTGACCTCTCCCATCACCATGGAAATGCAACATTGCCAAGGGAACTTCCTCTGTGATTATCATTCAGACTATAAAAGATTAGAATAGGAAAAAAGAAAAATAAAAATTCAATGTCCATTTCATCTCACCATTCAGCCTTTTTCTTTAGAACAAAGGACCTCCTGGCAATTTATTTGAAAGTTTGCTGTCCAGGGTGGGGCCTGGGGTAGGGAGGAGGAGGAGTCAGGCCAAGAACTGCAGCAGCTGCTTAACATGTTGTCAGACTTCTGCTCTGTGGAGTGTTACTGTTTGACTTGAGGCTTACCTGTGGCATATTAAAATATTTGGAATAATGATTGTATCCTTAATAGTACTTGACATTCATTTGGTTTCTCACCTGCAGGTTGCTAAGCAAACAACCAAACTATCAATATTATTATTTTTCCACCACCCCCTTTGAATCAGAAATTTGATAGCAATAAAAGAGGCTCGATTTCAACTTATGGTGGGTTTGTTCCCACAGATTTGGAAGAAACCATAGAGATCTAGTCTAAAGATCTTTAACCTGAAGTCCGAGAACTTTTTGGAACTCTGTGCAAAATATGCTATGTGTATTAAAGATAGTTCATAGCTTTTCTCAGATTCTCATAGGTTCTAACATCCAGAAACATTAAGAATAACATACCTGGTCTAATACCCTCCTTTAACAGATCAGTGAAATGAAACCCAATGAAATGATGTCCTTTTGCTTCCTTTCTTCCTCCTGCTCCTTTATTCTTCTCCTTCTCTTACTCTTCTTTTCCTCTTCCTCCTCCCTCTTTCCTATTCCCAAAATGACACAGCTATATACCTTGAATTTTGCGTAGGGTTGGAGTGAATGTTAAACAAGATTGGAAGAGTTCCACATTGGGGCACAATAAAGACAATAAGTGGGAATGCAGTTGAAAGTGCACCTGGACTCACAATGAAGATTATTAACGTGTAGGCCAGTTATTGCAGAAACACATTCTGGGGTTTTGGCCATTAATTAATGCAGGATCCCTGGTAACCCAGCAATCAGGACCTGGCATGTTTTCAATATGTGTTTCTTGGTCCACTAGTTGCCTTGGCAATTGTGTCTCTCTTCCTGTCTCCAGGAGTGGGGATCAGAAGCTGTTGAGGCCCAGTATCCCCAGAGTTACCAGGGAAAGAATGATACAGGGGGCTTCTGAAAGTCCCAGGAGTTCCTGTCTGACTTTGACTCTGCTTCCAGAGAGTAGAAAAGGTGAACCCTATGTATCTTGATGAGGTAAATATATTGTGCTTTCATTTGTGATATCTTACCATCTAGCTGCTATTCATTCTGAACCTTGAAGTCCTCATCAACACTGATACAGCAAAGATATCCCTTATGAATTTTAGAATCAGAGTCGTAAGTTTGGGTGCTGGCTTCAACAGTACTGGCCTTGAGCAAGTCCCATAACCTGTTTAGCTCCTGGTTTCTGCATGTGTAAAATGGCAACCACCAAAATACCTACTTTAGTGATGGTTGCAACAATTAAATAAACTGAGATATATAATGTGTCCCACATGGGGTCTAGCATCCAGTAAGACTCTCAGTATAATAAAGACTTCCTATTAACTTTTACCCAGCTCTGGCCTTTCTGTATCTACCACGTAAACTGACTCAGAGTGTAGGAATGCTGGAGGTATTTTCTTGTGGTTTGTTCTGCACTTAAGAATAAATAACAATAATCAAGCCTCAGTTACTCTCTTTGCTTTCTCTTGAGCTCCTTAAGTGAAATGAATAAGATGGTCTGGAAAAACATTTCGTGTGTCCCTCCACACACAGTTAAAAAGCAGTCAAAAAGACTTAAACTTAAAAAGTTTAAGTCTTCTGTGAACCCTGTAAGGCAGTATCATTCAAAGTGTTCAGATTTGTCAATGTTTTTTCAAACTCCTGAGCTCAGCCAATCCACCAGCCTCTGCCTCCCAAAGTGCTGGGATTAGAGGCGTGAGCCACCACGCCTAGAGTCAATGCTTTTTATGATAAATCTTTGCAAACTCTCTTAGGAATTAAATTTATATGTTTTACCCTTTTTACATGTTATGTATGAAAGAGAGATTTTAAGTTAAAAATATACGTATTTTAGGTCTGTGTTATAAAATCTTAAGCCAAGTGATGAGAGCATATACATTCATTATATTATTATCTATACTTTTTTGTATTCCCAAAATATCCCATTATGAAAAGATAATATTGCACTAATATTTCATTTTTAAAAGTCTAGTAATTATTTTAATAGAGGAAAAATGTCAACAATTTTTTATTTATCAAGTGATATATACTATTTGATTTTTTTTCTATTTCCTTTTTTCTTTATTTCTTCTTAAAAAAACAGGATGCCTATTTGATTTATATTAACTTAATTCTAGATGTAAAAGAATGATTCATGGCCAAATACATTTTAACATTTCTTTGTGTCATATTTTTACTTTGGGACTAAAACTATATTAAAGTAAATTGGAGTCTAACTACAAGTTCTAGAATCAACAATTGCTTCCATAACTAGCTTAAAATTTCTCTTTTGAACTTAAAAAATCAACTGGTATTGTTTTTCGATGTGTCTAATTTTCAGGTTTTTTTTCTAAATCACAAGATGAGAATGAAGGTTTTAGGATTTGATTTGCACAAATAACACACTGCGGTTGTTGACAGGCCTTATTCTCAATAGCTGGAAAGTCAAATTATATATAATCATCATGTATTTTACATTTTTAAATACTGTTAAAGTACAATAAACACCCTGGTGTGCAATATGAGAACTTTGAATGCTGTCCACGGATCTAATGCAAGCATCTTGAGGCAAGTTTGCGAATTCACTGCTTTTGTGTTTCCCTTCCACTTTCTATATTTCAACAACAGAGTTCCTTACAAATTAAACAGTGTATGACTAAGAATAAAACAATACGAAATGGTATATGGGTCAAAAATATTGTGGCAGCTACAGGGGTTTGGTGTATGGTAAAATGACTATGTGATTGAATCATGAAGACCCTTGTCAGATATCCACTAAGTCCTGAGGGCTCGGTGACATAAACACAGGGGACCCATAAGGACAAAAATGCTTGATGTTATTAAGCCCCAAATGGGAAAGTTGCTGTGTAATGATAACTTGACTGACAAAACAACAAACTTATTAATTCCGTTGCATGGTCACACTTGGATTGGAATACCTGGGACTGATAGCATTATTCCAGGAAGGAATAGAGTTCAACAGAACCCTGACCACTCTGGCTTATAGATTGTCAAGTTGGTGAGAAAGTCAATAATTTTGGTCACAAAATCAGGGGGTTCCAGGAGTTAAGAAAAGTCAGCACTATTTTCCACTGTTCAGGCAGTTGTTATGTAACAGAAAACTCACAGCAGTTGTTTCAAATCCTATTTTTCATAAATGCCACTGTCCAGCCTTACTCTCAGCAGACAGCTATATCCTCAACCAAGAACATCAAGACCAAAGAGCTCAAGGTCTCTCATCTCCAAACACTCTGAATCTCTACTCCCTCTCTGCCCTGCATTCCAGGCCCCCTCCTGGCCTACCTGGAACAATGGCCTTAGTTTCCTATCTTACCCCTCTAGTGATTCTCACTCTTTTCCGTCTTTAAGTGTCTCCATCTCTTCTGGGTTTTGCCCTAAACCTATGGCAAGCTGGTTCTCCTTTATTCCAAAAACTTCTCTCGACTTTGTTTCATTCTCAAAGTACTGGCCTGGCTCTTGCTTTCTCTTCGTTGTCAAACATTGAGTCTCCATGTGTGTGTACCTTTCACATTCTTTCTGTCCAGCCCTCTGTGACCATTGCACATTAGCCTCTGCCTTCAACACTATCCTGGAGTCACATGCAGCCTCCTGAAGGTCTCATCCAAAGGCCTCTTCCATATCAGCACAATTGGATGTTACAGACCCAGCCTCCTTTGCCATCCTCTCTTCCCTTGGCTTACATGTTGCTGCCTAGTGGTCATTCCAGCTACTTTTTCTCCTGCTTTACCCCCTTCCTCTTTCACCGGTTCTTTACTTCCACACCCTATGAATTTAGATCTTCAGTTAAATTTTATCTTTGGCCCTCTTCTCTTTTCTCTTTCTCTCCATCATTTCATTCACATCACTACTATGGTAAAGTACAAGTTCTAGGCAGATGACTCCAGAATTGAGTTTTCCAACTCATGCCCCTCCATCATCTCAGGCTTAGCGTATTTGTGCCTGCCTCTTCTGCCTTGTTCTTGCCCCCAGGTCTGAAACCTCAGCATCAGTTTTGACTTTTTGCTGATCACTTACCATCCTGGTCCATTTCTGTAGCTTACTGATAACCTCTGCAATATTCTTCCCATTTCTCCCTCCATTATTCAAACTGTCTGTTGCCCACTGCTGCCATCAGAGATCAAGACTTCATTACCTCTTATTTGGACTGAGCAAATTTATTCCTCACCTTATTCACCCACAACCATACCCCAATCTAACTTTCTATCATTATCTATATATTGTTCTCATAAAAATACCTACCTTAATTTTTAAAAAATCTAGTTTTAGTCTTATTAAAGCCCTCCCTTGCTTTTTATCTTTACCCTTTCACCAACGTTGTTCCCCATGCCTGGAGTGCCCTTTCTTCCTCCTTTAAATCTTAAACACCCCACATTAAATACGACTCCCTCCTTGAAGCTTTTCTTAGTTTCCTCCCTTAAAATGCCAGCACTTCCTCCATTAACTCTCCTTGCACTTTATTTTTACCTTACTCATAGCACTTTTACTCTGCCTCATAATGTAATCAAAGAGATCATCTGCACAATATATGCAGAGATATTCTGCTTTCTCTTTTTCTTTTCTTTTCTTTTTTTTTTTTTTTTGACAGAGGTTTACTCTTTTTGCCCAGGCTGGAGTGCAATGGCGCGATCTCAGCTCACTGCAACCTCTGCCTCCCACGTTCAAGCAATTCTCCTGCCTCAGCCTCCCGAGTAGCTGGGATTATAGGCTCCCACCACCACACCCAGCTAATTTATATTTTTAGTAGAGATGGAATTTCACCATGTTGTACAGGCTGGTCTTGAACTCCTGACTTCAAGTGATCTGCCCGCCTTGGCCTCCCAAAGTGCTGGGATTACAGGCGTGAGCCACCGCGCCTGGTCAAAATTCTGCTTTCTATCATTCTGTCCTTGGGATTCTTTGGCCTAGATACAACATGCCAGTATCCAGTAGACAACTTTCAGGCTGATGCTTTGCAACTGACATCTGCTGAGGATCCTCCACAGCTACCCCTCTCCTTCTGGTAATAGCACCTCTCTCTTAGTTTAGGAATTATCTCTGCCCTACTTCATGTGTTTTTCTATGGTGTTGTCAAAGCGCCCCCAGCATCTCCTAGCCAAAAAGTGGGCACATTAGAATGTCTGTCCCTGGATAACTTGAATGTTATACAAAGTAACATAAGAAAAGTAAAAAAATATATAGCTCACTGGTATCTCCTGAAGAGAATGAACTTAGTTCCTCCCACAAAGGTACCAGGTGCTGCCTAAGTTCCTATTCTTTTCAAAATTCTTTCTTTGATTCTGAGCCAGCCAATTTTTAACCAATAAATTTCTTTCTTTGCTTAAATTAGCCAGCATTTTCTCTGTTGTTTACAACCCAAGAAGTCTGACTTATATATATTGCATCCTCAAGTGTAATACATTCTCATATAGCATGTGTCTAGATTTGGGGTCATAGTAAATATGCTCTTCTGTGCACTGGTCTGTTCTAGAGACTTCCATTGAAAGAGGTTTTATTTATCTTTTATATCAAGTGGCATCTAGGTCAGGCTTGGAGTGGGACATACATTCCATAAGTGTTAGGAATTTAATGAACTTGAATGACTTTTCACGGAGCAGATCAGATAATAGATATGGGGAGGCAAGAATTACAAATCAGAGTCAGTGAAAGTCTGAAACTGGAGAGGCCTAGGGCTACAGCTATCAAGTACTGGAATCAGCAGACCCACTCAGGTACCTAGCAGGGACCTGGCACTAGATCTGCACCCACACGAACAGGACAGAAGCCAGGGGATCTGACTCAGCTACACTGCTGACAGAGACAGCTCTTTCTGTCCAAGTACATTTCTAAGGGTCATGGTTGTAACTTTTCATTGATTAGTCAGTAGTGAAGCTGAAGTATGGGCTGTCTTGCTTGGCAGGTGGGGCATACTGACTAGAGGTCAGGGAGTGCTCTGGAGTCCAGCAGTTAACTACTGAGTAGCTATTAAAAGGGTAATTCAGGTATCAAGATTAAGGGCTTTGGAAGGAGGTTGGTAAGAGGCAAAGGGGTGGAGAAACAAAAATTTACAAGAAGTAAGGATAATAATGCTGAACTAACATGCTGGTTGACCAGAGAAGTTCACCAACTTCTGTCTGAGTCTGATTTAATTCTGTAAGTATGAAGGAGGCTGGACCTACAGGTGGCCTCAGCTGTGAGCAAGAAAGGAGGAAGGGAGAGGCTGGGAGCAAGGCTGGGTCAAATGAGGGCTTCATTGTGGAGGTTCTTTTCTTGTTTCCTGAGGCCAGTTGTTTTAATTGACGTGTGAATAACTTTTGAACTTAGTCTGTATTTTAAGACCTATTCAGTGAGCATGTTATAGACTTAATAATAAGTGTTATTGTAACTGAAGTTTCTACTGAGAATAAAATATTTCTAAGACCCAGGTAAATAGTACATGTACATTAATTCATATTCTGAAGCAACCAGACTTCAAAACATATCTTTTGTTTTATATATTTTGAGGCTATGTTGTTAGGTGCATACAAGTTTATAATTACTGTATCTTACTGGCAAATTGTTCCATTTTTTATTAATCATGAGCTTTTTTCATCCCTTAAAATTATTTTGCCTTAACATTTTTTTCAGTTGCTAATGTAGTTGTGGAACTTTCTTTTGATTCATGACTGTTTGGTGTCATTTATTATGTTATCTTACTTTCAGCCTGTCTGTATCATTATGTTTTAAGCATGTATTTTATAAATAGCATGCAGCTGATTTTTAAAATTCCAAACTGTTATTCTCAATTGACATTTATCAACAAGTATATATTTCATTTACACTGAATGTGATTACTGATATATATTAATTTATCTCCATCATCTTATTTTGCACTTATATTCAGCTAGCTTAGTATATTTTTCTTCCTTTCTAACTTAATTTTCATTGATTTTTTAGTTCATTTTGTTCCTCTACAGTTTGAAAGTTATTTTTATTTCCTTAAAATGTTACCCTTAATATTTTTACATGCATATATGATCAAAAATGTCTTTACCTTCCTCCAGAAAAATACAAAGATCTTAGAAAGTTCTAATTCTAGTAACTCTTCTCTGTCTTATATTATTATCCAATATTTACTTTTTTATTTTAAAAATTTTGTTTTTAATGGGCACATAATTATCCTAACACTTAGGATACAATGTGATGTTGCCATGTATGTATAGTATACACTGTGTAATAATCAATAATAAAATCAAGGTATATAGCATATTCATCTCCTCATACATTTATCATTTCTTTGTGGTAAGAACATTCAAAATTTTCTCTTCTACCTATTGGGAGATTTACAAACTAATATTGTTAATCATTGTCAATCTACTGTGCAATAGAACACCAGAACTCATTTCTCCTATCTAACTGTAACTTTGTACCTGTCGACCAATTTTGCCCACTCCCTTCTCCCCTCCACCACTCCCCAGCCTCTGGCAATCACTATTCTACTCTCTATTTCTACAAGATCAACTTTTTTAGATTTCACAGAAGTGGGGTATTTATCTTTCTGTGGCTGGCTATCTTACTTAATATAACATCGTTCAGGTTCATCCGTGTTGCTGCAAATAACAGAATTTCATTATTTTTTATAGCTGAATAGTATTCCACTGTATATACATATCACATTTTCTTTATCTGTTTATATGTTGATGGACACTTAGGTTGATTTAATATCCTGGCTATGGTAAATAGTTCTGTAGTAAACATGGCAATGCAGATATCTTTTTGACATACAGATTTTATTTCCTTTAAATATATACCCAGTAGTGAGTTTGCTGAATCATACAGTGGTTCTATTTTTAGTTTTTTGAGAAATCTCCATATAGTGTTACATAATGGCTGTACTAATTTACTTTCGACTAATGGTGTATAAGAGTTCTCCTTTCTCCACATCCACATCAGTACTTGTTTTTTTTTTTTTTTTTGTCTTTTTGGTAATAGCCATTCTAATTAGAGTGCAATGATATCTCATTGTGGTTTTGATTTGCATTACCTTAATGATTAGTGACATTGAGCATTTTTTTTACATACCTGTTGGCCATTTGTACCTCATCTTTTAAGAAATGTCTTTTCAGTTCTTTTGCCTATATTTAGATTATTTGTTTTTATTACTATTGAGTTGTTTGGATTTCTTATATATTGTGGTTATTAGCCCCTTTTGAAATGCATAGGTTGCAAATATTTTCTCTCATTCTGTAGGTTGTTTCCTTGCTTTGTTGATTGTTTCCTTTGCTGTGCAGAAACTTTTTAGTTTGATGTAATGCAGTTTGTCTACTTTTACTTTTGTTGCCTATGCTTTTGTGGTCTTATCCAAAAACTCCTTGCCCGTACCAATGTTGTGAAGCATTTCGTTATGCTTTCTTCTAGTAGTTTTATAACTGTTGGTCTTACATTTAAGCCTTTAATCCATTTTGAGGTTTTTTTAATATGGTGACAGATAAGGATCTGGTTTTTTTTTTCTGCATGTAGATATGCAATTTTCTTGGCATTACTTATTGAAGAGATTATTCTTTCTCTAATTTGTGTTTTTAACACTTTTGTTGAAAATAAATTGGATATAAGTGTGTGGATTTATTTCTATGTTCTCTTTTCTGTTCCATGGGGCTATATGTCTATTTTTGTGTCAATACTATACTGTTTTGGTTACTATAGATTTGTAGTATATTTTGAAGTCAGGTAATGTGATGCTTCAAAAGAACTTTCATGGATCACGAGGTCAGGAGATGGAGACCATCCTGGCTAACACGGTGAAACCCCGTCTCTACTAAAAATACAAAAATAAATTAGCTGGGCATGGTGTCGGGCGCCTGCAGTCCCAGCTACGCCGGAAGCTGAGGCAGGAGAACGGCGTGAACCCAGGAGGCGGAGCTTGCAGTGAGCCGAGATTGCGCCACTGCACTCCCGCCTGGGCGACAGAGCAGGTTTTGTTCTTTTTGTTCAAATTGCTTTGGCTATTTGGGGACTTCTGTGGTTCCATACAAATTCTAGAGTGTTTTTTTCTATTTCTGTGAAGAATGTCATTGGTATTTTTGATAGCAATTGCATTGCATCTATAGATTACCTTGTGTAGTATGAACATTTTAACAATATTATTTCTTCCAATCCTTTAACACAGGATATCTTTTCATTTATTTGTGTCCTCTTCAATTTCTTTTATCAGTGTTTTATGCTTTTCCTCACAGAGATATTTCACCTTTTGGTTAAATTTATTCCTAGGATCTTAAATTTTTTCATAGCTACTGTAGATGAGATTGCTTTCTTTTTTAGACACTTTGCTAATAGTAGTATGGAAATACTACTATTTTCATATGTTGATTTTGTATCCTGGAACTTTACTGAATTTGTTTATTGGTGCTAACAGTTCTTTTAGTGGAATCTAAATGGTGTATGTTTATTGTAATTCTTAAGCGATTAGAAACAGCAGAAAATTCATTATTTAAATAAATACAAGTTGAACATTTACATAATAATTCTGTACTTTTTCTTATATATTTTCCATTTTATACATTTTTTTTTTTGTTATGCCAGATGGGAGGAATTCACCCAGACTTTCTCTCTTTGCAAATGTTCTTTTTGTTACCTGACCATAATTGGTAAATAACAAATGAAACTTAGTCAAATTGTGTATTTGATTTATTAGTCCAGGTGGCTTCTTTTTAAAGGAAAATAGACATATTGTCAGTGATCTATGGGGGTAAAAAGAACATTTCAGAGGTTACTTTAAGATTCACTTTCTTCTTTTTTCCTTCCTTCCTTCCTTCCTTCCTTCCTTCCTTCCTTCCTTCCTTCCTTCCTTCCCCATTCCCTTTTTTTTTCTCTCTCTCTCTTTTGGTTGTTTTTGAGTGTAGATGTGGTTTACCTTTTGTTTAAAAATACAAAACAATAAACCTTTGTGCATGTTGGGCTGGTTGATTTTCCATTTTACTCTTTAATTAGGTAAAACTACTTTAAATCTACCAAAATACTTAGTATTCTAGTGCTACAAAGAAGAATATAGCAATGAAATGTTCAGATAAAAGTTCAGGAAAATGGAAAAGATATCACAAAGTAGGCCAATTACATAGGAAGTGTGCTATATGGTAATTGAAAGAGGAGACCCTGCTCTCTTATTCTTTATATTTATTCCATTACTGAGACTCCATCACATAACCTCATAAATCCACTTTTGATTCATTTTTCCCTTTTAATGTCCATGATCAGTATTTTGTTCAAGATCATCATCATTTCTCATCTGGACCCATATTTGCTGCCTTTTAACCTCCTCTCACATTGTCCTCAGTGTGACCTGACCAAAACACACCTGACCAAGTCACACTCCTGCTTAAAATCTCTTGTTACCTTAGCCATTTTTATGTATTGAATATTTGTCACATAATGGTTGCTAAATGTGTGTTTTAAAAAATGAGACAAAGAAGAAAAAGGAAAATGAGAAACAATGGGAAGATCAGTATATTTAGTCATTTGATAAATATTTAAACTTTCACTATGTGCCAGGCACTAGGCTTGGTGTTCACAGTTGTGAGCAAAACATATCAGGCCCCTGTCTGCAAAGATTTTTCAGTCTCATTAATTCAGCCCACATAATTAAATAGCTAAAATTTTACACAGCATTTACTATTTATCAGGTATTATGCTAAGTCCTTTACTGAAAGGATCTCATTTAGTCTTCACAACCATGCCAGTGAACTAGACACTCTTAATTATTCTCACTTTATTCAAGAGAAAATGGAGGTTTGGCAAGGTTAAGGCTAACAAGAGATGGAGCCAGGATTAGAAGCTAGACTGACTTCAGAGCTCTTTCCTAATTGAATCTACAATGTACAGCCATTATCCTGTTAGGGGAACAGACCAACCATTCCTGAAGTGATGGAGCAACAACATAAAGCAGAGGTATCACCAAATAGCTAGCTGCATAGGACCGCCTTCCAGAGTCAGGCACGGCCACCACCTGCACTGGACTTTTGGAGGACTCCAAACTCCTGGTACATAGTAATAGAGTGATTCATTTCTCTGCCCCTCAGCTCTCTGCCTAAAGCATGTTGACAACATTTGTTCTTATTCTAGGATTTTCAGCTCAGGAATTTATCCCACTACCTATTTTCTATGCTTTTAAAAAATCATTTTAGTTTCTGGTCTTAAAAGCCTCATTATATTTGTTATAAGTTTGTAGTCTTCAAAAGTAACATTACTATCTTTAATTTTTTAGTGGTTTTTAAAATGTTTGAATAGTCATTATTCATTATTTTTACTTTTAAAGGTATTTTGACTTTCTTTTTTTTTTTTTTTTTTTTTTTGAGACGGAGTCTCGCTCTGTCGCCCAGGCCGGACTGCGGACTGCAGTGGCGCAATCTCGGCTCACTGCAAGCTCCGCTTCCCGGGTTCACGCCATTCTCCTGCCTCAGCCTCCCGAGTAGCTGGGACTACAGGCGCCCGCCACCGCGCCCGGCTAATTTTTTGTATTTTTAGTAGAGACGGGGTTTCACCTTGTTAGCCAGGATGGTCTCGATCTCCTGACCTCATGATCCACCCGCCTCGGCCTCCCAAAGTGCTGGGATTACAGGCATGAGCCACCGCGCCCGGCCGACTTTCTACTTTTCCATTTTTCCGAGTTTATTTTCACTCTCTCCAACTATCCCCAACTTCACTTAACTTTGTTCTCTTAATTGAGGTAACTGATTAAATGTGGTTAAATTGTATGCCTTTGTAAGACTTGTAATATCAACTCTTGCATAAATAAGGAGGCATGAGTTCTGGGAGCATGAGTCCCAGAACATGCTTTGGGAGATGGTTTATGGTGAGCCAGTTCAGAAGGCAGAGAGCAGTGTAGGCTGGCCTGGACAGGACTTTGTGTGCAAGGTAGGGAAATGTTGAGTCCTGAGAGGCCGTAACAGGAAGCCAGGCTCTAGACTAAGTTCTTTCCCCAACTGCCTTTGTGACCTTTGGCAGATCTCTTCTCTGCTCTTCTTAGCAGCAGCAGGAAGGGGCTAAAATAAATCATTTCCAAATGGATCCTTCCAGCTCTTGTATTGTGTGTGCCCTCTGATTCAGATAGTAGTGGATTAGCAGAACAAAGCAGCACCTTTTTGATGGAGCCATATTAAAGTAGCGTATCAAATTATCAAAACACTGCTATTTATTACTTAGTGATGTCTACAAAAGAAATCCCTGACATATCCTCTATGCTATGAGTAAGCCCTGCCCTGTCTCTCATCCTGTGAGCCCCATCATTTTGGGGCCTTGGCACCAAAATGTCAATATCAAAATAGTATGAGCCCTTTGGAAAATGCCAAGGCTTATAGTTCTATAGAACTGGGTTTGGATGGCAGGCTCAGTTGTTTACTTATCACTTGGCCATGTGACCTTGGGAATAAAGGATTTCAGCCTCTATTTCCTTATCTGTAAAACTAAATTATAATATGAACTCTGAAGATGTTGTTAGATTTAAAAATGAAATGTATAAAGCGCCAATGTGTGCCTCATCTTATAAGGAAAGGAAGTAAAGCTTAAAGCAGTCTAATACTCTCAAAATAATTTCCTAAAATAGAAAATAAGCTGTGTTTCACTAAAAAGATTTTACAACATGTTTTACATGTTGGGAGAATCTTGAGTTTCAGATGGGCTAATGGCCCAAATGGACTGGGAAGAGATCAAGGGCTCAGGTGGGAAGGAAAAGCGGAGATTAGATATTCAGACAGTCTGGACATGTACTGTATCACTTACCAGATATACAAAGAGCAGGGAATGTTTATGAAAAACAAGCCCCCATGTCTCTCATACTCCTATCCCTAGACCAGAGCCCTCGGTTCTGAGTCAGAGCTGAATATCAGCATTTAGCAGTGCTATTGCTCAACAGAGACAGGCACTACCGTGATGCAGCAAAATTACTCTCTGAGCTCTGTGGCATCTTGGCCTTGTGTGGCTGAGAGAAGTCTCAGGAAGTCTTATTTGTTGTTCTAAGTAGTAATCAAATTGGCTAAAAGGCCCAAAGGTGAAGTATATGTTGTTCCAACAGGAAGTTTTGGGACACTTGGTAAACTTTTTGAGGAATAAGATAATCTTGCAAAATTGGGCTGTCTGGTTACTGATTCCCAAGGCAGAACAAAGAAAGAGAGTGCTGGGATATGTATGTATGTTGTAGACAGGGTGGATGAAAACTGGCTGGATGATGATGATGGTAATGGTGATAATGATGGTGATGGTGATGATGGTGATAATGATAATTTTTGCAGAATCACAAGGGGAAAGAATGCATTTAAGTTCTAGAAAATTGTCTCAGTTTCCTTGCTACTATTTGATATAGTTCTTTACTCTCAGGAGAAAGTTTTGCCTAGGCAATTATCTCACTTTGAGTTTTCGAAGTGAAAATTGAATTGGGAAAAGTGCCATGGCTCACAGAGGATGGATCAGCCAACTCTGCTGTGACAGTTATTTAAAAATCTTCATAGAAGAGGGAATACTTCAACTGGTTCCTTAAAAATGAAGGTAATTTAGGAAGTAAAGAGGGGAGAGATTTTATTTTGTGCAAAGCTTGTAAAAAAAGGCATTGAATCATAAATTGAAATGGAATAGAGTCATAGGCCTAATCTGAACTGGAATTTCACAAGAAGACAATGAAGGCAGGAAATTAAGATATGAGATAGAGTGAAAGTAGACAGGTAAGTCTAGAAAGGCACTTAGATGCCAGCTGTGATGCCCAGCTGGAGAGTTTGGATTTTTATCTGTAAAATCTAGGATGGCCAAGAAGAAGTGTGTTTGCATTTTGTTTGTTTTACTTTATTAACCTGGGATAGGACCTAGTGACTTTGTTTTTAAAATATAACTTTGATGGAAGAAAGATGTTTAATCAATTGCACTGGGGACTAGTGGTCCGAAGACCATTTTGTAAGCTATTGCATCCCTTAAAGTTAACAGCCTGGTCCTAAAAGAAGAGAGAAGCAACGGAGTCAGAGAAAAGGGGCTAGAGTTCAGTCTTATAGTGTACACTAGATGACAGATCAGACCTAAGGATTTGGAATAAAATAGAGGGAGAATCTGTTGATGGCACCCAAGCTTCTCCTTTTGAAGGCAGAATACATGGTGACACCATGAACAGATGCAAAAACTAACCTCATTTTTTTCTGCATAAGTATTCTATTTACATGCTTTTGCTTACACAAGCAGAAGAGACTTATATACCTATTTTTTTTAAATGTGGGCCAAGATGTTTTGCTTCAAGAGGATAAGATAAGATCTGGTTCCAGCCTGCTCATCACATGTGCCACAGGCCACTAGCTGCTTATCAAAATTCATGGCCTCCTCCACTTCCTGGGCACACAACTAGACTGCATGTTCTGACTTCTGTTACAGTAAGGAGTGGCCCTGTGGTTGAGTTCCAGCCACCGGAATGTGAGCAGAAGTGATGTGCACTGATTGGAAGCTTGACCATAAACTCCATGAGGCATTCCTCCATGCTTTGCTTTCTCCTCTGGCTTGTTGGAATGGAGATAATCTCTGGTACATTAATCAAAGCCTCAAAGTAAAGATGACAGAGCCTCCAATAGTCGGGGTCTCTGCGTGACTATGCAGAGGAGGCTTTCAGCTGCCACGTATTGTTACGCAAGTGGAAAATAAGCATCAATTTGAGTCTGTTTATTACAGAGATTATCCTAACTATACATCAATTTCTCCCATTTATTTGTTAATATAATGAACATCTATTGAGCACTAATTATGCTCCTGGCACTACATTAGATGCTGAGAATGTAGTGTGGAGCAAAACATATAAGCTTCTTGCCCTCATAGAGCTTATAGCCTAAGGGATAGCATAAATTTTATGTTTCTGCTCAGTGTGCCTCAGTGTACTATTTTATTACGTTAAGGTACTATTTCTGTGCTTAAAAATTTCCCTTACTTCATACAATATTGGTTTTTAAAAACATGGCAATTATTACCACCAGTCTGAGATAATTCTTATAATCACTGAGAGCTAGCAAGGTGCAGAGAGCTGATGTGTGAGCTTTTTCCACGTTACCTTAGAATTTTATATTTTATTAGTGTAATTGCATAGCTTATAGTTGTCTACAAATATAATTTATGTCATCAAGAACACCAGCATGATACTTGAGCTTATTTTTCATGAATAGAAAAAGTACTATTTTGATGATAATAATAATGAGAATTAATAGTCACTTGTATGAACTTTTGCTTATAAGAAAATATCTTAAAACTAAATATGTTTCTACATTAGTAGATGAGTATATCAGAGCAGAACAAGTTTGTGGAAGGGGGATGTGGAATGGGAAAGTTTCATATTATGAGTTCTGTTTTGGACAGGTTACGTTTGTGGTACCCACAAGATAAATATTAAGGAGGATCCATGCCTAGTCTCCAGCTGAGTTTTTTAGTTTGGGATCTATTCGTAGGCTGAGAACAAAAAAAGAATTAGTAGTGAGGAACAGATTGAAAACATAAAAAGAAGGGACTGCGGAAATGGGATGATTTTGAAAGGGATGTGAGTGTTAAGCAATAGCCCTTCAGGGAAGGAATTAACTGGGGGGGGGCGGGTGGTGAGGGGGTGGGAAGAGAGATGACCTTTTCTTTGAGACAGGACAGAAGAGGGAAGAATTGTGTTAGTGCTAATGAATCTAAAAATGGAGGCAGTAAAGCCAAGAGTTTTCTCATTGTGAGGCAGAAAATATAGTACCTCAAAGTTAAGACTCTGGAGTCAGACAGACACAGGCTCAAATCATGTCAATAGCTGTGTGACTTTTAGCAAGTCTCATTTTCAACATCTGCAAAGTGGTATCAATAATAATATTTATCTAATATCCTGTTGTGAGTATTAAAAGACAGAATGCAAAGTTCCTGATAAGATAGTGTTCAACATTAGCTATTAATAGTACAATATTAGCAAATGGCTAGTAGAAGCTAACTACCAAGCATTTGGAGTTTTACCAGTCCATGCTGTTTGAATTTCTTCAGAAACAGCAGCATTGGTAGTTTCTTGGTTGGTGCCATCAGAAGACAAGAGAATGAAGGAATTGGCAGGTCCCAGTGATAATGTGGTTGAAGAAATCGTTTGCTTTGGGGATGGTGTTAAGTCAGTCCATGCAGGGGTGATGGATTGAAAGAATAAACTGACATCTCAATGAAGATAAAACACTGGTTAAGTGGAGACAGTAAGGGAAGGAAAGAGGTAGGAGACTTAGAGGTTGTAGATGGAGCACTGATGAACAAATGTACCAAGACAGAGACGTCTCAGAGCACCTGATGCAATGTTTTCTGAAACACAGCAATCTGGAGATTGGGGCAGGGGGCTGGCTGGCTGGGATATACTTAGGGAACTTCACTATATATGACATTTCCACAGTGGAAGCATGGGATTTGTGAAACAGCCAAATGCAAGGCAGCAGATCTGAAAGAAAAGCAAGTGATGCAGAAGCTCATGAGATGGTGAACAGCCACTACCCCACAAAATAATCCCCTTTTTGTGTCAGCCTCAAACCTACAGCAAATGTACCAAAATTATAGTAAGCTTGGCAGGTTTGATTTCTTGTAAGGGCCAAAGAAGGGATAAAATGTAAATGGTCCAAATCAGAGACTCTCTACCTGGGTACAATTAAGAACATCCCAGGGAGCTTTTACAAAAATGTCTATATGTGGACCCCATCATTGACCAATGAAGTCACAATCTATGGGGATCAAGATCCTTTCTCAGTGTTTTTGAGAAGTTCCTCAGGGATTCTGTTTTGTGGCAAAGGTTACAAACTGTCACTGTAAGGGACTGCAGGGACCCAGGGAACTGAGAATAAGTAAGGTGGAAACCCTCAGAGACCACAGGGAGGGAGGAGCACTCAGACGTGAAGTAAAATTGGAGGTCTCACCAGATTTACAAATATTTCTGAAAGCAGGAAAGCACATGTCCTCTGAGCTATATAAATTTAAATTTTTAGAGGGCTGCAGGGGTAGAGTGGAGGTAAAGGCCATTGGCATAGAGATCCCAGGACATGGGATGGTACCTAAGGAGACATCAGAGGCCAAGTAGAAGTTTTCTTTCTCACCAGGAAGAAAAATCCTGTGGGTTCCTTGGTTCCTCTTGCCCCTTTCTTCAACACTTGGTGAGTTCATAGCTGTATTATGAGTGCTCTACTCTTGCATAACAAATGACCACAAATTTAACAGCTTAAAACAACACTCATCTATGATCTAACAGTTCCTGTGGGGCAGGAGTCCATCTTTATACAGTGTCATTGGGCCCCTCTACTCAGGGTCTGAGAAGGCTGCAGTCGAGGTCTCCATCTCCTGAGCCGACTAGTCGTTGGCAGAATTCAGTTCCTGATTAGGTCAGGCCCATCCAGGATAACTTCTCTTTATTAATTTAGGGACTTTAGTCACATCTGTAAACTACCTTCATCTTTGCCACATAACACAGCCTAACATGGGAAGAAGGTGTGGTGCCCCATCATTTTCACAGGTCCTGCTCACTCTCAAGTGGAGGTGATTATACAGGTGTGTACAACAGGAAGTGAGAATCTTGGAGATCATCTAAGAATTTTGCCTACCACAATAGCCATGTATATATTCATTCATTTAACAAGTGTTTATTGAGTACCTACTATCTACAAGGCATTATGATGGTATATTTGAAGGCAGTAAATGCTTTGAAAAAACAGAGCAGAGTAGGCAGGATTTGGGTGGTAGGGGGTGACATAGGAAGTTGCTGTTTTAAATGGGGTGTCAAGTGTTGGCTTCATGGAGAAGGTAACATGTAGTAAAGACTCTGTAAATAACCACAGCTTTCCCTTTTCCTATATCCAGAATTCTTTTGATGTTTTTCTCAGTTTATTTTCCCTTAATCTTTAATCTTTGTTTTTGTAGAAATAATGAAGCAAAGGAAATTCTACATTGGATCTATTACATGTAAATTAAGACTCTGTAAATCGAAGTGATCCAGAAGGCAAAATCTTATAAGCAAAAGAAAACCAGAGAAACTTCTGATGTTTCAAAGTAGCCAAAAATGCAGAAAGGCCAGGTGTAGTAGCTCACACCTATAATCCTAGCACTTTGAGAAGCTGAAGTGGGAGGATTTCTTGATCCCAGGAGATTGAGACCGGCCAGGCAACATCTCTACAAAAAATAGAAAATTAGCCGGGTATGGTGGTACACACCTGTAGTCCCAGCTACTAAGGAGGCTGAGGTAGGAGGACTGCTTGAGCCCAGGAGGTTGAGGCTTCAGTAGCTGTGATCACGCCAGTGCACTCCAGCCTGGGTGATAGAGTAAGACCCTGTCTCAAACATAAACAAAAACAAAAAACAACCACTACCAAAATTCAGAAGTCTGCTAAACGAAAAAGAATACAACACTCTTATATTGTGATCCTATAAATAAATCAGTATGGTACTGGGCCTGTCCAAAGCACATGACTTATTGATTGATTCATTTATTCACTCATTCATTTCATATGACAGACTCTGAACTTATATGTTAGGCTTTGCACTAAGCATGGAGATTTCGAAGACAAATAACATATGGTCTCTGATTTTGAAGAATTTATACTTGATTGGGACAGACGGACTCATGTATAGATAATTTCCATTATGGCATCCTATCAGGGACATCAACAGCCAGTTCTTATGGTGAATGAAAATAACCTCCCTAGGGTATCTTAGTGAAGACATTAAATCAGACTCTTTACGAATGTCTAGAAAAGCCTTCTGAAATGTGGCCTAAGATAATTTTGATGGATGTGTAGTATTCTACAGACCCAGGTTGGTGCTGATGAAATAATCATCTGTTTGGCCACAAATGGGTCCCTTGAGCTGAGCCAGGGAGAGTAAATGGTAAGGCAGTGTTGAGACTTGATCAGAGGACACAGGAGAGAAAAGCAACCAGAGCATTAAATATTGATAGGGTACGGATTTACCTAGCTGTGAAAAACACAGTCGTACAATAGATTCTATGGGTGGAAAGCTAGGAAAACAGCAGCCTCATATACTGGCTGGGGGGTCATCTGCTAAAGGTACTACATCATAATGGTACTGTTGCAGCTCTTCTCTGCCCTTGATCTTTATGCACCAATCCCTGAAGATTGACATGGCTGACGTGGCTGCGTAGATTCAGGGATTATGCTGCTCAAGTGACCTCTGTGTCCATTAGCTATTGCTGGGGAACAAACCATCCTAAACTTTAGCATCTTTAAACAACCATACTTTGCTTTGCTCACAATTCTGCAGATTGGGCTTAGTGTGATCATTCTTGTCTTGGTCAGGCTTGGCTGGCCTCAGCTGGCCTTATTCATAGACTGGCAGTGAACTGATGGGCCAGCTGGGGCCAGCTGGCTTATGATAACTTTTTCTGGGACAGCTAGGATGACTACAGCCTCCCTTCACATGGTCTTTCATTTTCCAAGGGTTTATTCTGGGCTTATTTGCATGATGGTAAAAGGATCCCAACTGCAACAGCAGGCAAGCCCCATGGCACAAGCACTTATGGTGCAATCGTTAATGTTCCATTGGCCTAAAGGAAGTCATACAACTGGGCAGTGTTTTCCACATATGCTTGTGTGGTGCACCCTTTCCCTGCTAATATGATTTGTATATTCGTCCCCTCCAAATCTCATGTTGAAATGTAATCTCCAGTGTTGGAGGTGGGGCCTGGTGGGAGGTGTTTGGGTCATGGGGGTAGATCCCCCATGAATGGGTTGGTACCCTCCCCATGGTAATGAGTGAGTTCTCACTCTGAGTTCATGTGAGGGCTGGTTTTCAAAAACGGCCTGGCACCTCCCCCTCTCTTTCTCCCTCTCTCACCATGTGACATGCCCATGCGCCCTTCCCTTTCTACCATGAGTAAAAGCTTCCTGAGGCCTCGTCAGAAGCTGAGCAAATGCTGATGCCATGCTTTTACAGCCTGCAGAACCATGAGTCAAATAAACCTCTTTTCTTTATAAATTATCCAGTATCAGATATTCCTTTATAGCAATACAAAATAGACTAATACATCAGCCCGGAGAGTTTTGAAATTCTCTATCTTTAGCTTTCCCTTTGACTGATGCTCCCCTACAACCCCCAGCAGCCCTTGTGAGATTTAGTTATACAGGTTGAGTAATAATTTCATATAAAAGGTCAACCTCCATAAAAGTCACAGGTCAATCTTAGATACCAGACATTGTTCATCTTATCAATAGCTGGGGTATTTAAAAGCAGGGAGATTCTTGGTGGTGTCAATTGATAGAAGCATAGAACTGACTAACACCAACATTGTAGATTAAGTGAATATAGAAAACTTCCTTCTATCCCCAGGAGTGTAAGCTCCACGGAAGCTAGGGGAGAGAGGCATTTTTTTTAAGAGGCACTACTATACCAGGCAAAGGAATCTAAATTTTAGAGAAGAGAATAAATATTTCTAGAAGAAAGGTTTCCTTGACTAGACAGCATGTTCCATGTTTTCTTGGCCTTCATCTTCACCCACTAATCCAGTCTGCTGAGAAAAATATCCACCAAACCTTGGATACCACTGGATGTTGCCAGGTTTGTGAACATTTCCACTGGGACTCACCTACCTGTACTGTGCACCTCTCTCCCTTCATGGCCACTTGGCCCACATTGGTAGAGTACTGAGGAGCTTTTAGCTGGACAAGGCATTTACTGTGGGGTTTCTCTGGGGACTTTTCATTTTTCCTTAATATAAAAAACTTTAAGAATAATGTAATCATGCTCATGATAGTTCAAAAAGTAGAGAAATTACAACAAAAAATTATCCAACTTTCTATGATAACGATTAATTTATTTGCTTCTTGTAACATTATATATGCATGTACCCTCAATTTTTCTCTAAGGCTCTGGAGACCCCATTTGGAAGGTCCCAGCTTAGCTACAGGATTGCTGTATGACCTGATGGACCTCAGGGGCCACAGTTTTCTGTGTGGTCTGAGTTAAAGCCCTTTAAAGAGTAGGGGCTCCAGAATAAGAAGTCTTCTACATGGAGCCAGCTTTGCAATGGGTCAAGTGGGAGATGCTTGGAGGATATAAAGCTTAGTTCTGTCCAATCTGCCAGACATCTAGTCAATAAGTTGATTCTAAAGCATGCAACTGTTGCAGAAGCCTTGCTTCTTCTTAGTCTGCCTAGTGTTTTCAACTCTTCCACCCTCAGTTTTGGCCTAGACTAGAGGGTGGTAAAGACAGGCAGAGAAGCTTCCACACCTCCTATGACAGAAAAGAGAAATGAACATATAAATCAATGGATGAATCAATAAATCATAAATGATTAAAGAGAGGAAACCACAAGAATCAAATTAGATCCTTTCTACCAGTTTATTTAAAAAAAGTGATGTGGAAGAATCCTTGGGGACATGTGGGGCTATAATGATTATGTATTACATATATAATTAAAAATGATTATATAAAGAAAGTGTTATAATATTATTATCAGTAGATTTTGACTTCCAGTGCTCTGGATAACTTGAGATAAATGAGAATTTGATGTAGTTTTTGGCAATTTCAAGGAGTTCCTAAATTATCTCCCCTTTCCCTATGAAGCGAAATACTGTATTTACCAGAAAATACCATCCAGATGTTGTTTTGCTCAAGAGTAATTTGTTCAACAAGTGTTTACTGAATACCCCTGTGGTGGGCACTGTGTTGTGAGCTTGGGAGACAGACATAGTCTCTGACCTCATAGAATTGATAGTCTCCTATAAGATTCATTGAACAAGAATAAAATTATCATGATTGTCATGAAAACCTAAGTGGCTGTGAGAACATAAGACTGGGGGTGTCGCTGATTCTCAGGAAACTGGGGAAAGGTTCCCTGAGGAACAGTTGTTTCATCTGAGACTTCATCAGGTGAAGGGGCAGGGGCAGTGGAAAGCAGTGTTCCCTGCAGAAGGAGCATATACAAACGCCAGTCGGGATGAAGTCCAAGTACTAAAAGAAACTTGGTTGGAGCAAAGAGAAAGCCAGGAGGGCAATACATAGAGATGGGTGGCAGCCCATAAGCCATAGGGAGGGTTTTAGTGAAGTTACTACTATTATTGTCATCGTTATTAAATTATTTTTTCATCATTGACAAGTCATTTTTCAAAGAGGTTTTCCAGTTTTCTTCTGTTTCTAACACACTTAGGTGTATCTGTGTGTCCTCAGGTACACCTATTTCCCTGTCTCTGGCCGCAGTCTCTGTCACCTCTCAATGTGGCACCATAAATGTAGTTCTTGATAGTGCAGCCTCCTCCCCCTTTTTGAGTATCTTATATGAGCTCTGAATTCCACATTGGATCCTGGGAAACCTCACCCTGCACTCGGTTTGTTGCCTCTTTCAGCAGCTTTCAATCCATATGACTATTTTTTTTTCTGAAGCTATTTGAATTAATTGTGAAAGTGAAATTTCAAGCGACGATATATTGAATGTTTCACTCAGATACAAACATCTAAAATTTATAGCATCCCATTAAAAAAAGCCAAAGCAAAGAAAAGCTGAACTAACCTAAACAGATCCCTCTGGCTGTTTTTCACTATTCATTCCCATTAAATGCAAAACGTGTGTTACTCCAGATGGCCACAGCTCTCCTCTCCCTGGGTAAAGGAACTATAAACAAAAATCAGATGATTGACTTCCATGGTGGTTTTCATTTTCTGAAGCATTTAGTTGGCTTCCTGTTATTATTTCTGATGCTGCTAGTTTCTAGTAATAGCTCCTGGTATGTGCTAAAGAGCATCATTTAGTAGAAATGACCTGGGCTTAGAAGCCTTGGTTCCACGTCCTGGTTTTACTCCTCTGTTTGCTAGTTTGTGATCTTCCCCTGCTACAGTGTACCCATCACCCATAGATGCTTGATTGTTCTGGACAGAACCATCACAGTGGTTCTATACAGCTTTAGGGGAGAAAAAAAAGTCCTTTTCTTTCCATTCTCCTAGATTCTCTGGCTGGGGCCCTATAAAATTAAACCGACAAAAGGCAGACTGACAAGAGAAAAACAAACAGAAGTTTATTAGCATGTGCATCACACATACCCATGAGAGTGCTCAACAATGAGTAACTCGAAGAAGTGGTTAAAATTTGGGGTGTAGATACCTAACAGTAGGGGAAAAGAATGGGAAGAAGGGGCATTTATGGAACAGCAAATGACTTTTCGGAAAGATAAATGGGCCCTTGGCAGAATAGTTGGGTGATGGTTTATGACACTTTCTGTCTGGGTGTGCTATGGACTTTTAGAAAGATTACAGTTGCTCCTGGGGAGGGGATTTATGACAATTAAGTTGTTTTGGGAGCCTCTGCTTTGCAGGCAGATAAAGGATTTCAAGAACTCACATGCCTTCAGCTCAAAATAATTCTTATGTCAAAGTGTCATATTTTGGAGTAGCATACCTTGCTTCCCTTCATAGCCCTAAAATAACAGCTATTTTATGATCTAATCCTCTGGCTCACTTAAATTTATCACATTCTATATTGAAGACTCTGTCTGAGTGTTGAGCACTCTAATTTGCTTTGTTGAATAACGATGACCAGTTTGACATCTATACTTTAAGTTGCCTAACATCTGTCCACAAAGAAATGTTCACCTCTGTCAGGATCTATGAAAAGCTTTACCTGTAAAGAGTGTATACTTCAGTGCTATGGACTAAGAGGGAGTAGGAACTTTGCTTTTTTCTGATTTGAATCAAATTGTGTGTTGAAAGATGCTGCCAGTCACTCAATTTACCTCGAATGGTGTGGTCCAGCTAGTACCAGGAGATAGACTTTAATAGGAAAGCACAAGATTATTCAGAGAATAATTTACTATCTGGAAACAAAAGGAGAAGAAATGGTGATGGAAGGCAAACTCTTTCTTTCTTTCTTTTTTGAGACAAGAGTCTTACTCTCTTGCCCAGGATGAAGTGCAGTGAGATCTTGGCTCACTACAACCTCCACCTCCTGGGTTCAAGCAATTCTCATGCCTCAGCCTCCCGAGTAGCTATGATTACAGGTGTATGCCACCACACCTGACTATTTTTTGTATTTTTCAGTAGAAACAAGGTTTCACCATGTTGGCCAGGCTGGTCTTGAACTCCTGGCCTCAAGTGATCCACCCTCCTCCGCCTCCCAAAGTGCTGGGATTACAGGCATGAGCCACTGCACCCAGCCAGAAATTTCTTTTTTGTCTTTTAGCATCCAAGTGAATGTTCAGCCAAACCATAAACATGTTTACCACAGAACTATTCAGAACCATTTTGCCTGTTTTGATGCTGGCTTCTTTGAGATAGAAAGTTAGTCCTGAAGAAGAGGGAGGGCTGTCTTGTCACAACTGAAGCTGGAAAAATCTCTTTGTGTCCAGATACGGTGCTGCATAATTGTTCTTATTAAAGTTCACTATTAAATATATTTCATTGTATTCCTCAACTATGAATAAAATAATTAAACTATTTAAAAAGGCAAAGGAAACCAGACAGAACCAAAAATATCTTTATATTTGAGAGTGTCTTCATTCTTCTTAGAAGAGATAAGGTGATATATTTTGACGTCTGCAATTTACATTCAAACGGTTCAATTAAAATATGTATATTATGTATGTGTGTATATACATATGTATATATGTGTATGTGTGTGCACATGGTGGGCACCTAGATCTGTTTGGGAAATTTTAGGGATGGGCATTGTTTGCAATGCCTCTGTCTCAAGCATGTTAACTAGAAAAAAGTTGTCATCATAGGCTGGGTGTGGTGGCTCACACCTGTAATCCCAGCACTTTGGGAGGCTGAGATGGGTGACTTACTTGAGGCCAGGAGTTCGAGACCAGCCTGGCCAACATGGTGAAACCTCATCTCTACTAAAAATACAAAAATTATCTGGGTGTGGTGGTGGTGCATGCCTGTAGCCCCAGCTACTCAGGAGGCTGAGGCACAAGAATAGCTTGAACCCAGGAGGCAGAAGTTGCAGTGCGCGGAGACTGCGCCACTGCACTCCAGCCTGAGCAACAGAGAGAGACTCTGTCTGGAGAAAAAAACAAACAAACAAAATAAAGAAGCTATTATCGTCTCGCATACATCAGCAATTCACAGAAACTGAATCTTAAAAATAAGAATTGACACAGTAACAGGATTAATGGATCAGCTAATTCGATGGACTCCTTTAGTCACAGACTTTGAACAGAATTAAATATATGTTAAGAACCATTCAGGGAAGAAATATGAAAGCTATCTATCTAGTAAGAAAATGTTTCTTCTGAATTCGGCAAAATAGGGATTAGAAAGAGACCGGTAGGCTTTAGTGTGTACCTGGTGGAGATTTCTTTCCAGCCTAAAACAAGTCAAACTTTGGAATGAGCTCTGGGGCAGGCCCAGGTTTATTGAACTTTACAGTTAGTACTACAGAGTAGAAAGCAGGGAGACTGCTGAGCTTCCACCCACTGACCTTGACCAGAGGAGACAAATAGAGTAGAAGGTACTACGTGGCTAAGTTCTTTTCATTCTTTTGACATCTCTCTGCAGAAAAATAGGGGCAAGAAACTTAAAGGCAGAATATGCTGCTTTTAAAAAATCTTTGCTATTTTGCATCCACACTGATGTATCTCTTATTTAATTAAACAATTTGGCATTCTAAGGTGTTTATTGGCATAGGCACACTTCCGTTTCTGATCGGCTGGAAAGTAGGATATTCTCAGAAGATCTGGCACAACTCTGGGTAGATTGTGTGCATACTTTTAATTGAATTCTCATTTTATTTTTAACTTCTGGAACAGATGGAAGCTGGGTCTAAAATAACTTTTCAATAAGTATTTGAAAACGAGTGGTTGACCAATCCCATCAGTCATGTCTGGGTTGGGGGATGTTTTTGTCAAAATGTAACTGTTGTGGGATTAGCACTTTAAAAGTTTCACTGGACATCAATGATGGTCAGTCGTAAATTATAAATTGGTGTAGGTATGGGATGTGATGTTCAGGTTGAGAGGAAGGGAAAAGTACTCGAGGAGAACAGTAGAGAATGATGAATTGGCCACAGCTGAATAAAATTACTAAGGCCACTTAATGAATTCAGCAGAGAAGAGCACCCTCATCTATTAGAGATATTGTCGGGGCATGGTAGGAAGGAACTGCAGAAGGAATGCATTGTGTTGTTCCCTGCTATGAAGCAAATGGAATGGAGAGAGGGGGAGATAGAAAGTTACAGGCAGAAGACAGGCTCCATAGAAGAGGTGGAAAGAGGAACTAAGAAGGTGGACTCAAAGTTATTTCATCTGAGTAACAGCCCCAATACCAACGACAGCAGATGACAAGTAACAAGGATTCTTACAGTTTTTTAATTAAAATTTAAAACTTGTTATTTTTAATTGACAAATAATAATTGCATGTATTTATGGGGTACAATATGATGTTTTGATATATGTTTACAAGGTGGAATGATTAAATTTGGCTTTTCTTTTTTTTTGAGATGGTATCTTGCTCAGTCACCCAGGCTGGAGTGCAGTGGCACGATCTCAGCTCACTGCAACCTCTGCCTCCCGGGTTCAAGTGATTGTCGGGCCTCAGCCTCCCAAATATCTGGGACCACAGGTGTGTGCCACCTCGTCTGGCTAGTTTTTGTATGTTTAGTATAGACAGGGTTTTGCCGTGTTGGCCAGGTTGGTCTTGAACTCCTGACCTCAGGTGATCCGCCTGCCTTGGCCTCCCAAAGTGTTGGGATTACAGACGTCAGCCACCACACCTGACCTAAATCAGGCTATTAACGAATCCGTTATCTCACATGCCTATCACTTTTTGTGGTGAAAACATTTAAAATCTACTGTTTTTCAGTTTTGAAATACATAATGCATTATTACTTATTATAGTCACCATTCTGTGCAATAGATCAGTAAAGGTTATTCCTCCTGTCTAACTGAAACTTTGCAAGCTTTGATCAATATCTCCCCTTTCCTTCTCCATCCCCTCCCGTCCCCCAGTCTCTGGTAACCATCGCTCTACTCTCTACCTCTATGAGTTCAAATTTTAGATTCCACATGTAAGTGAGATCATGTGGTATTTGTCTTTCTATGCCTCACTTATTTTGCTTAGCCTAATGTCCTCTAGGTTCGTTCATCTATGTTATTGCAGATGACAGAATTTTCTGATATTTCAATGCCGAATGGTATTCCATTGTGTATATATACCACTTTTTCTTTATCCATTCATCTGATGATGGACACCTAGATTGCTTCTATATCTTGGCTATTGTGAATAATGCTGCAGTGAACGTGGGAGTGAAAGTAGCTCTTTGGCATATTGATTTCAATTCCTTTGGATACATACCCAGAAATGAGGTAACTGGATAATATGGTAATTCTACTTTTAGTTTTCTGAGGAATCTACATACTGTTTTCCATAAAGGTTGCACTAATTTACATTCCTACCAACAGTGCACATGGATTCCCTTTTCTCCACACTCTTGCCGACGCTTATTTCTTTCATCTTTTTGTTCATATCCACTCTCACAGGTGTAAGGTGATATTTCACTGGGGTTTTAATTTGCATTTCCCTGATGATCAGTGGTAATGAGCATTTTTTCATATATCTGTTGACATTTGCATGTCTTCTTTTGAGAAAGCACAGTTTTTGATTAGGTTATTTGTTTGCTGCTATTGAGTTGTCTGTGTTCCTTACACATTTTTGATATTAACCCCTTATCAGATGTATGGTTTGCAAATATTTTCTCCCAATCTGTGGTTGTCTCTTCTGTAAACCAGGATTCTTATAGCAGGAACAGCCATTCAGCAAGAATTTATTGGACACCTATCTGGTTGACAAAGAAAGTGACTGCAAAACTAGAAAAGTATTTATGGAGCTCAAACAGATTAGAACCTCTCTCATATGGACAATAAAAAGAATGGCTCAGGCTTGCTCTAGGAGTAGCTTAGAGGCCAAGGGATGATCTGAGCACTGGAGGGATTTATCAACCTGGGGCTACTTAAAATCACCTTAGAATCTCAGTCTTGCAAATTGAGTAATAAGTTGTGCAGCCCTCTAAGCCCTTACCTACCCAGTTTATGGTCTTTTACCATGATATATGCCATTCCCCTCCTCATCGCACATTGCCTTATGGCCCATTGCTTCAGAGAGTGCTGGCCACAGGCAGGTCTGGGGGTCCTTAAACGCAACTCAGCTGCCCGCTGCTGTACCTCATGGCTCTGCATGAGAGTGACTTCGGCACACTGAATGGACCTACTTTTGAACAAGCACTCCTCAGCACTCTATGTGCCAAGCACTGATGGTTCTAAAATTTTTACAAATAATAACTCATTTAATTGGTTTTCTTAAAAATTCTATGAGGTAGGTTTATTATCCCAATTTTACAAATGAGGAAACTGAGGCACAGTGAGGTTAAATAGCTTGTCTAAGATCCACAAATGGCCCACTACCTTCTATAGAATGGGCTTTGCCTCATAGATCCTGGCAGCCCCTCAAGGCAGTGCAGCCCCTACTCTGGCTTCCAGAGGAAGTGGCAGACTTCTAGGCAGACATTCCTCATTAGCAGCTTGTGCTAGGTCAGCATGGCCTCCAAAATTCACATGCTTCTGCATCAGACGTCTCCTACCATCTTTCTTTTTGATTGTGACCAATTTTCACTTCCCTTCCTCCTTCCTTACTTTCTTTTAAAATGAGATTTTTGGTGGTGGTTATTATTTGTAGGAGAAAGATCCCTTGGGACAGAAAATTGTCACCAAGAGAATGATCCTGGGAGCAGCAAATGGTTTGCCCTGTGTTTCAGGAGGCCATGGAAGTAGGTGCTGTTAATATTTTGACTTAGTTATCTTAGATATTGCTATCAAGGGATGCTAATAGATGTGCAGAAGCTTGATGCAAAATTTGTTTTGTTCTTTGATGAAATTTTTCAGTTAAGCTCAGTGTGGAAAGGAGAATCTGTCCTTTCCCTTATCCATGGGGCAAAAGAGTCATCATCAATATGTGTCTTACAGCCTAGGTTATTCATCTGGTATAATCTGTAGAAACTGGGGTTGCGGGGGCATGGAATTGGAGAATGAGTGCTTCAGCAGAACAGTCTACTTAATGTTCCCTTGAGATCGCTCTACTACGTTAAATGGAAGAGACACCCTCTCCTTCTCCCTGCAATATTCTGGGCTTCTGTGGGTATCTCCAAAGAGGATATGTACACACTGCCACCAGGCACACACAATTGCATGCACTCTCACACTCAGGAATTTTGACAGAAGAGTCTAGGAAAGAGAAACACAACATTACCCCCATGGCCCACACCATCCCCTTAGAGGGAGCATTCTAAGAAGCAAAGACAGATGTTTACTTTCCACCCCCAAGGGCCTACCAGTCCAATACAAAGTCCCACCTACCAGTGATACTTTCTTTCATTACAGAAACACTAAGAAGAAATAGAAAACATGAAACTAAAGAATATTTTTAAAAATCTTGGGTCAGAACTAATTCTTAGGCAAATACCCATCTCATTGAATTTCTATATGAGAATGGCTTTTGGTACAAGAGATATCATCCCCTCTCCAGAGCAAACCCCTGAAAGGGCAGAGGAAGGGAAGGAGGATTTATTTTTCTAAGTATACTTGTTTGTCTCTTGTTCCAACTAACGTATGAAATAACAGAGGGCAGGGGCTATGCTTATCTCACCCACAGCTAATCTCTAGTTCCTGGTGCATTGCAGGCACTTGATCAATGTCTGCTGATGTTTTTCAAATAAATAACCAGGGAAACCCACAAGTATCCTGGTACAACAGCCAGATATATTCCCTCCCTTCTCAAATTCCTTTATAAAGAGGCAGCTCAGAACTGCCTGGGTAACTCCCTTAAGAGTAGTTCCTCCTAACCTCTGTAGATAGGGATTGCCACTGGGGCTCAAAGAGAACCACGAGACAAGGAAGTCATCATTATAACAAATCACACATTCAGGTCAAAGACATACTCAGAAACTGCAACCACCAAATAAATGCCCTATAACCAATACATTGAGATCCAGAATTGAGAAGCCAGTCCCAGATCACAAGCAGAAAGCATAAAATAGTTAGTCAATTCAGGACACAGAATTCAAAGCTGAGATGTGGGGCCTAAGCAGAGATCAAAGGTGTGCAAGGTACATGGAAGGTGTCCAAAGTTAATCGTATCACATCAAATATATTTAAAACATAACTCATCTATGGGTGAGTGGGTGGACCTAGTTTATGGTCTTTTATTGTGATATATGCCATCCCCCTCCTCATTGCACATTGTTTAAACATTTCTAAACTTTATGCAGTAAAAATAAAAAATTTCCCTTTATGGCAAAAGAGAAAAAAAATGTTAGTTTTTATTCTCAAAACCTGCTCCTCAGCCTCGACAACTCCCCATCTCAGCCGCTCCCTCATACATTCAATTACTTGCATGAGAAGCCGGGAACCATTCTTGACTCCTCACTAAGTTCCATTGATTTTACCTATTAAATGTTCCTAGAATATGTCACTTATTCTACACTTGCTAAGTGTTTCTGGAACATGCCCCTTCTTTTGGACTTGCTGAATGTTTTTTGGAATATGCCTGATATAGTTTGGATGTGTGTCCCTGCCCAAATCTCATATTGAAATGTAATCCCCAATGTTGGAGGTGGGACCTGGTGGGAAGTGATTGGATCATGGGTGATAATTTCTCATGAATGGTTTAGCAGCATCCTTCTTGGTACTGTGCTCAAGATAGTGAGTTCTTGTGAGATCTGGTCACTTAAAAGCATGTAGCACCACCCCCCTGACCCACCTCACTCTCTTGCTTCTGCTTTAGCCATGTGACATGCCTGCTCCCCCTTTGCCTTCCACCATGATTGGAAAATTCCTGAGGCCTCCCCATTATGCTTCCTGTACAGCCAGCAGAATTGTGAGCCAATTAAAACTCTTTTCCTTATATATTACCCAGTCTCAGATATTTCTTTATAGCAGTGCGAGAACAGACTGACACAATGCCTCTTCTTCTAGACTTGCTAAATGTTTCTGGAATTTGTTCCTTCCTCTGTACCTACTGCTGTATTTTGTGCCCTAGTTAAAGACAATTTTCTCTCATCTGGGTTATAGCAACAACTTCCTAATTGGTCTGCCAACCTTCAGGCCTGCCCCACCCACCTAGGCTCCCCTGTCTAGACAGGATGATCTTTCTGACACACATTTTCTTCTTTCCCTTAAATAGAACCCAATTATATAGAGACCTACAATGCCTTGTGCTGTGCTAACCTTCCCAGCCCCGTCTTACATCCTTATCCTTGATGCTCTAATAATGCTTCACAATTTGTAGTCACGGCATATGTGTGGCCAGTCGTGCTTCTGTGACTTTGCTCTTCTTCTCTCCATCAGCCTTCTCACATTCTTCTTTTAAATATTTTTGTACATTTAATTTTTATATTTACTAAAGTGCTAAGTGAACAGAGTTTTATAAATAAAATAACCAACTTCTGTTTCTGGCAAAATGTTAAGCTCTGGATCCCAAAAAAACTGTGTGATGAAAAACAACTAGAGACACAGTGAATAACTTTGTTTTCCTCTTTGGCCATAAAGGGAAACTTTTTATTTTTTACTGCATAAAGTTGAGAAATGTTTAAGCAGCAAGAATAATATCCTGAACAAAATAACAAAAGTGAGAAAAAGGTTGTGAATTAAGAAACAAAGGATTGCCCTAAAGTGATCTATGAAGTTAGGTAGGGCTAAACTCATAAAAGTTTGCTGCGTTTAGCTGAGATGCTGTTATTGTTGTTTAGGGGTGTGTGTGTGTGATTAAACCAATCAAAGTTTATTCAGGTAAGTGATGGTGGAGTAGGAGATACTAGCCTTCATCCCCTCCACAAAAAAAAAAAAAAAAAATGTAGATCACTATTCACAAAACAAAATATCTCAGAGAAGGCTCAGAGGCTCATTGAAGAATAGCAGCAGCACAGTGGTGAAAAAAAAATGAAGAAGAGCCACATAGAAAGGGTTGCTGGTGAGACCGGTATACCTGAGATGCCAGGGCATCCTAAGAACAAAGAACAAAGGAGGAGGCTACTGGCCAAGTGAGGGGAATCAACATCGTCCCAGGACCTATTACCCAGAGGACAGTGACATCTCTTGACACTGAGGTAACCAATGGCCATTCCCACCAGGTAACCCCTTCCTTCCATAAGAAGTGGATGCTGTTGGTTGCTTTGAGAAAGAAACCACTGCCTCCCCCAACCCAATGCGTGCCACAATCCTGGAGCTGTGGCCACTCCACAGGTACCCACATTTCAGACTCAGGCTCTGTGGCTGTAATGGGTCTCTACCCACATCTGAGACACTAAAGCCATTGCCACGGTGAGCTAGTTCTCACTTTGGGCCTGGGAGCCAAGCCCTTGCTGTGCCTGCCTGTGCTCCAAGCACCAGCTCAGCCAACAGAGAGAGGCGGACCCCACCACAACCCTTCAGTGATGGTTTAAGTAAGGATGGACTTCTTCCTTCAGCCAGAATACACTACTTTTAAGCTATCTAACTTTATGATTCCAATGAAATGTAAATAATATATTCATAAGAATTACATCAAAACTGTATTCTGAAAATACTGTTAGGAATTATAATTCTATCAAACTTCAGTAAGAACAAATGTAGCATCAACTAAATAACAGCAGTTAAACTAAAAAGAGAGAAATCAAAATCACTTCTAAGGAGAGAAAACACGGGAGAATGTCCTGCTGTGAGGATGGAAACTGAATCAAACCTGCATGTGAACCTGGATTCTTGAGACCTCATACATAACCCTCCTCCTTCCTGCAGGCCTGGTTGGCCCAGGAGCTGCTCTGACCCTCTCAGCCTCTGCCCAGCACTGTTTGTTGAATAGTAGCAGCAAAAACACCCTTTGTGAAAAGCTGGTCTAGGAGTCCAGCAAGACAGGCCAGGAGGAAATGGCGGGGCCTGCACTTCATGCGCAATGATTACACAGGCAACCTGGAGCAGTGCAGTGACCAGTGGCCTCAGAGACATCCATGAGATTGAGATGGTTATGTTTCCTTCATTTGTTTCAGTTGTAAGCTCTAGTTGTGACCTCCGCATCAGTACTCATGTCTTTCCAACTGGAATGTTTTCCAGGGCCTGCTTATACCTCCGAGCCTATTGTAACCACCATTCCCACAAGGGTGTCTGGGCTCTGGGCCCGCAGCCTAGAACCTTTGCATCTGAAAATTAAGCTCCCATTTTCTGACCATATTTATGGTGAGAATTGTGCAAACTTTTACAAGGTTAAACAGTTCCGTTTGTTCAATGGCCCTGGACTGCGGAGTGTTCTCCAGGCTTTTCCAAACCCCAGAGACTTATCTAAATTATCTAACTTGTGAGAACAAGATCGCTCATGAGAGAAAAGTGCTTTCTCTTTCAGAATGAGCTTTAGAATCAAGAACTCACTTTCTAAAGGCAAGTTTGTGCTTTGACTTTTGGCTGCAGACTCAACCAAGGACTGAAGAGAAACAAAAATTTGTCAATGTTGGAAGCTCAGTAAATGTTTCCAGTTGGGATTAATTCATTGGTTAAATGAGTCTGACACAGATGACATATCTCAATAGATGTGGAAATGAGGTTCTTTCTGTTAACTGGGGCATGAGCTTTCAGTGTACTGGTACTGACTTTTCAAGGCCTATTGTACACCGTGGGCCTTAAAAAGGCACTTGGGTTATAGCAGCCAGGGTTTTCCCTTGGGGTCTTGGGATTTGGGGAGCACTGTTTAGAAACATCTGTATGGGATCTTATGTTTGGAAATTGCCTCCCAGTCACCTCTTTCCTTTGCTACAGCACTGGAAATATGAGCTCCACAGTTTAGCTCAGTGACAGGAACTCTCTATAGAAATCTGCAGCTGCTCAGACCTCTCTCATGGTGTCTCATGGAGTGCAAATTTGGCAAAAGTCCCCCAGAGCACTTATCTCAGAATCTACTAGGGCCAATTGTGACATTTCAGCCTCTGTTCTTCCCCTTCCCTAGTACTTCAGGCATAAAGTACCAGTGAGTCAAAGAAAGAGGTGTGTAATTGAAACCACCTTATTGAAAAGCTGTAATGGGTTCTGCCACGTCCCTCCAGCCCAGAGCTTTTGAACAGCCTTCCTGCCACCCTCCCTCCATGCATTCACTTTCATTCATTCAGTGAGCATTTATGGACCGCATATTAGGAACAAGTCTCTGTGGTCAGTTCTGTGGGAGACACCCCTCTCTGGGCCTTCCTGTATTGTCCCTAGAATCTTCTTTACCTCCACTTTTCCCCTCTTTGGTTAATCACACAGATTCTGCTGAGAATTGTGCCTTTACACAAAGATTGAACAGCCTTGGAGGAGGGTAGATCTGTGTGAAAGATCCCCAGCTGTGCTCAGTAGAAATGTTCCATTAAATATCTCAGTCTTTATCACGAGGACATCACAAGCTGTTCTAATCATACACTGTCCGGCCAGGCTGAATGGTGGCAGAAGCATGGGGCCCGTCTGACACCCCCTGCCTGCTTCCTCCATTTGGAGCTAGATCTTAAGGGGTGAACAATGTCACTCTCACCTCACAGTGGACTTTGCCCTGCAGCAGGAGACTGGTGTTTCTGCTTTCCAACTAGTAAAACATGCTTTAGAGCCCTGTTCATCCATTTTATTCCAGGGAGGACAATAATTTTTACAGGTGCTAAAAAATGCAAACATGTGAAAGCTAGTGTTCTTAATAATACTTAGATTAAGTTTTGTGATGTTGTCTCAGAAAACATAATTCAGATGCCCATGACCTCTGTTTTTTTATTTTAAAATCAAAGTGAAAATATTAATTTGCATTTGGAATTATCTAAGCTTGCTTGATACAATACCTGGCACTTTATGGATGCTCAAAGAATATATTTATTTTATGAATAATTTGATCGGGACATGAAATATGATACCTGAGAGGAGGAATGTATGTTGGAGGTGAGAGCATGGGTTCAATTTTAATTCTGGACATAGATTAGAAATGTCTGAGGAACAGCCAGCATAGGTGACCAGTTGATCATTAGAAATGTGAGACTACCAATCAAGAGAAGAATCAGGAACATTCCCTCCTTCAGGGAGCCTACTTGTGGTTCAGCCTCCCCAAGCCCAGTATGATGTACTTGTACGTTTCTCTCACAGTTATTACCTGTGATGATTTTTATTTAGCTCCATCATTAGAGTATTGGCTCCTTGAGACCATGGACTATATGTTGTTGGTCAGTTTTATCCCCAGAACCTAGTATGGTCCTAGCACAAGGCAGACACTTAATGTTTGTTGACTGAATTATGAAATGAGTGATATTTTTTTAAAAAAGTGAATTGACTTTCTTAAATCCTCAGCACTGTTCTTGACCCACCCTTTCCCTTGACATCCCAAGTGTAACAGAGTCATTCCATTCTGCCTCTTTCTCCAGGGCTCATGAAGCTCACCTGGACTATGACAGTAGCCTTCTTTTATTTATTATTTTTTGAGATGGAGTTTCACTGTTTCACCCAGGCTGGAGTGAAGTGGTGCAATCTCAGCTCACTGCAAACTCCGCCCCCTGGGTTCAAGTGATTCTCTTGCCTCAGCCTCCCGAGTAGCTGGGATTACAAGAGTGCACCGCCATGCCCAGCTAATTTCTGTATTTTTAGTAGAGACAGGGTTTTGCCATGTTGGCCAGGCTGGTCTGGAACTCCTGACCTTAGGTGATCCATCTGCCTCGGCCTCCAAAAGTGTGAAGATTACAGGCCTGAGTCACCGCGCCCGGCTGACAGTAGCTTTCTAATGGAGCCATCTGCTTCCAGTCTTGCCTCTCAACCCCCAATTCATCCTGGACTCCTTGCCATAAGTGACCTTGCTAAATGGAGATTTGCCTCAGGTAACTTCTCTGCTTAGAGGCCTGGAGTAGCTCCTCATTTCTTTCCAGATAAAACTCAATCCCTTTCCTAAGGCATGTAAGACCCTCTAGAATCCTGCTTCTGCTTACTGCCCTAACCTTCTTTATTGCACCTCTCCATTATCCAGGCTCTGGAGCCAGAGAAACTTAGGTTTCCAGCTCAACTACTTATTCACAAAAGTTCAAGGGCAAGTGTTTTCATCTGGACTTCAATATTACGAACTACACAATGGGTAAGCTACTGCTACCTATTTCTGAGGTTATACTGAGTATCAGATTAAAAGCAAACATGTGAGGTGCTTATCTTAGTAACTGGTATATAGTGAAGGCTAAATAAATGTTAGCCATTACTTTTGTTATTATGAGCATTCTTTTTCAAAAATTACTTGCTCACTCTTCTTTGTGTCCTATTCAAACACTATTTCTTATGTCTTCTCTTCTTTGTCCAATTAATTCCTCAATATTAAAGACTCAGCTCTGATTACATTTAACCAAGGAGGTCTTTCTTGAGCCTACTGTTTGACTACCTCTATTTATCTCAGTGTTTTATGGATACTTATTTTATACATAGTTATTTCAGAAACAGCTTTTAAATGAATGGAAATTAATTATTGAACTCATCTAATTGTTCCACTATAGTATGAGCTCCTCAAAGGCAAAAGGTCATTTAATGTGGTCTCTAGAAAATAGCAAGTATTCAATTAATGCTTCATGGAGGAAAGAAGGAAAGAGGGAGGGAAGGAAGGAAGAAAGGAAGGAAGGAAGCTTTAAGAGAGGTAGGAAATTCAAGAGTAAAGTAGGTCTTAGCAAGAAGATAATGCTCAATTTAAGAGACTGGTATGGTTTGGCTGTATCTCCACCCAAATCTCATCTTGAATTCCCATGTGTTGTGGGAGGGACCCAGTAAGAGGTAATTGAATCATGGGGGCAGGTCTTTCCCATACTGTTCTCATGATAGTGAATAAGTCTCACAAGATCTGATGGTTTTGAAAAATGGGAGTCTCCCTACACAAGCTCTCTCTTTGCCTGCTGCAATCCATGTAAGATGTGACTTGCTCCTCTTTTCCTTCCACCATGATTGAGAGGCTTCCCCAGCTGTGTGAAACTGTAAGTCCAATGAAACCTCTTTCCTTTGTAAATTGCCCAGTCTCGGGTATGTCTTTATTAGCAGCATGAAAATGGACTAATACAGAGATACTGAAGTGATTAGAAAACACTTCCAAAAGTCTCTTGGTCTAGAGCCCAAGAGAAAGACTAGGGGCAAAGACGTAGACTTGGCAGATGTAGCATATGGGTGGCAGTTTAAGGGCATGGCAGTAGATGTAATTACCTTGACAGGATGTTCAGAAAGAGAAGTCAAGGAAGGATTGACTTCTGAGAGACACCAATATTTAAAGGGCAAGCAAAAGAATGCCTAGCAAAGGACTATCTGTTTCCTTCCTTGAACCTAGGTATGGTTTCAAAATCCCTCACTTGTGACCCAAATTGCTATTTCAAGATGAAGAACATTCCATCTCTCATTCAAGGGGCAAGGAACTAGGTTAAGTAAATGTTATTGAGTCATATGCTGAACAGCTGTGTCCTTCTCCAGCCCTATTTCTCACCACTATTCTGCAAGAAACTTTGGCTTTTGCCAAGTCTCTCCACCCTCCCCAATTACGTACTCTGTTTTCCACCTCCACCTCCACCCCTACACTTCCATTCTGCGGCCTTTGCTTATGCTGATCCTCCTATCTGGACTGTCCTCTCCGTTCTTTATCTACCTGATGTTCATTTGGTCTCCAATGCTTCTTCTAAGATCCATCACTTGCATGCAGTCTTCCTCAGTTATTCCAATCCACACTGACATCCCTGTCCTCTGATGTCTAGGGATTTGTGGCACCCACACTTATATTGCCTTTTTGTTTGTTTGGTTATTCTCAAATTGACCTCTCAGCGAGAGGGTGCTCCTTGATCAAAGGAATTATGGACTGAGAATCTATGGCCTAAACACTGGTGTCTTAGCTCCCAAAATTCATAATGAGTTTATGCAAACTTTTATGCCCCCTCCCCTGAGCACCCCTTCCCCACTCTCTTCTTAGAGACTTCCTGGCTGGAGGAAGAGTCAAGCGTTAGCTTTGGCCTGGGTGGTCTGGCTTTATCTAGATGAGCAGGACAGCTACTAAACACTGAAAGGTCTCCTGTGGCTTGAAAGAGTTAAAATACCTCCTGGAGGGTCCAATTTCCAGAGAGCTAACTCTTTCAAAGCCAAAATTGGCAAAGATAATCTACCCCCAAGCTGGAAAATGTAGTTAAAAAGTCAGTGGAGGATAGGGCAAGGAAAAGATATTGGTAAAGAAAATGCCTTTTCTTTCAAATGGGTTGAGTTGGTAACTTGAAGACACAGACTTAGACAACAGGACTCTTAATCCTGAAAACTTTGGAATGTGATTGCAGAGTCTGGGTATTGGGGACGAAGGTGCTCCTGGGCTAGGGAAGGGCAGGCTGGGGAAGGGCCAGGCAAAGCCATTGTATCTGGTCATTGAGAAGATTGGTGTGTGAGAAATGAGGCCTCTTGGCTGCAGCTGTCCCCTGGGGCCCATTAGGGCATTCACACTGTGTGACGACTGAGAACAGGCAGGTCCCTAAGCCAAGACCCAGGCCCAGGCCCAGGTTCATAGAATTCTGGGTGTTCCCAGAGTTTGATAGAAGCCAAATGTTTTCATTTCTTATGAAAATTCCTTTCAGAACAGCCTGTTTAAGATGAACTCAGTCGGTGCTAGTTCTGCTTTGCATAGGAAAGTCTTTAATGCTAAACAGGATGTTTTCAAGAAAGAAGGGACAATAACAATATTACTAAATAGACCATTTAGAGTCACTTCCATGTGCCAGGCAAAGTGTGAGGGCATTTATGAACATTCCCACTCCCATGGAAGCTGGGTGCCTTTATCTCCATGTTGCAGATTAGCTAACTAGAGTCGAGGAAGGTGAAATAGGCTAGTGGCTAAAAACCTTGGAGCAACATAGATTTGTTTTCAGATCAACATAGATTTGTTTTCAGATCCCAACTCCATCATATCTTTCATTGAAATCTTTCCTGAGGGCCTATTGTGTGTGCATGGATTGGGGATGCACATCACTTAAGAAGACAGACAAGGTCCCTGCCATCACTGAGTGTACATTTTGTCCTGGAGTGGGAAGGGAAGAGAGGAGCGGAACTGATAGAGCAAACATTCAACAAGATAATTTCAAATGGAGATATTATGAGTAAAAACAAAATAATGTGAGCAGGAGGGGAGTGGATAGCCAGATGCAATTTCAGATAGTGATGTATCCTAGGTCACATGGCACTTACGTGCTGGTTAAAAACTACTTAACCTCTCTGGGCCTCCGTTTTTTCATCCATAGAGTGGGTACGTCAGTAGCTCTCACCTCATAGTCACTTCCAGGATTATGTAAACTGTGAAGTTCCTGGCACACAGTAGGTGCTTAATAAGTGCCAGCTCATTGGTATTATCAGGCAAATCACTTCCATTTACAGGCCACCACCCTCCTGTGAACACACTTGTCTTTTATACATTATCTTGTTTGTTTCCAAGTCACTGCTGTAGAGGTTTGGATAGTTGCAGAGCTTTCTCTTGATTATAAACTCATCTGTATTCCCTCTCCCTCTGCCTCCTGGGACCCTGGGTTGACAGGGACCGAACAAAAAGCTTGAGAAAGTGCTGCTGGCTGGGGGTGATGTTCCAAGTGAAGAGAGATGGGGAGAGACAGGGAGGGAGGGAAAGGGAGCATTCAGTGAACACCCACTAATGAGGTAAGTTTATAGGTCCCTTTGTCCTAGATTCTCTCTTTTCTTCCTCCACCCCAACCTGCCACCTGGAATTCTCACTAACTGCTACATCCATTCTGCACGGATTTTTGGTCTCCAGGGAACAGAGCTTTATTAAATATAAGCATGTCACCTAAGAAAAGTGGGGGCATCTATTACTCAGTCCATAGAGGTGAGTCCATCAGGTTACTTCGCCAAGTGTTGAATCTGAAGGAATGAGCCACAGGTAGGGTTGCTTAGTCCAGGGCTGAGGATACCAGGCAAGTGGAAGCAAGTCTGTGTGGGTTAGAGGGTATGGGAGAAAGAGCCAGAGGTTCTAAAGGAAAATGCTGCCTGTCTCTCTGAACTCCCCAAAACCCACTGAGAAGCCCCTGAAGAACAGTGCCTAGGGACAGAGGAGAGGCTGCTGGTGGTGGTAGCCCAAGGCTGTCACCTCAGCCTTTGCTGGCAGCAAAGGTTGCCTTTTTCTTTTTTCCTTTAGGCTTGGAAAAAAACACACAGGCTTTGGGGCCAAACAGATTTGAGTTCAAATCTAGCTCCCCTGCTTACTACTATTTTGGCCTTAGGAAGTTACTAAGCTTTTTGGAACCTCTTTTTCTCATCTTTAAGGGGGTATTACTACTACCTACCTCCCAAAACTATTGTATGGATTATTCATTCATGAACATTTACTGAGTGCTCACCAAGTACTATGCAATTCAGTGTTCTATGAATATGTTTCCTCCTTCCTTTAGATATGGAGGCCTCAAGATTAGCATAGCCCAGATTTAATTTGGCCTTCTATGAGTTCAAAACATGGCTATTGTACCAATGGCCTATAAGAAATTTAAAGAGCAGGATGGCAAGGCTAGATAATGCCATTGAGCACGATGTTCATTCATTTAATATACATTTGCCAAGTGTCCTTCGTGTGCTGTAACCAGGGATGCCAAGATGACCAGAGCTCAGTCCTTGCCCTGTAAACCTCATGGTCTCATGAATAAAACAGACTTAAGAACAAATGATGACAACAACTGAATCAGGGCTGTGTTAGAGATGTAAGGGAGATACCATGGGTGCACAGAGGAAACCCACGCTGAATTCTGTCTAGAGAGGCAGGGGAAGGATTTTTGGAGGGGGTTACATTTGAGCTGAAAGATAAAGTTTTCCAAGCTGAATGGAGTGCTGCAGGAAGGAGATACTCTAGGCAGAAACAGCCTATACCAAGGCCATGAGAGAAGTAAAAGCAAGAGTTCAGCATGGTCCAGCCCAGGGCAAGGTAGAAGAGTGATAATGAAGGGAAATGGAGCTGAAAATACACATGTCATCTGTGATGGTTAATACTGAGTGTCAACTTGATTGGACTGAAGGACACAAAGTACTGATGCTGGGTGTGTCTGTGAGGGTGTTGCCAAAGGAGATTAACATCTGAGTCAGTGGGCTGGGAAAGGCAGACCCGGCCTTAATCTGGGTGGGCACCGTCTAATCAGCTGCCAGTGCAGCTAGAATATAAAGCAAGCAGAAAAACCGTGAAGACTAGACTGGCCTAGCCTCCCAGCCGACATCTTTCTCCTATGCTGGATGCTTCCTGCCCTCGAACAATGGACTCCAACTCCTTCAGTTTTGGGAATCAGACTGGCTATCCTTGCTCCTCAGCTTGCAAATGGCCTATGGTGGAACCTTGTGAAACCTTGTGATTGTGTGAGTTTATACTTAATAAACTCCTATATATACACACATATATATAGATATATATCTCCTATTAGTTCTGTCCTTCTAGAGAACCCTGACTAATACATCATCCAAGGAACAGGATCTCAGATAAGCCATGGTGAAGCTGCTGTGTGACCTGAAGGGCTCCCCACACTATCATGAGAACCACTATACTATGAAGAATAAATGAATAAATGATGACTGAGTAAATGAATGAATAATCTATATGATGTCTGACAGTTCACGAAGTGCTCTTGTAATATATTGCTTCACTTAAAAGATGGGGGAAATTATTGTGCTTCACTAAGTTAAAAATTCTTTGCACATGACATCACCCATGGATCATGGCACCACAGTCCTAGGGCACACTGTGAGGTTGATACCCAGGTGTGTGAGGGCATCTGATTGACTGTCCACAAAATCCTGCCTGTATCTTGTTCATGAAAGGCCCCCATCTCTATTGGTAGTTAGGACCTAAGAGGTTTGTGGCCTCCAAATCCACGTCACAACAGAGAATCCATACAGCCCTGCACAGTGGGTGAATTTTCATCCTCTGGAATCGGCCTCTTTTCAGTCTAAATCCACAGACACCACTTAGCAGCTGTGTGACTTTAGGCAAATTACCTAAACTCTCTGAATCTTTCTTTCCATATCTGCAGAGTGCTCTCATGTCCCAAATTGCCAGGGATAGCTCAGAATTATGCCTCCTGCTCTGATGTAATCATTGACAAGGGCTCCTTTCACTCTCCAAAGAATTCAAGTCTAGATGATAAATTATGTCACCACTCTACCCGTGTGCCCTCATCTCTCTTCTAGGATTGCTGTTCAGCTGAAATGCGTTAATGTGGCTTTAGTTAGGACAATTTATATGGCAAGTATCATAAAATGCAACTAACTAATGTAAACAGTACAGGAATCATGTGGCTCACATAGCTGGAAATAATTATTTTGTGTTCAAATCCAGGGCTAGGGAGCTCATTTTACTAGTATTATTATTTGTAGTAGGCATAGTACTGTTATCATTATTATTATTATTATTCCTCTTCCTTTTGAAGGCTGGTGGCATCAAAGGAACATGATACTTGGAACCAGAAGACTTACTAACTGACACTAAACTTCCTTGGACATAAGTTCCTTTGTCACACACACATTGCCGCACTTCTGTAAGGAGCAGATGAGATCCCATAGGTGGAAATGCTTTGTAAATACAGGAGGGTGAACAAGGGTAAAGGACTCCGTCAGCAGCTCATAACAAAAGATGCCTTTGTTTCAAGCATGCTTAAGACTGACTTCTGATCTTAATCTCCTATAGGGGCCAAAAGAATAAATACAACTGGAGTTCAGAAATGGGAAGAGTTGTAGAACATGATAGGATGCTCCTAGAAGGTGAACTTGGGAGGGGAAGAGAGAAGATCAAGATGTATCTTAGGATTACCAAAATAATATATGTGGTAATCATGATGATAAAGAATTCTCAGTTATTAGGTGCCTGGGGTGGTAGTAGAGAAGAGTGGTTAAGGAATGTAGACATTAGATTGCAATAGCTTGGATATGAGGATTAAATGGGACAGTGAAATAAGGTGCTTAGTACGACATTGGCATATAGAAAGTGATCAACTAAGGAAGCTATTATTGTGGTTACTATTAGTGTCTGGTGTATTAGACACCATCCTGGGGGTGCCTCCCCCAGCTTCTCATCTCCCAAATGCTAAGTGACCAGGGACTGGGTCCTTATCTTCATTTTTCAGCTATTGATCTGAACAAGTGAAGATGTCGTCACCTAAGCAACAAGTAGTGGCAATAGGGGATTCAGTAAGAGCCAGGGTCGGATTATTAGACCAGACACAGTTGGTTTGCCTTATGCCATGCTCATATGGCAAAACCTTTCACCAAGATGGGAGATTTTTCTTTGGAATCTCAAGGTATTAGAAGCATGAAGGTCTCTGGATAAAAGAGGCAAGTCCTGCTACTTCCTGTGCTGCCAGAAGTGCTACTCTGGGTTTTTGGCATCTGTCCTCTTGTTCAAACTGCTAATGTCAGAGGAGCTCTGAACATGTTCACTAGACACACTTTTGGAGGCTAAATCTGCCCCAGAACCCCAGTGATGGCTGTGCAATACTGCGGGTGATGTCCAGATGACACAATGGGTATTGGTGGCTGTCATCTGAGGATTTGCTTCAGCTTCCAATTGCCCTTTCAAAAACGGGCCAGTCCCACAAAGGGGCAGCATGAGGGAGCTCCTTGGTGGTGATGAACAGTTCTGTGTGTGTGGTGGTGGTGGTTACATGACTCTATACATGTGATTAAATTGCACAGAGCCATTATACATACACACAGATACAGTTGACCTTTGAGCAACATGGGTTTGAACCTAGTGGGTTCACTTACATGCAAATTTTCTTCCACCTCCGCCACCCCTGAGAAAACAATACCAACCCCCTCCCTTCCTCCTCCTCAGCCTACTCAACATGAAGATGACAAGGATGAAGACCTTTATGATGACCCATTCCCACTTAATAAACAGTAAATATATTTTCTCTTCTTCATTATTTTCTTAATAACATTTGCTCTTCTCTAGCATATTTTGTTGTAAGAATACAGTATATAATACCTTAGCATACAAAATACATGTTAATCAACTGCTTATGTTATTGGCAAGGCTTCCAGCCAACAGTAGGCAAGTAGTAGTTAAGTTTTTGGTGAGTTAAAAGTTCTATGAGAATTTTTGACTGCCTGGGGGTTGGCACTCCTAACCCCCACATTGTTCAAGGGTCAACTGTATGCATACAAATTGGTGACATCTGAGTGAGATCCACAGATTGTACCAATGTCAACTTCCTGGTTTGGTATTGTCCTACATTTCTGTAAAATAATGCCACTGAGGAAAGCTGGGAGAAGGGCGCATGGGACCTCTCTGTACTATTTTTGCAGCTCTCTGTGAGTCTATAATTATGTCAAAATTAAAAGATTTTTTTAATGGGTTAGCCTCAAAATGAGCTAATTTCCTTATGTGTTCCATTGTTTACATTTGGGTGGGTTGATGGGAGAATTAAATTAGTTAATACATATAAGAGCACCTTAGAACAATGCCTGGTAGAATAAAAAACAATACATGTTACCTACTTCTAGTACCCTCAGACTCACTTAGCCTATTTCTTAGATGTTTCTTTGTAACAACAAGCATGGTTCTTCTCCTGAAGTCTTTGGAGGTGTGCCCCATCTCATAATGACCTATCTACCCCTACTGTGTCTGAGAATAGTGTTTCTCCATCTTTTTTTTTTCCATGCACCTATGTGTCCTGTTAAAAACTGTAGGTTCTGCTGTGCTTGGTCAGTTGGTCAATAGATAAGAGTTTCTGGCCTAGTGCAGTGACTCACACCTGTAATCCCAACACTTTGGGAGGTCGAGGTGGATGGATCACTTGAGGCCAGGAGTTTGAGACCAGCCTGGCCAACGTGGTGAAACCTTGTCTCTACTAAAAATACAAAAATTAGCTGGGTATGGTGGCACACACCTGTAGTCCCAGCTGCTCAGGAGGCTGAAGCAGAGAATTGCTTGAACTCAGGAGTGCAGTAAGCCAAGATCACACCACTGCACTCCAGCCTGGGTGACAGAGCAAGACCGTGTCTCAAAAAAAAAAAAAAAAAAGAAAGAAAGAAAGAAAGAAAGAAATTAAAGTTTCTGGCCATAGGAGCTTTAGTCAACAAGAAATGATATGATCGTTATTATGCAGGCCTCTTCCATAAATGCTTCTACAGCCCAGATGGAGAGGGAGGGTTTGGGGAGCCCCACGGAAGATGGTGAAACACCAGGCAAATGAGGCAATTCCCACTTTCCCAAGCAGAAAAGGCACGGAAGAGGTGGGCTTCATTGCTTCGCTCATATTACCCCATTAATTCTCATTTATGCACTCCATTATTGTGTATGTTGACTCTGGTGCTATGCTGGACTCTGAGAAATCAAAAAGGAGTAAGGTTATTTACCCTGCCCTCAAGAAGCTTGGTGGATGGTATGTAATTCCAGGCATATAAATAAAATACAGCATCCTGTGCACTGAGAGGAATGCAGATGTGCTCTGGAAGCATGGGAAATGAGGGCTTCAATCAAGGAAGGTAACTTTCACATGGAATCTTAAAGAAATAATAGGAATGAGCAAGGTGGGCAGGGAGGAGCAGGTGAAACCCAAGTGAGCAAGGCATAGGCATGAGCCATGACAACTTGTCCTCAGAACTACCCAGAATTAGGTGTGGCCAACCCAGGTCTGTTTTTTGGAGAGTGACAGGAGATGGCCAATAAGTTAGTGGTCTAATTGGGTTGGGAAATTCTAGGTTAAGTAAAATTGGACAAACTTTTTTGCTGCAGGGCATGTCAGAGCCTTTGATATGTTCCCCCACATTGTCAGTCTCCCAGAAGGGTTATCACGGACAGCACTTCCCAGCCTCATGGTACAGAAACTCTTTGTCTAGAGACATCTTGTGGGACATGATTTCTCTTGAACGTACTCAGGAAACATTGGGCTGTTCAGACAGGTTCTGACCAATGTCGATGCTTAACAGACAACAAAGATATTTTGAGGGGGATCCAGAGTAATGGGTAATTTTTACTTTTTCTAGACCTTCATGGCTAGCTATTGTATCATGTCCTATTAGACTAAACTAGTTCTTCCCAGGAAGTGGGTGGCTGTGAGAAGGAATCTAGAGGTCAGCAGTTTAGCATTATGCTAGCATGAGAGCTCTGCCTGGCCTCCAGGCTGGCTTAGTGCTCAGTCTCTTCCTTGGCCACCAACTGACCTTCCAAGATATTTTGCAAAATTAGAGACAGATATAGCATCTTGCGCTGTAAAAGAAAAAGCTGCAGTGGATAATTTTGCAGTGATTACACAAAAAGAGAACAATAAAGAATCAAAAATCAGTCAAACCTTGAAATATAACCAAAGTTGTGGAATTTATGAAAATGTATTTCATTTTCACAGGCTAAGAGCAGGACTGATAATTTTATTTTAGATATATAAAATACTGGAGTGGGCAGAGGACGCTCTGAAGTAAATTCAAGTCCTAAAAACAAGTATCATAATAAATCATGTACTCAGTCCTTCACTCCTCATCTCCTCTACCCCCACAGTACTCATAAATTCTTTCAACCAAGAAAAATATTTCTCATATGCCTTAGAGGAGAATTTACTGCCTCTGTTCTCCATCAGCCATTCCTCAATTATCAGCTCACTAAATATTTATGGGGCTTTTTCAAGGTACAAGTGCTCTGAGTTCAGTCCCCAGGGCCACTGCACCGATGAAGTGTGTGACATTCAGGCTCCATGTACTTGCTTCCTCACTAACCATTTATGAGCCATCTTTTCCTATATGGACTTAGGCTTTTTATAAGGTCCTCATTCTTTCAAAGAAATGATGAATGCTGATGTATTGATAGCACCTGGAATATAGAAAAAGATAGGAGATTCCTCAAAGAATGTAGAATGTGCCCCAAGTTTTAAAGTACTAAATCACAGGTGATGGGCTCTGGGTGGTCATTAGAACTTTAAAAGTCCACAAGCATGAACACTGATAAGATGGATTAAGTGGGGAAGGGTCACTCCTGCAATCGACCTGGCTGAGAGGAGGTTGTTTCTTTGATTTCCTTAACTTGAAAATTGAAATAATTTCTGTTCTCTACCCTCATAAATTGGGCACTCACCTGATACACTGAGTTCCTGCCATCTTTGAAGAACTTTGAGTATGGGAAAGTAACGAGCCAACAGAGTGTGACCCTAAAGTTGAGGCCTAAAAAACATTTTCCACTGTGGTGGGTGCAGTGGAAGTGACCAGAGTCTCGACACCTGCCATGCTCTCTTTGAGGCCTTCTGGATCTCTACTATTTGTCAGGCCCTTCATCTCCTTCCCCCAGTGCCATGAAATTCTCCAAATCCGAATTCTCTTTAGGACCGCTAGATAGAAACAGGCAAGATCATCTTTATGTGTTTAGAAAGCCCCCACCTTTCCTTTCACTATTTAAGGATAATATTTGTGGCAAAAGAATAAGAACACACATTCTTTCTCTTTCTCTCTCTCTCTCCCCCCAACACACACACACACACACACACACATGCATGCATGCATGCACACACATACACATACACACACTGCCTCTAAGCCTTTTCTTTTTATAAGCTGTAGCACATCTGCTCACTGAAAGTCTGCAGAAACTTAATACCTGAAATGTTGGTGAAAACAGATATGTTTTACTCTATATGCTAAAAGAAAAATTAACGGACAAATATTGTTTCTACAGCCAACTTGGGACGGAGAAAGTGACAGCCTCCATATATTTCATGAGACAAGAAGTGAGGCTGGAGAACAAAGACGTCTAATTTTAAATTCCTTTGAGAGAAAAATTGCAGTTGTATTTGGTTAGCAGCTCTTTGGAGGGCTGTGGTAAAGGATTCCAGAAATAAATGTGATTCCTCCGTGAATGAATGTGAGTGTAGGTGCTCACCCAAGGTCTAGCCCCTTCCCCAGGCCCTGTCCCCAAGTCTTGGGTCAGATAGTAGTGCATAAGGCCAATGAGGGAGTTTCCACAGGATACCTGCAGCAAAGTCATCAGGTTCATTAGTTAAGGAAGACCCAGTGTGGGAAGAGGCTGGGCAGACATCCAGGTACGAGCTTTACAGGGTTAAACTTCTGATCGTTGCCTGGAAGTCTGGTCATGTAGTAGTGTGAAGGTATGAAGTTTCCTTACACCATGGAAAATTAGCCTTTGACCTCTAACATCTGGACTAAGCCTGTGGACTGGTGATAGGGGAAAGAAACAAGCTAAATAGCCTGCGAAGCATGGGGTCACAGCAGAAAAGGGAGAGAGAACCCAGATCTGGATGGATGAAGGGCTTGGGGGTCTGACTCCAGGTCCACAGAAGAAGACCATTGCTCCGGGGATGGGAATGTGACTGTTCTCCCAGGACAAGGTTCCTGTTCCTACCTCTCTAAGCCCTCTGTGTGTATGAGTGGCCCTACAGAGAATGACTCCAGCTGGGAGGAAATGGGCAGGCAGTGGTGACAATGCTGCAGCTGCAGATGTGAACATGTTACTGCAAGCAGGGGAGAAGGAGTGGGCTTGGGCCATCACATCGTGGGATTGGGCACTGGGGAAATACTGAAGGGTGATGGTGGGTGCCAGAGACAAACTTAACAGCCTTCAACATTGAGCATGAGAACACCTGGGGCAAGGGGCATTGTTTGGGTGGAGTCATCCATTTATTTATTAACTATGTGCTGATGATGGGCACTGCAAAGAGACTGCAGATCTGGGCGGAAGCCCTCTCCCAAAACTTTCAAACAACAGAGGGGCTAGTGGGTCTTTGAGGACTAGAATACTTATCTCCTGACACTTTTTCCCCAGTCTCTTCCAGCCACTCTCCTCTGTAACCAGGGAACATCTGTGCCATAATGCAAGGCCAGAACTGAACTGATTAATTTACGGATCCTCTAAAATCAGCTCCAGGTCCCAGAGTGAGAAATCAAACAATAACAAATCACCTCTTTTTTTTTAATGGAGGCATGAAGAGGGGAAAAAAATGTCCTGAGCACTATTATATTTGTCCTTCATCTTACAGGGAGTCCTTATCTTCTTAAACCAAACTTCCCCAAATGCTTTGATGCTCTTTGGAATTCTGCCTGTTCTAAGTCTAAGGATCACCTACCTAGCTGCCTTGTCATTCTCTTGAACACCACTGGCAGTTCTCCCAGGGAGTTTAAAAATCCTCCACCTGTTCAAATCAAGCCTATATCTGGCTGAAGAGTCTTCCTCATGACAACATGAACCACCAAGACATCTGTCATGCCAATGACTGCAGCACCAGAGCCTGCAGGACCTGCTGAGTTATTGGGGCATTTTCCCCAAGAATAGCCCAGTTAAATAAGAAAGAACCAAATCTATAAAATGTATTCAATGCTCAATTGCTCCTACTCTTGGGAATTGGAGAAAGTACAGCCCCAGAGACAATTTCAAAGGGTTTCCTGGCACTGTGGAGCTTATTAAATTCATAGATCGTAGAGCTAGAGGGCCTAAGGGGATTTTCAGCTATACTCCCATTATTATCTCTGTCCCCCTAAGTAAGGTAGTCACTTTAATCTTTATACAAAAGATGAGACCATGAGAGAGGAGATTGTGCAGCCAAGGTGACATTGAACTCACCCATCATCCTGGTTTCTCCCTCACCATTGCTATCAACATAACCCCAGGTTTAATGGGTTTCCTGTCCTCAGTGAGGATTCTGTGCTTCACTCAAACCCTCCAGGTATTGGGAAAGCCTGCAATAAGTCTTATGTCTCCTCTTTTCCTTTGCCACCACCTCTCTCCCTTTTTAGAGGAGAAACAATTCCATTCTTGTTATTTTCCCCATAACTCCACTCTACTAGTCTTTTGCTCCTTCTGTGCTGAGCTTAGAATCAGGCAACTGAGCAGGAAACCTGGCTCAGTATTTCACTGGCTGTTTCACCTTGAGCAAATTCCCACTGATCCCTCGTTAATTGCCCCAGGGTCTGGGAACAACTGTCTCAAGCTCATAATAAAGGAAGAGCTGCCCTGGGACTTATGTGGCCTGAGTTCTAGTTTCTGTGCTAGACTAGCAGATGGTAGAGGCTTAGGAAAATCCCTTAATTCCTATGACCCTCACCTCCCTCACCTCTAAGGGGAAATAAGTATCCCTGTCACAGCATGGTCAGGAAGGTTAAAAATGATCATGGAAATGTTTTGATTTTATAAAGCACTAAAGCCATGCAAAGTATTAAATTTAGTACCATTCTACTCTCTTGTTGAGATCCCTAACATGGACCCTGGGTAGGTTGTCCCTGCATGAGGCAATGCTCAATGTATGACCTCCTTTTCTGAGGATTGTCCTCCTTTAAAGAGTAGGCCTGGAGAACAATATTTGTCTTGCACAATCCTTTACTCTCAGTAATAATTTATTGGGCAGGCATAGTCATCTGACCTAAACAGGTGAATCATATTCTCTCTCCAAGGAATTTAGAGTTAAAATTTAGAGACTGTCATTAATTTTTAGTGCTCACTTAAACTGAGAACACATAAATTTGGGAGATAAGAAGTGGTTATATTTGGTTCATACACAAGGAAGCAGAAAAAGAGAGCTGTAAAAAGTAGCCACTGACATTCATTTCCTTTCCCATTCGACGTATGGCTATAGAACAATGAACACTATAGCAGAAGATAAACCAATGGGCCACACTTATGCTACTCAAGTCAAATGTGGGCCTGTGCTCTCAGGGAAGGAAGAGCACACATCATGACAGGCAGGCTGGCCTGGTACTGTTAGTGAGGCTTTGGGGTTCTCCTAGACTACACCATAAACAATTACATAGAACATTGATATCAGACAAGGTCACCCTGTGACCACAACAGATGAAGACAGAAACAAGATCACAGACCACTCCATAGTCATGCCTGAACACAGACAAAACATGAACATTGTCCAACCACAGAAATGACCAAACATCCGCCCATCCTGCTAGTGTGAATGACTGCTACTTCTTTCCCAATAACAGCTTTAGCCTGGGTCTAGTCTTCCCCTCCCTCTTCCTAGATAAGGTTTATTAAGATACCTACTCATTGCTATACTCTCACTCCTTGACAGCATCTAATTGAAGAAAAACTCCGCTCCTTAAACTCCCCAAAATTACCTAACGCTAGCCCAAATTCTGCAATAAGTCCTAGGAACTTCTTATTGAGATGTGCCATAGTTTCTGATGATATCCGTTGTTCCTCTCTACAGTGAGTAGTAAACTCAATTTGTGCAACTATGATTGTGCCCCTTCCTGATGCTCTTTGGCCGGAAGTCATTGACACGGGCCAAGGTGTCTCTCATACCTTTCAACTGCTGCCACACCTTACTGCCTGTGCCCCTCTTTTGAGATTCAGGTGACAGATGCCAATAGCCAGCCACTAAGTATTTATTGAAAGCCTATCATTGGTAAGGCTTTGTGCAGGTCACCCAGCCTGCCCATCAACACATTACAGAATGCTAACATCAGAAGGGACCCAAAAGATAGTGTAGGCTTCCATTTTATAGCTTAAGAACTACAGCACCCAAAAGGTAAAGTGACTTGTCTGAGGTCACACTGCAATACAGAAATTTTGTTTTTTAGAGTTAGGACTAGAACCTTGGTCTTCTGACTCCTGTTCCAGTGCACTTTCTACATTGTGCTGCGCCTAAACATTGTTAATCGTGTGTTTTTAAATGTGTTCATTTAGTGCATATGTAGACTACACCATAAGATCCTGAAGGGATGATTTTACAAGTATCATGGTGCTGAGCATGACACTGCTTCACTATGGGTGGACTTTTTTTTTAAACAGAGTCTCACTCTGATCGTCCAGGCTGGAGTGCAGTGGCGCAATCTCAGCTCACTGCAACCTCCGCCTCCTGGGCTCAAGTGATCCTCCCACCTCAGCCTCCCAAGTAGCTGGGACCACAGACATGCACCACCATGCCCAGCTAATTTTTTTTTTTTTTTTTTTTTTGGTAGAGATGGGATTTTGCCATGTTGCCCAGGCTGGTCTCGAACTCCTGAGCTCAAGCAATCTGCCCATCTCGGCCTCCCAAAGTGCTATGCATTGATTTTTTGATAGAGAATAGAAATGACTGTACCTGAGTATATCCCACAGTCCATGTATTTCAAACAGCTTCTAAATGGTGGCAGGTTCTCCCTACAGATGACTCAGCATTTTCTGGAATATCACTGAGAAGGATTTGAAGGGCACAAGGGGAGCCATTTCTATACTCTCCGTACTCCTCGGCCTTTATCTTTCTCCATAATAGCCTCTCTGCTTAAATGTCTCTAACAAAGTGTCCATTCATATGCCTCGAAGCTTCTAAGTAGAACAGTAATGAGAGTCCTGGTGCCCTGCTTATTGTCACAAGAGACTATTTGGGTATTTTGGGACACCCAAAACATTCTTCTCAGTGTTACAATATAGTCCCTTTTGTACCTTGATGAAAAAAATAATTTTTGTATAAAAATCAATATTGATCCTTTTTCTGCATATCCAAACAACAGTATTCCCTTTGGCAAAAGAAAGAAAAATCTTTCTTTAAAACAATGAAAAAATTTAATAATGGTTGATGTGTTTGACTTTTTCAAACTCAGTTGAGTTTTCTAGAATCAGGTACTTTTTAATTGAAATCTCTCTTCTGTTCAAGTTGGCATTCATCAATTTTGATGACCATAAATTCTTTCCATTTAAGATTAAGGCAAACCTTCCTTGATCTCTGGAGCGCATTAATGGGACCCTCATTTTTAGGTTATGGGATGTTGGTATCTTTTCTGAAATAAGAAAGATACAGTTTAAGAGGCAGAATGTATTCATTGTCTTACTTCTCCAGTGCTGGAATCCTAGAGATAGAGACAGGCTCTGAGCTCCCAGTTCCAAATCAAAAGCTGCCTCTCTGTTTTACTTTTGGGGGGATCATAAGATTGTATTTTAAAAGATGCTTTCTTATCCATAGCAGTGAGCATACCTAGTCCCTGGAACCTGGATTTTAAATATCATTTCCCTCAAAAAGAAATCAAGCCTCATTAAAAATATATGTAACTATATGACTGATTCAGAGACTGAGAGGTGAAAGTAGAAGGTAAGCCTATAATATTTTGTTGTATCAGAAAGCAAGGAAGTGCTTGAAGACTAATAGGTTCATGGCAAAACATGCACACACACACACACACACACACACACACACACACACACACACACACAGTTTGAAAAAGCCCACATCAGCCAAATAAAAAAAAAATCCTTATGTCCAGAGTGATATTCAACACACAGAAAAAGAGAGAAAGAGAGTCAGGGGATGGGCAGGAAAGCCCTCCTTTCCAGAAGAATGCCAGCTAATAAAAGTGGAATGACAGAATTAGAAATGTGCTATTTTATAACTTTCAACATGCAGCTGTTTTAGGCAAAGAACATGGACACTAAAATGCTGGACTGGGAGATTGCTGGGGAGCAGAATATTTGCTCAGTACCAAAGCACCAATCTACATTTTAATTACTAATTACAAAAAGGAGCACAGGTCTTTGTAATTGAATGATTTGGTAGCCACCAACTTAACCAAGGGATCAGATGTGGCATCATTTGCAGCAGGACAGTCTGACACCAAGTGCCTAATGATGGTACACAACACGAAATACAAAAGAGCACCTAGGAAATGTTCTTGTCAAAATGCTGGCTCTGAATCTAATCAAGCCTTCAGAAGGTGCTTTAGATCTTAGGAAATACAGAACATATAAGAAAAAGTAAAACGACACATAAGAAGCAGTCAGACAATCTAGGATGGAACATTGCGAGAAAACTGGCCTGACTCCTCAAAAACTTGCCCCCCTCCCCAAAAAATTGTAGAGTAAAATAAACTAAAGACTCATAACAACCCAGCACAGTTTATGAACCTTGATTGAATCCTGACTCAAAAATAAACAGCTGTAGAACACATTTTTGGACAATTGTGTAAATTTGAATATGAATTAATGCCAGAGAGTTATTGTTAATTTCCTTACATAAGATCATGATAATGATGGTATGATTTTGAGGAAAATGCCCTTATTCTTAGGAAATACACATACCAGTATGTAGAGGCAAAGTGCCATGCCCTTTGCAACTTACTTTTAAAATGGGAGGAGGGGAAAGAAGGAGATTGAGAGAGAGGAGGCAACAACTCTGGCAAAATGTTAAGAATTGTCAAATCTAGGTGGAGGGCCTATGAGTGCTTACTGTATTATTCTTTCCACTTTTCTATGACTAAAAGTCACTTTCTCCAGGAAGCCAATTCTGAGATGGCAATTAATTTGCAGGTTTATTAGAGAATGCTCTCAGGATCAGTATGGTCGGGGTAAGAAAGGAATCAGGATTGGGCAGAGGAAGAAGTTGGACTGTGCTGCAAATACAAGGGTTCAGCTGGGCTGATCCATGGAGGGTTTTGGGCCGGGAGGGCCCTTCTTTGTTGGCCCATGTTAGGGTGAGAGGACAGGGCCATTGTTCCCTGCAACCTCCAACCTTGGGTGTCAAACATCATTGGATAGGGACTGCCCTGGGAAGAGAGCATGACCTTGAGTAAGGCAATGGTGACAACACCCAGCAGCTGGGAGAATAAACCCTTCAGTTTTCAATGGCGGATCTGGGTGACACAGGATGACACCCATTGCAGCCTTGAAATTTTTCACAATAAAAATTTGGGTTTGGGAAATGTAAAATGAGATTGTTTTGCCCTGAAAATATTAAGTAGTGGCCTACATGCATTTCAACCTTACAAAATAGTATAAATACTGTAAGTTTAATTGACATCTCCATTTTAGAGATGAGGGAATCGAGGTAAAACAAAGTCAAGTAACAAGCCCAATATCACTGGTAGGGCTGGAATTCAAATCCAGGCTGTCTGATGGCAGGTTTCTTTAAGCCGCTATGCTATGCTATGCTATGCTATGCTATGCTATGCTGTGCTGTGCTATGCTGTGCTGTGCTGTGCTGTGCTGTGCTGTGCTGTGCTGTGCTGTGCTGTGCTGTGCTATGCTATGCTATGCTATGCTATGCTATGCTCCCCTTTTACAATCTTTTCTTCAGGGCTCCCCTTCTTCCTGTCTGGTCCACCTGCCTTATTGCCCCAGTTGCATGAGGAATGGTTCCCATTCAGTTCCCCGCTCCAGTAACAATGATTTCATATCTTCCTCCACAGAAATCAATGTCTTCCCCATTTCAAATCTGTTCCCATCTCATGTAATAAGGAAGGGGCCCAACGGTGCCATTTTGCCTCCATGTGTCTTTGCTTAGACCAAGGAGAGAAAGGGTGAGTGGCCAATAGATGTGTTTTTAAACACTTAGTATCACCGGCACAGAATAGGAACTTGATACATGCTTATCAGATGGTCGAATAAATGAGACTTTAGTTGGAGGCAGTAGGGAATCTTGTGTTTTAAAGGAGTCTTGCAGCAAGACTTTCTGCTGATCTTTCCTGGACATCAATGTCTCACTTCATGGTTCCATGAGTGCTCAGTCATGTGGGTGCGTGTGCATGTGTGTGTGTGTGTGTGTGTGTGTGTGTGTATGAAGTAGAAAGTTCTTTCCTTTTGTGTCACACAAAGTTAAGAGGGCCCAAAGCATGGTCACTTGAGCCTCCAGGTGATAAGAATCATCTTGTTATGTCCACATACGTGTCCATTTCCTCCCCAGTGTGTCCATGCATCTCTGGATAACCAGACTGCCAAGTGCTTCCACGTGGCCACCTGAACCGCCTCTCCTCTCAGAACCTCTGGTTGTCATGGAGTCTTGCTGCTCATGCCTAGCTCTTTTTATTCTGTTGACTTCTCTCTCCAGGGTCCTAGTGTTGCCCTTAAATCTAGCTTCCAGGGGAGCTCATTCACACACATGCATGTGGTCTTCCAGATCATCGGTGTCTGAACCCCAATTGTGAATATACTTGAGGTTTCTGTTTTCATTTTCCTCCCCTCTATTTACCATATGTATTTGTACATGCACTAGGTGGCAAGGAAAAGGGTATCATCATCGTGTGTGTGTGTGTGTGTGTATACATATAATATATGTATACATATATGGATAATTCTAAATTGTATATATAAATAATTCTAAATTATCTATCTATCTATCTATCTATCTATCTATCTATCTATCTATCTATCTCTATCTATCTAACTACCTATCTATCCATTTAATTCTAAACATATACAATGAGATGGTTAGCTCTCATGTCACCTTTACAAAATCTTCGAATTCCCCTAAACAAACCTAACAGCTCTGACTTATAGGTTCTCTCAGAACGTAGTTACACTTTTGTTATAACTCAAAAATTTAGTGCAACTTATCTGTCCATATGTTAGTCTTCCCCCATTACCCTGAAAACCCCTATGGTAAGACGACTTAAGGCTTCTTGTTCTTTGTGTCCTCAGTGCCTGGTACATAGTAGGTATACAAAACTGTTGTATGCATGCATGAATGAATGAGTCAAGTAACAAGTCAATCAACCATGTTAATGAGGGATGACTCAGTCCAGCAGGACATGTGAGTGTGGTAAAGAGCTCCTATGTTGTCCTACCTCCTACCTAGACAACCCTAGCCAGTAGTAGTCCTTCCAGAGGCTTTTTGGTTTTTTTTTAATTGAAGTTCCTGAAATTAAACAAAAACATCTTCACCTTTCCTGCAGAGACCAATGGTGCTAAGAACTTCATAGCTGTTTAATGTCAATTTTATTCATCGCCATATATATATATATATATATATATATATATATATATATATATATATACACATAGATATATTGAGATGGAGTCTGGCTCTGTCACCCGGCTGGAGTGCAGTTGCGCGATCTCAGCTCACTGCAACCTCCACCTCCTGGGTTCAAGCAATTCTCCTGCCTCAGCCTCCCGAGTAGCTGGGATTACAGGCACCTGCCACCACGCCCAGCTAATTTTTGTATTTTAGTAGAAATGGGGCTTCACCATGTTGGCCAGGCTGGTCTCGAACTCTTGACCTCAAGCAATCCACCCACGTCGGCCTCCCAAAGTGCTGGGATTACAGGTGGGACATGACCTAATTTTTTAAAGCTGCTTTTTTTTTTATTGTCCCTTAAGTGCATGTGTATGTGTGTGTATATCTTTTTATCTACTCATTCTAGCTTGTAAGCTGTTTGGAGAGAGGACTGGTCAATCTTTAATGATACAATTCCAGCATATGGCCATATTTAATCAACATTAAATTAAAGTTCCTGTAGCTGTCAGCTTAGAAAATTGCTCAGGGAGCGACCATTAGCTAATGAGCAAACAGCTCAGGGATCAGCTACATGCCATTATCTACGGCTTTGTCTCCAAACAACCTGGCATTTTAATTATTTGGCAGAGTTGGTTTTTGGAGTGGTAAAAGAGCTCAATGGTTGGTCCAAAAATTTTTTAGCCTGATAGCTTTTAATGTGAGCAATATGCCCAAGGATCTTGGCTACACAAGCAGTCCTTCCCCTCTCCTCCACCCCTTCAGGACTCTGTCACTTTCTCCTGGTATCTTTGTCTCTGGCTGCATGCCATGGTCTCCTATTAGCTTTGGTCTGCACCTTGTTCCATGACATCAGAGGAGAGATGAGTGGCTTCAACCTTAGAAAAGATGGGGAGCAAAGGGACCTGATTCCTAGATAGTAGCAGGCAGACAAGTTAGGGGGGTGGGGAGGAGAGAGATGGATGGAATTATTACTGTTGAGTGCTCACCATGTGCCAGGCATTACATACATTATTTCACTTACCATCCCCCCATAACCTGATATATTGTCCTCAGTTTACAGAAAAGGAACTGAGGTTCCAGTTTCCAAGGTCACACAACTAAGATGTGGCAGAACACGAGCCAGCCATCTCTGATTCCTAGGTCCACACTCTTTCTACGATACCAGGATGGGTGTCCTGATTCTTCTGATGACTCAATACTCACGAGAGGTGCAGCCTCAAATAAGTTCATTAAATAAAATGTGTTGAGTTTTTTTTTTCACTATCTCTTAGAAAAACATTTATTTGAAACAGACACATTAATTTTCACACTATGGGGATATATCCAATATGATAAGCATTCTGCTATTAATAGATCACACAATTTATATCTCTCTCTACACAGAAAGAAAGTAGGCTATCACATCTCCAAGTAAGATAGCTATGCTCTCTCTATTTCATCTTAAATTTGGTGAGAGAATAATTTTCCCTCAACCCCACTCCTGGCCAAAAGTTTTAGTTAAGAATCACTTGGTTGCAAGTTACTAAAAACAAACCAAACAATCAAAGATTAAAACAAAAATCACTCAAACCTATTTATACAAAAGGAAGTTATTAGAAGTGTCTTATGGAATTAGAAAGTTTCATCAGTTAGAAAGTTTCATCAGTCCTCATAAGGAACTGGAGCCAGGAATTGAAGAGTCAATGGGAAGTGAAGAAGGATTCTCTCTCTCTTTCTCTCTCTCTCTCTCTGTGTCTGTCTTTCTGTCTCTTTCTCCCCTCACTTGGCTTCATTCTCTGTACTCTCTGTGCAGTCTGACCTTCACTGTTTCTCTGTTTTGGTAAGTTTTTGGCTCACAAACAAGGCCCTACCTCAGCTGCACACTGCTTATCAGTTTCAGCACTTCACATGGTCCTCACCCTACCTCAAGGTCCCAATTCTCATTTTCAGAAGGGAAAATCTGATTGGTCAGCTTGGATCATGTGTCCACTACAATTCAATCAGTGGTGACTACAGGGATAGGTAACTTGTTCCATTGATCTCTGCTGTCTGAGAAAGAGGTATGCACAGATCCTTAACAGGGTGTGAGAATAAGGAGACATAATTACAAGAGGGAATAATGGGTCTCTGGTATAGCATGAAATACAAGAAGGCCTATGAGAATTGTCAGTGATAGCTGAAAAGTCCAGAAACCAGGGGGGACCAACAAGAAGGTCCCTATTAGCACAGCAGCAAACAAATCCATGACTATAGAGAAACTATTGGGACAATGACCACTTTAAGCCAAACTTATGTTTCTTTGCCTTTTTGACTCTTTGATTCCATCCCTTCCTGTCAAAATTCAACTCGTTATGTAATAAAATCTTGGGAACGATCTGAATGTCTATCACTATGGGAATGGTAGATCAAATCCTGGAAGAGTCATTCTAGGAAACACTGTGAATCTATTAGAAGGAATGAGTTGAATCAATGTGTATTAAGCTGAGAAAATATTTGGGATTCTATGAAATGAAAAATAAATTGCAGAATAGTATACATGATATACCATTTGGGTTAAAAAATACCCACAAGTAATAACAGCAGCAGCTGAGTTTGAGACAGTGGTATATGTATAAGGGAGGAAGGATATACCTGACAATTGACATTGATTATTTTGGTTTTGGAGAGGTAGACTTGGAGAGAGGAAAAGGTAGACAGTTAATATTTTCTTTATATACTTCTGTATTAGGGTTCTCTAGAAGGACAGAACTAATAGGATAGATATATCTATATAAGGGGAGTTTATTAAGTATTAATTTACACAATCACAAGGTCCCACAATAGGCCTTCTGCCAGCTGAGGAGCAAGGAAAGCCAGTCTGAGTCCCAAAACTGAAGAACTTGGAGTCCGATGTTCGAGGGCAGGAAGCATGCAGCTTGGGATAAAGATGTAGGCTGGGAGGCTAGGCCTGTCTAGTCTTTTCACAGTTTTCTGCCTGCTTTATATTCTAGCCATGTTGGCAGCTGATTAGATGGTGCCCACCCAGATTAAGGCTGGGTCTGCCTTTTCCAGCCCACTGACTCAAATGTTAATCTCCTTTGGCAGCACCCTCACAGACACACCCAGGATCAGTACTTTGCAACCTTCGATCCAATAAAGTTGATATTCAGTATTAAACATCACAACTTCTGATTGACTTAACTTATTAGGAAGTATACATGTTACAGTTGTGACTTTTTTAGGTTTATAAATAAGGTGGAAAGTTGTTACACAGTCTATATTTAAAAAGCTCTTCTTTTTTTTTTTCAGACAGAGTCTTGCTCTGTCGCCCAGGCTGGACTGCAGTGGCGCGATCTCGGCTCACTGCAAGCTCCACCTCCCGGCCGGGTTCATACCATTCTCCTGCCTCAGCCTCCCAAGTAGCTGGGACTACAGGTGCCCGCCACCATGCCCAGCTAATTTTTTGTATTTTTAGTAGAGACAGGGTTTCACCGTGTTGGCCAGGATGGTCTGGATCTCCTGACCTCGTGATCCACCTGCCTCAGCCTCCCAAAGTGCTGGGACTACAGGCGTGAGCCACCGCGCCCGGCAAAAAGCTCTTCTTGAATACTACCACTTCTGGCCTTTCACATACAGTTGAACTCTGTGGACAAACCCCCATAGAATGTAGACCTCTCATGATTCTGATATTCTTCCTGAAATGACAGATGTTGACTGTTTCTCTTATCCTTATTCTTATGCTTACACTATACACTCCATCAGAGAGCTATTTTTAGAATCCCTACAATATCGAAAACATGCCTTATACAGAAGAGGTACCAATTAAATCCTTATTGAATAGGATTAACTCAATATTCAGCAATTTTTCCAACATGCCCTGTATGTTGTCTTCAAAAAGGCAGATTTTCTCTAAGAATTTGCCTTGCCTTGTAAATACAATATCTATTCATTTTATTTTTCTGTTAGAATGGCGTATTATTTTCTAGCCATTTCAAGGTAATTTATATTTTTGTTCCTAATTTGAGGGGAAACAAAATGAGTAATTTAAAAAAAATATTGTGAGCTAACTCAGTGAACTCCAAGCAGCCATGTGTCTTTAAAATTAATTTGGAACACCCCAAGTGACCTTGGCAGGCACAGTCCAGCAAGTCCAGGTCTTGAAAAACTAAAGCTGTGATTAACCCTGTCAGAGATGAAATGGCTGATGTCAAACTCTGCCAAATTACACCCATGCTTGACCTGCTCTTCTCCTTCTGAATGCACCTCATTACTGAGAAACTATCATTCAAGGGACATATACTTAAACATTTAATAAATCTGTGATCAAAATCCTGGCGCATAATTAAGCCTTTGATAAAAGTGAAAGAGAACAAAAGAGATTGGGAGCAGAAGCAAGGTGGAACACAGAACAAAGGGAAGAGTAGGATGGGGAAGGTGTTTGTGCTGAGTCTGAGGTCAGAAATTCTGAGCCATTCAATTGTCTTTTGGACCATGATTTCACTTGGATCTGGCGACAGCAAATTTATAAGAGGCTAAAGACCAATTGCAACAAACATTTAAAAAGCTTCCAAGGAGTTAGACCAAGGCACTTTCAATAATGCTAGCAATGGCAGCTGACCTTGAGTTCACCCATCACTATATAGCAAAAATAATTTGTCTCAGTGCAATAAAGTCATAATGAATAAAATACATACCTGTGAAAATTACTGAAATGGAAAAGGCTTGGGAAGAAGTACCACATAATATATACCAAATAGGGTGAATAGCTGGGCGATGTAGTGACAGGCAGCAAGACACAGTGAGAAAACAATGGGTCGGGGGTTAAAAGACATGTTTTCTGGTCCAGTTTTTACCACTAAAATGGCTATGTGGCCTTGAACTCATCATTTTGCCTCTTAAGGGTTGCGGATTCCCCATCTTAATATTATAAATCACAGGAATGTCTTTTGCTTCTCAAGCTGCAATGTGCAAAAGAACCACCTGGGAATCTTGTTAGAATGCAAATTCTGATATATTAGATTTACGGTAAAACTGGAGATTCTGAATTTTTAAAAGCCCTGGGTGATCCACATACCACACTTTGAGAAGCAAGGAATTCGATAATTTCCAAATTCCCTTCCAGTTCAGAGGTTCTGATTGCTAAATCAGAATCTCTACTTGCTCACGTAAGCCCTTCTGAGTTTCCCTCCTCTTCTGGCTTAGGCTGACCTCTGTCTTTAGACGCAGTCTGCCTTCCTTCCCAATTTAACAGTGCCACAATTCCTGTGTCACCTGGGATTTTCCTCCTCAACCAGGTGAAGGAAAATGGAAGCTGGAAAACCTGCCCTTTCCCATCTTCTGAGCTTGGAGGCAAGCACAGAGGCTCTTTTCTCTTTAAAAGGTTTTACTCCTTGTCATTTGGAAAATAGACAAGGGGAAATTATAAAAGCTTCAGAAAACTTGTTAATATCCTGGACATTTCTTGCCAAGGCTTCTTCCTATACATATACACAAAAATATGTTTTATGGAAATGGGAATTACAGTAAGTAATATATATATATATGTTTTATATATATTAGGTAATATATGTTTTATATATATTAATATATAGAAGTAATATATATATGTTTTGTTCACTACAAAATTATAATTGGTTTTCTCATTTCATTAAAAATTCTTTAAAAATGTGATTTTATTGTCTTCATAGGTACTCCACACAGATAATGTTCATTATTTATATAGCAGTTATAAGACATTTGTTTGTTGCCATTTTAAATAATACTAAGATAAACATCCTCATACCTTTTTAGCTACCATTTATTAAGCATTTACTATATGCCAGACATTATAGTAAATGCTATGCTGACACCATCATCTCATTTAATCCTCACACTCATCATACTTCAAGCTGAGCATTATTGTGATTTTCCTTCTATTGAGAAGGAAACTGAGACACAGAAAAGTCAAACAACTTACTCAGGATCACACAGCTGAGTCCGTGGCAGAGAAGCAACCACACTAGGCTCTAACTCCAAAGCCACGCTCATAACCACTATCTGACAGTGTCTCCTTGTACATAAGTCCCAGGTACCTCTCTGATGATTTCATTAGGATACAGATTTTTTTTTTCTGCCTGTGTGTGAATTTTAAAATTTAACAACAAAAGTCATACAGGTTCACGTAAACAATTCAAGCCATGCAGGAATGTAAAAGAAAAGTGAGACTTTTTCCTTCCTTTCCTTCTATAATTTCTTGAGGTATATTTTCTTTCTATGCATTTTCTTTGCTTAAATAGTACATAGGAAAATGAGAATCCTGTGTTCTTTACTACTTAATCTCTAGTGCCTGGCACAGAGCTAGCTAGGCCTTAATAAACATTTGTTTAAAAAATAAGTGAAACATTGAATGGTTTTTATTTTTAGTAAAAATGTAGTCTTAACAATACTAGTTTCTCTGAAATTATTTTCACTGAATATATATCAAGCAATGCTCCAGGGCAAAAGATATAGCACTAATTCTTTTTAAATAACTGTATAATAGTCCATAATATGAATGTACCATAATTTGTTAAGTTGTATCCCATAAATAGAAATACATGTTTATAAGTTTGGGGAGTTTCTAAGTTTCTAATAATGTTGCATTAAACATCCACATGTACCTTTATGTGCTGATGTTTTTTAATTCTTTAAGGTAGTCCGGAGAATTGGGATTATTTGTCCAAAGGGGATGTACATTTTTAATTTTAATATATTATACCAAGTGATTTTCCTGAAATGCTGGGCCAGTTCATATTCAGAGAAGCAGTGTGTTAAAATGCCCATATCCCCACACCCTTAACCACCTTATCAACCTTTTACATTTCTCCCAATCCAGTGCTTAAAAAAAAATCTTGGTGTTTTGATTTGCATTTTCTTTATTCCTAGTGAGGTTGAGTGCCTTTTAAAATTTCTTTCTGTTTTCCCCTGTGAATTGCAGGAAACTTGCTCTAAAGAAAAATTGCTGGATTAAGGGATGTGAATATTTTAGCAGTGCTTGACACTTAGCCAAATTGCCTTCCAGAAGTGATGAAACAACTTACCCTCCCACAGGCAGCTCATGAAACCTCCTGTCTCACCAAACTAGGTATTGGAATTCTAAAAAGAAAATAAAGCTGTTTGCCAATTTGAGAGTCTCTGTTGATTTACTTGGGCATTTCTCACCTTCCTGTCAGAGGGCCAGGTGGGAGCTCCTGGTTAGGAGGAAGGAGGGGCCTTAGGCACCAGGCCTAGGGAGGGCAGCCAGGAGCTATAGTGGGAGGAGGCACAAGGCATTTCCAAGACCACAGCTGAGCAGGAGAATGAGCACTCCTCTGTATCCAAAAGAATTGAGAGAGCTGGCCCAGGGGTGGGGGTGAGTTTATATGGGAGTCGACTGCCAGGACACGGCCAGGGTGCTGGGGGGCCGTGGGGAGGGAGGGGTGAATGTTGCGCTACAGCATGAGCTCAGTTTCTCCTGTCACATTCCAGAAGAGCTGGCCACAAATGGGCACAACCAAATTGAACAGAACTTAAGTGAAATGAACAACTGCTGCTCAACAATGGCCATAAGCAGAGCTTCAGCCTAGTGAATGGATTCTTGCACTGTGAACTATATAATCAAGTAGTGTATATGTAGAGGCTGTTCACACAAATCCTAAAGCAGAGTAAGGCATGAGCTGCTTGAGAGGCAGATTGAGCTATGGTGAGCTGAAATAGAAAGAGGCTGCCTACAAGTATTAGAAATAGGAAATTCTTTCTGGACAGGGGTCAGGAGGTTAGAGGTCCTCAGTCCTAAAGAAGGAGGTGTCCTATTACCCCTGGCCCTCCCGACACCCCAGAACTTCAGGCAGCCAGTTGGAAGCCCTCACCAATCCACATGTAGCCCTCACAGATCCATTGGTGGCTCTCACACCAGTCCAAGATCTATAGGCTGATCAGAGTGAAACAGGTGATTTAGACCATACCTCCACACTAAAGTTCAGAGGCTCAGTTCAAATTGTCTTTGGGTGCCGCCAGCTAGGTCAAGCTGGGATTCAATGTAGCTGTTTAAGAAAAATCTAGTTGGTGACCTCTCTGCAGTTTAGATAAGCCTGGGTCTTTGTGGCTTTTGCTGAAGAAAGGGGAAGGGATTTTATGCAAGAGAGGAAGAGTGAAGGAGAAAAAGCAGTAAGAAATGGGTGGTTTGGTTGTGACGTGATCCCTGCGCCCTTAGACCTCAGGGTCCGGAGGGATTGGTTTTGAGGCCCATAGGAGAGAGGCCAGAAGGATTTGCTCATCCTGAAAGTCTGTGTCTGGACTAAGGCGGGGTGGTCTCAGGCTGAGGTGAGCCCTCCAGACTTGAGAAGCCAGTTCTCCTCCCTGGCCCCTAGACTCTCAGGGTCATTAACCTGAGGGCAGCTTTGCTGCTCTGACAGCCCAGGGCAGTGAGAGCAAAGGAGGCAGTCTTCAAGAGATTTGCCTCCTCATGAAGGCCACCAGTGAAAGCATCTGGATGGTACCAGTGAGAACTGGGGAATAATTGGGGAAGACTAGGGGAGGGCAGACGTGGAAGTCCTTCATGGGGCAATGTGGACTGAAAGTCACCAGGATCTGGGTATTAGTGTCAATAAAAATTCATTTGTACTATACTTTCCTGGTACCTGGGGACAGTTTAGTTGCAGAAAGAATAGTATATGAGATCCCAGCTGGTGTGTCATAAAGCTAACCAGTGCTCATTTGGAGAAAATGAACTTAAAACTCCTTAAATAAAGGTGCCCAGTCACCTTAGATGAAGCCCTCCAGCAAAGCTGAAAGAGCATCTTAGAATCCCATAGCCTATTCTGATGTGTTGTTCACTAGGTTCCATGGAATTCCCACTATTAGAATGTGGATTTTTTGATAACAACTTCTAGGGAGGCCAGAGTTGCTTTAATTAATTTAAGTTCCCATTACATAGTATTATCTATATATTAGCCCTGAACATGGGAGATGTTTAACACTTATTAATTTGGTTTGATATGTCAATCCAGTGCATATAGTTTATTTTTCAAAATTATATTAAACCCTGAAGTTTGCATTAGCTATGGTCCCATTATAATATATTAAACCGTGAAGTTTGCATTAGCTGGTCCCATGAGGAGCAGTGACATCCTCTCTCTCTTAACACTTTGATACCTCTCCAACTATTCACACCATCAAGAGAACCTCTTGCCTGTTTACCTATGATGAGGCCCCATGATTCACCTATAAAGGCTTTGAGTAGGGAGGAGGGGTAAAGGGCATGAAACTCCTTTAAATTCCAGAAAACTACAAGAAACAGAAGCCCTTTGCTTCTCTAGGGGCTCTACTCCAAATTTCTCATTTGGCAAATGCCGTATTTCTGTGACTGACTTCCCATTTGCAAAGACAAACTGGTTTCAGGACAAAATTAACATAGGCTGTTTATTCATAAACTTGCAGCAAGGGAATCCATCTGCTATCACTTTCATTTCAGCAGGGCTTTGAGGGTGTAGAGAAGAGGAAGTTTTAGACAGTAAGGAGAAATGCTGGGACAAGAATCTGATTGTCCGGCTTTCTGCTAAGGTGGGATGGAGAAGCAGGGGAGACTCATTGATCTTGGGGTATTTTTAGCAATTCTTGGTCTGCTGCAAAGGAGCAAGCAAGCAGTTAGGGGACATTTCAAACAAGGAAACATTGTTCAGTGTCAGGAGCAGAGGGTTTTCTGTGGCTGGCCACTTTGCAGAACAAGTAGGGATTGATCAGGTGCTTTTCTCATGGGTTTTATGTGAAGCTGACCAACACGGCAGGAAGTTTCTCACGTCCAAAGCCAGTAATGGTAGAGTACTTTTAAAAAAATCTTTTGCTGGAAGATAATTAACTACTATCTTGCTTCTAGACTAGAGTTAATACTTGGGAAATGTATCAATTAAAAGGAGCTTATACTTGCTTCCACCCACTTGATTACATAAAGCCCAGTGTTTATCAGAATGTCCTCCCTATCTTTTGGGCTCCCTGGAGCAGGTGAACATGTCCCCTTCAGTCCACCCAGTTGTCATCAACTGCTCAGGCCCTGGAATGCTGCCCTCTGCTTCCCACGGACATCTATGCACGCCCCTCCTGCCTCTGGAGACCAGCTTCTCTCTGGCCTCAGTTACCTTCACCTGTTCCCCTTGATCCTTCCCTTAGGCTCATTTACCCACAAGGATGGTGGAGAGTAGGCTGCAATTCTTTGAAAACCTTCACTGAAAGTCAGGGATGGCAGAAGGAAAGCACAAAACAGACTTACTGTTGTGTGATGTTCAGAGCTGCTGGGCCCAGCAGGTCCTGAGCAAGCTCTTCCTGACTTTCTCTCAGCTGGCCACCATCTTGAAGGAATCGTCTTTCTTCTCTCCAGGGAAAATACCCAACAGTGTGTCTCCTAAAGAAAGGCTTAAGACCAACCTCCACCTCCACAGAGGAAGACGTACTCCCTGCAATCCTTGCCCACCTCCACAGTCTTGATTTCCTGTCCCAGGATTGACCTAGCCTTCACCAAGGGTAGATGTCAGCTGTGATTTCCATTTCCCTCAGAGAAGCTCCACCTCCACTCTCAGGGGTGTGGTCTTATCCTCTGGCTTCCATCAAGACAACTAAATTACCCAAGAACACAGCAGGTTAGCTTAGAACATTCCAGGCTAATCAGTCTTAAGAAAGACAAAGGGTTTGTTCTCAGCCAAGATACCATGGTATAGGAACTGTAATGAGCAAGGATTTATACACATAATTTTGATCCTGCTAACAGCATGGCAAGGTGAAGATAGTAAAACTCATTTTACACATGAGGAAACTGAAGTTCAGAAAGCTTAAAGAACAAGCCCAGGATCACTCAGCTGGAAAGAAGTGGAATCAGAATTTGAACTCAACTCAGCTTGAGATGTGACTTAAAATAGCCATTGTCTCTCCCTACTGTTACCTACCAGATACTCTACTGTCCGATTCCTTTGACTGTCCATTCTACATTGATACTTCTTTCCTTTCAGCTCTGTCTCCCTTTACCTAGCTGGAGTTTTCTTTGTCATAATCCTTCTCTTCTCTCCTCTCCTCTCCACCTCCTCCCTCTTTATCATCTTTCCTTCTCCTCTCCCTTGTCCTCCTTCATCTCCTAAATTTAGAACAAAGGTGGTATTTTCCTATCCATTTAGCAGTCTTACTTGTGAGAAGTGACTGGCAGTTTGATTAACGGGTAAGTGACTTGACTTTTCCTGGGAGCATTTTTGCTTTCCAAGGAGACCATTGTGGTTGTCACTGATCCCAGATCTCTGGCACAGTGTAATTTCTTCTAAAAATGTCAGAGTGCAAGGGCTATGTCCATATAAATACTAAAACTGAGCAGAAGTTACAGGTCCTTGGAGAAGAAAAGTTGTCTAATTGTGTGGCTGGTTTCCAAAATTCCCCTTGGTAATCCTTCCTTATGACTGTTTCTCTTTTACAAAAATACTTTCCAGAAGAGTTTGGAATTTGCCTTAAGAGGTGTCGGAGCACCTATCCCAAAACACACTCCAATAGCAAAGTTATCTGAAGCAAATTATTACTGGAGGCAGTGAGTGCAGGGCCTATATTCAAATGCTAAGTATGTGCTAACTTTGGTGGTCCTTTAAAGCCTCGCAGGAGAATATTAACTTTCCACATCTTTCAAAGTTACATTTTGTTTTTTGTTGTTGTTTTCAAATCAACTTGAAGACTAATTGTACAAGTAAAATAAAACAAAGAGCTGAAAAAAAAGTCTGGATAATTGGGTTAAAAACCCTACTACTGAAAGAAAAAAGGACAGGCACAGCCTCCACCAGACTGGCTTTTACTGCAGATCAAATTCCAGAAAGATAACTTATTTTTTCCCTATTCTGTTACATCTGGCACATTACTTAACCCTTCTATGTCCTTCCTGTGCCCAAAACGATACCAGTTACAATTCAGAGAGACAAGAATGCTTGGCAAATATCCTGAAAGGAAGGGCTCCTCCTCCTAGGACTTGCAAGTCTGGCCCCGTTCTGGCACTCTGGGAAGAGGTGGAGGAGAGAGGGTTTCTGTCTTGATTTCTAGAGTATTTGCCACTGATTTGGACCCATTGTTGACTGTTTACTTTTGGCTTCTTTTGCTTGAAGTTGAGACCTGGACATTCTGAAATGAAGAAACAAAGAAGGATGTATGCAGAAAGTAAGGAGTTAGATGGTGTGTAGGAATTATTATCATTGATTCTCTGAGCATAAGCCCTGTACCAGTGGGTAACTTGTGGTTTTATACTCAAGTATTTGTATATTCCTTGGCCATGGAAAAATTGTTATCAATTTGCCCCAGATACATGCTAGTCTTACATCTAGATTGATCTTCACATTTGCAGAGACAAGTCTTGATTGTGACAGTATAGGCCTTAAGAGAAAAAAAAATGCCAAGATTGTAAGAAATTCTCACTATAAAGGCAAATAGAATCAATCTTTTTTTCAACTGTATTGAGGTATAATTGAAAAACAAAAATTGTATATATTCAAGGTAAACAACATAATGTTTTGATATATGTATACACTGTGAAATGATTTCCACACTCAAGCTAATTAGCATACACATAACCTTACATAGTTACCTTTTGTGTGTGTGGTGCAAATACTTAAGATCTACTCTCTTAGTATACAATAGATTATTATTGGCTATAGGCACCTTGCTGAACATTAGGTGTCTAGAACTTACTTATTTTATTTTATTTTACTTTGTTTTGAGACAGAGTCTAGTGCTGTCACCCAGGCTGGAGTGCAGTAGCACGATCTTGGCTCATTGCAACCTCCACCTCCCAGGTTCAACTGATCCTCATGCCTCAGCCTCCCAAGTAGCTGGGACTTCAGGTGTGTGCCACTACATCCAGCTAATTTTTTGTATTTATTTTTTAGTAGAGACGGGATTTTACCATGTTGGGCAAGATGGTCTTGAACTCCTGGCCTCAAGAGATCCACCCACCTTGACCTCCCAAAGTGCTGGGATTACAGGGCATGAGCCACCACACCCAGCTGAACTTACTCATTTTATAACTGGAAGTTTGTACCCTTTGAACAACATCTGCCCATTTCCCCCAACCCCATCCCCTGGTAACTACCCTTCTTCCTTTTATTTCTATCAGTTCAACTTTTTTTTTTTTTTGAGATAGAGTCTCGCTCTGTCACCCAGGCTGGAGTGCAGTGGCACGATCTTGGCTCACTACAACCTCCGCCTCCCAGGTTCAAGCAATTCTCCTACCTCAGCCTCCCAAGTAGCTGGGACTACAGGCATGTGCCACCATGCCTAGCTAATTTTTGTATTTTTAGTAGAGACGGGGTTTCACCATGTTGGCCAGGATGGTCTCGATCTCTTGACCTCATGATCCACCCACCTTGGGCTCCCAAAGTGCTGGGATTACAGGCGTGAGCCACAGCACCCGGCCCCCTATGAGTTCAACTTTTTAAGAGTCCGTATACAAGCAAGATCATGCAGTTTTTGTCTCTTCTGTGTCTAGCTTATTTCACTTAGCTTAACGTCCTCCAGTTTCATCCACGTTGTTGCAAATGGCAGAATTTCCTTCTTGTTTTAAGGCTGAACAATATTCTATTGCATATATTTATATACACCGCAATTTTTAAAAAATTTTATTTTGGATTCCAGGGGGGATCTAAATGTGCATGCTTGTTACATGGATATACTGCGTACTGGTGAGGATCGGTCTTCTAGTCTACCCATTACCCAAATGGTAAACATTGTATCTGATAAATAATATTCAACCCTGGCCCCCCTTTCAGCCTTCCCACTTTTTGGAATCCCCAGTGTCTCTTATCTCCATCGTTATGTCATGTATACTCATTGTTTAGCCCTCATTTATAAGTGAGAACATGCAATATTTGGTTTTCTGCTTCTGAATTACTTCACTTAGGATACCGACCTCTGGCTTCATCCATCTTGCTGAAAAGCTCATTATTTCATTCTTTTTTATGGCTGTGTAGTATTCCATGTACACCACAATTTCTTTATTCATCTGTTGACAGACACTTAGATTGTTTACATATCTTGGAAATTGTAAATAACACTGCAGTAAACATGGGAGTGCAGTTGTCTCTTCAACATACTGATCTCATATCCTTTGGAAATATACCCAGTTGGGATTGCTGAATCATATGGTAGCTTTATTTTTAATTTTTTGAGGAACCTCCATATTGTTTTCCGTAATTGCCATACCAATTTACATTCCCACCAACAATGCATAAGGATTCCCTTCCCTTACATCCTCACTAACACTTGTTGCCTTTTGACTTCTTGATAATAGCTATCTTAACAAATGTGAGGTGATATATTTTTGTGGTTTTAATTTGCATTTCTCTGATGATTAGTGATGTTGAGTACCTTTTCATATACCTACTTGCCATTTGTATGAAATAGAACCATCTTAATTGAGGGGGTAGAAATAAAATTCCACCTCTAAAAACTGATCCCTAATTAGAGAGATAAAGTTTGCCAGGTACAAGGTGAACTCAGAAAAAATCAATAGCATTTCTCTTTAGCAGAAAAATCCAGTCATAAAATATAGTCAGAAATTAGCATTCACCATAGCAACAAAAGTTACAAAGTATATAGCACAAAATTAAGAATGACTAAGGCCTCCCTTTTCTGTTAAAGGATATAAAAAAATTCTGATCAAATGGAGAGATAGTTCATTCTCTTGCATGGGACAACTTTGTTTTATAAAAGTGGTCAATTCTTGCCAAAATTAAGCCTAAACTTAATGCAATGTGATTAAAATTCTAGTTATATTTCTATGAGAAGTGTGACAAGGCTATTTTACAACGCATGTGGAAGAATATATTTTTCCAAGAATAGCTAAGACAACTTGGTTAAAAAGAGGATTAAGAGAAGAAAGAGAATTTGCCCTGTCAGCTATGATCATACTACAAAGCCTAGTAAGAAAAACAGTATAGTACTGGTGCAAAGGCAAACAAATAGACCAATGAAAAAATTACAGTGCTTGGAGGTGCACTTATATATGTATATGAACCTAATAAATGATAAATGTGTTATCACAAAACAATGGGGCTAAAAAACACCAATTAGTGAACGAATGGTGTTGAGAAAGAACTATTGGGAGTGAAGGGAGAGAGGTGCTTAGCAGATAAAGACCAAAGGGAAAAGGAAAAACTATGAATACTGCCACATTTGCAGTTTTTGTCCCATCTGTGTAAAATGAGACAGTTTTTTTTTAAAAGTATGTGACAATTCTTTGAAGAGGATTAAATATTGAGCTTCCCTTGGTATGTTTGTAGTGTGAGGGAACCAGTTGAGGGAACCAGTGTAGTGGTATTGCTGGCTGCTTAGGTGTGTGGATATAGAAGAAAAACTTACGTATGGCCTGACGTGTTGCTGTTTCTGGCATCTGGCTAGGATATACCTACCTAAGCCAGCACGTTCCTACCTTCAAGCTGGACACTGCCCAGAAGAGAAAGAGTGAATTCAAAGGGCAGGGGGAGGGCAGAGAGTTGACCTAAAAGCAGACATTGAGTTTATTGGCATATGCTGAGCATGTGGGTGAAGCTGGCCTGAAGGTACTTGGGTCAGTGTGGATTTTCCCTATTCCAATTAAGTTTTAGGCATCGTTTTTAAACAGGGCTTCTGGGATTGGCCATTTTAACAGAATTGATTTGTCAGTGTGTTCAAAAAGTTGGGCCAACTTTTGTCCTTGAGTTGATTAAACTCTCCAGCTGTTTTCGTCCAGCTGCTAATGCCTCAAATCACAGGCCCAGTGCATTCTGGTAGGATGGAAAGGGCCTTGGGACCACAGGCCAGCAGAAGGCATTTGTCCCCCATGGCCCCTGAAGCTCCACTGGCCCAGGTGGAGGGCTCAGAGTTGTTCTTTCTGACACAGATGCAACAGCAATACTTCAAACTCCAGACACCATCAACTTCTGTTGCACTGAAGGGCTGTTAGGTTGAAAATGGAAAAGAAGTTGGTTAATGAGTACAAAAATACAGTTAGAAGGAATAGTACAATAGGGAAATTATAGTTAACAATAATTTATTGTATATTTCAAAATAGCTGGAAGAATTAGAATGTTGCCAACACAAAGAAAAGTATTTGGGGTAGATGGATATCCCAGTTACCCTGACTTGATCATTATACATTGTATACAGGTATCAAAATACCACATGTATCCCCAAAATATGTACAGCTATGACATATCAATTAAAAAATACGAACTAAAATAAAATTTCCTAGGGAAAAAAATTCTTTGAAATAAGTGGATCATCAATTGCAACCATTTCCAGGACTATTACAACTATTTTAAAAGAATGTGTTTTTCGAATCAGATTTTTTTACTCATCAGAGGGTAGTTTTTTTTTTTTTCTTTTTTTAACTTAAATTGTCTGATTAATTTCCTCTGCTTTATCAGTTTGCCAACAAAGGCCAAGGCTACTAAGTCTTCCAAAAGTGACTGCTCTTAAAGTATTATGTTTCATGTGACCTGAAAATCTCTTCTGCCCCTCTTGGAGGCAACGTGATGTAATAAAAAGTACATGGGCTTTGGAATCAGACAGGCTCTGGGACTGGCCTGCCTCTGTCTCTTTCCAGCGGTGATCTAGGGCAAATTATTTAACCTCTCTGTTTCTCAGCTACTTCTATAAAATGGGGAAATAATATCTATCCCATGATGTTATTGTGAGGATTAAATGACATAATAAAGATCAAAGTGCTTAGTGCCTTGTAAATATTAAATGCTCAAAGATGGTTCTTGTAATTTGTTTGTTTGTTTGTCTATTCTGTGTTATGCGGCCCTGGGCAAGATGTCAAAGTTAAATCAAGTTCCATTAAGAGGACATGTAGGCCAGTTGGCTGATCTGTAAAATTATCTTTTGTATAAAGAGCAAATATTTCCATTACAAGCAACTTTCTTGTGTGTTGTAGGTGTGTTAGGTTTGGTTTGTGTTTTTAAGTGAGAGTTCAGTGGGTACCTGGAGTCCTGCAGCCCATTCAAGATGCTTAGGCCACTCCTTGCCCGATACGTGTGCTGGCAGGTAAATGGCATGCAGTTCCAATTCTGTAAGGCAGTTCTTCAGACCGTGGCAGCAGAAAGTGCAGGATGCCCCCAGCTAGTGGTCTATAGGCAGCTGCTACATGGAAGCACTCAGCACCTTACTCTGCAGCGTGCATTTAGAAAGGGGTTATTTCACTGCACCGCAAAAAAACCTTGAAAATACATTCTCTCCCCTGAGCCGCAAACACATTCCTTCCAGAAAATCAAGATTGCTAAAATGTTCCTCTTCTACTTCTTCAGATATCCCTGGTTCAGACTAGCCCTGGTGGATCTAAAAATATACTTTGAGTTCATTTTGACCATCTAAAGGCACTTTTCAGTGCCTTTCTCTGCTGTGTCCTCGTAAAATGGTCCTCAGCCAATTAGCAAGCCTCTCAGCAGCGCTTAATTAGTTGTAGCAGACACTAGTCAGGATTGCCATGGCATTATTGGGCTGCAGAGATAGGATGCATGCTGCCACAGCTTTTAGGCCTCCACACCAGCTTCCTAACTGATCCTGACAGGTCCCTTGAGTGAGGTCTGGCCCACCAGGGAGACCCAAGGTGGGTGCTTTTATAAGGGGGGATCCGTCTTTCTTGACTCCACACTCTGCAGGGTGGGCCGTTGCCCTCTCTATTAGACTCCTTTGCCATGTTTCTAGAACCATTTGGTTCTCTCTCATCTCTGGACTTTTACACAGGTTCTAATCTCTTCCTGAAATATTTTCCCCAAATCTCTCCTCCGTATCTCTTCTTTTCTTCCTCTAGTGAAATCCCATTTGTCCTTTCAGTCTTAGCTTAGACACGTTGCCTCCTCTAGGAAGCCTTCCCTCTCCCCTCTGCACCAGCAGGTCAGGGTTAGGGGATCTTCCTCTGGGCCCCAGGACGTCCTGAGCTTCTCCTTTCAGGGCGCTCATCCTGGTATGCAACAACCACATGCTCACCTATCTGCATACCCCATTAGAGGATGAGGTCTGGGCAACCAGGGCCTGTCTTTACTGTTTGCCATGGCATCCTCAGAACGCGAGCTCAGAGTCTCCCTCATGCAAGTGCTCATTGACACGGGCAAGGTTTTATTTGCTCTTTGTACAGATGTTCCCAATTATTTTTGGTCTCTTCCAACCCAAAAGCTGGACCCTTGAAAATGGACTGACATCTTAAAGAAAGAAAAAAAAACACAAAGAAAAAAGAAAACAAAATATACTGCAGTAAAAGCTCCAGCCTACTCTGCTTCTCAGTAGTTTTAGGCAAGTAGATTAATATCCGCAGACCCCAGGTGCCTTGTTTGTCAAAAGGGAATAGTAATACCTTTAAAATGTAAAGATGGGAAGCTCTTTTGAGTTTCTTTCTAAGAGATCTGGGATTTGATTTCCTGAACATGTATCATCAGAGGGAAGGAAGAGGAATTCTTGGGAAGAAATCTAAGGAAGGGGAACAATCCCAGCCTAGTTCTTTGGTGTCTTGCTGTCCTGGTGTTTCTGATGCAGTTAACATGTGAAGAATAACAATTACATTACAAATTTTACGATCTGTTTTTCTCTAAGCAGGTGACAGTCTTAAATCAAATTCATGTCTTTTAGACTTGGACATCACTCCTATTGGCAAGTAGTTTGGGATTAGGGGAAAATAGGCTGGGATTAAAAAGACAAAAGGCATCTCAGACCCCAAGAAGTTTCTGGCATGTGATATTTTGACGATGTTAAGGTAAACAGATTAGAGATCTGTGGATTGTGTTCCTTATGAATTATGGAGATTTTGAAATTAAAGGGAAAGGTTCTCTGGGCAAAATGTGTTTTGCATTTGGTTGAACCAAAACCGTACAAAGAGACCTAAAAAGTGGTTAATTTGAAAGCAGCTGCTTTTCCCTCCTGCCCCTATTTAAACTTCTTTGTCTTTTTAAATTTTTGTGGAAAAAGTATGAGTTTTGAAATGAAAGAGACCTAGATTCAAACAATCTGCAAGAAATAAGCCACTAGTCTAGTTGCTTAATGATTGTAAACCTGGGTGTGCTCATTTTCAAAAAGACCATGACAAACTTTACCTGGGGGGTAAATGTGCAAGAATTAAATAAGTTGAGATTAACAGTACCTAGCCAGCCCAGTGCCTGAGGTATGTAGTAGCTGCTTGGTGTTATAATATTTTTGCTAAGAAGCATTTCTTTTGTAACACACACACACACACACACACACACACACACACACACACACACAAATTACTTGTTTCAAAAACATACTAATTTCAAATCAGACTATATTCTAGGAGCACAGATGGCCTCTCAGTAAGCTTCTTACCCCTACTTACCTTCTGTAAAGGACATTCTCAGTATTTTTGCTGGAGTTTGCCTTAAGAAGTATCAGTTACCAGTAAACATAACTTATTTGTTCATAAGGAAACAAACCTTAGAAACTAACTGGCTAAAAACAAAATGTCTGGGGAAATCACAGTGAGGACAACTCACAAAATCAAAGGAAAATCTAGAGAACCAAATGTCAGCAAGGACTAAAAGCAAATCAGCTCTAACTTTGCTAGGACCAGGAACTACCTGTCAGTCGGGAGAAGTATGTGATTCATAGTCCAAAAAGCTTAAAAACGTTGGTGCGGATTAGCGTTTCACTGTTTACGATCACGTCTTAATATCCTGACTGAGTTATTTCAAGGACACGATTATCCTCCCACTGGCTGGGAATACGCCTCACTTTTTGGCTTCAAAGTGCTATGGTCCTAATATTTGGGGGTGGAAACTGCTAGAGGAAATGCCTGTTTATTAAATTTTAATATTCTGCACTTGGGGCTCACTTGCCTACTATTGAAGTATTAAGAATATACAAACTCTAAACATCGTTTAAAAATGATGCTTTTTCCTAGTTACAGGTCTGGAAGATAAATTTGTTTTATTTTAAATATTACTGACAATAAATTTGTCATGGATTGCCTGGGTCAAAAGACTAGATGGGCTTTTAAAAATTATTTTTGAGTAGATGAAGGACATAGTCAAATCAGCAATTGGATGAATTTAGAGAAGAAAAATCAGCAAACACAAAACTTTTAGTAGACTGAGTAAGCATAATGCAACTTGAAGGGCAGCCTTTGATTTCTGGCCTATGTGATCCCTGTTAGCACCTGTCTCTGGTATTTGTGGGCTGCCTGGGTGCTCTGATGCTCAGACACTGGAATGGTTTCCAAGGAGATGTTATAACAAATTCTGTCAACGTTGCATGGGAGTTAGCCTTCTTAGTAAGCAATGCTGAATCACCTCCTCTCTAAGCTGGGTTGATGCCTTAGCTTAGAGGAAAAGGGCTTATTTTAGCAAAACTGAATTCATAAAAAATTGAGCAGGCTCTGTGTCTGAGCCATATCTGACTGAAGGCCTTTGGTAACATGAGGACAATCAACATGTCAGAGGACAGTCACCATGCTAGAGGCCAGGTCCCTGGGCACCATCAGGGCCCTTAGCACTTGCTGGGAGTGTTAGTGCCACAGCCTATGTTCCTGGAGTGGAACCATCTTTGTGCACAGCTTTAGGTCTCTTTAGCCGCTCTGCTTCCTGTCCCTGACAAGGCAACCACTTCCAGGCAAGCTTCAACCAGGTTTGTGGAGGCACCACCTGACATCAACTACTTCTGGCCCTCTCATGCTTGCTACCTGCCCTCGAGCCTCTCTGGAATTGTGGGGACACAGGGGATCAGAGTTGATGGGCAATTGCTACTCCCTTTCATTTCTTGGGTAATTGTAGACCCCTCAGATAGTCTCATGGGATGAAGCGTAATAGTGGCCAATTCAACATCCATCCTTCTTTTTATTTTCCTCCTTCCCTGTTTTGCTTCCTTGTCCCTTCCTCTTGCTCCCTTCTAATTCAACTCCCTGAACACACACCTGTGCCAGGGTCTGCTTTGGGGAGAACCCAGTCTCAGACAACTTCTCTGGACTGTCATCCAAAATAAGCCTACCCTTCTTGCTAAGGTCCTTAAGTAGGGTCATATTTTCTTTCATAAGACTTAAGTTTCAAGCAAGGATTAGAATTATTCTGTTTTCTCACAAGATAATAAAACATTTGCATGTGCACCCAAAATCATATCACTTTCCTATAAATGGCACTTTATGATTTCAGAGCTTGACTGTTTTCTTAAGCACTTAAAGTTGAGTTCTTATTGCTTGTAACCTCAGCACAACCTTTCCCTGGAATCTATAGCCCTCTTGGCAGACAGCCTGGACAGATGAGTTGGCTCACCAACCTCATGAATAAGGTGATAGAACTGAAAGTAAGGCAGCAATAACTAGCTTCTCATTACAAAAACATAAGGACCTTGTGATTTAGAAGTTTGAACAGGGAGGAGGAAGTGGTTTGTGGCTAGGATGAGGAAGAGGATCTTGTTAAAGAGATTATGGCACCATGTAATACTAGATTGCACTCTTGGTATGTTTTGTTTGAAGACTTGCTGTCGTTTACATTCCATGCTCCCATAATGTACCCACTAATTGTGTGCACTATGCTATGCCCTGTAGGGTAGACAAATAATAAATGTTTTCAGTCATTAGAGGACTTGCAACTGAGTTGGGGAAAAGATAATTAGGGAACAATATTTGACAGTAAATAGAACCAAGGTAGAGAAAGGAGAGTTCTATATGAATTAATACTAAGAACACAATGAATGGGGATAGGATTTTGTCCAGAAAGACCTTGAAGAAGATACACGCGTTAAGTTAGGAAATAGCCGGTTTGGGATGGTAGAAAAGTTTTGGTTATCCCAGACAGTGGTAAGAACATGAACAAAGTTATTAAAAAATTATTCATTTGGTCATTGGTACCCACTTTGTGCTAAGCATCATATCTTGTACTGGGAATATAATGATGAGTAAAACACATTGGAACCCGAGTCACTGAGCTTGTAGCCTACAACTGGGGGACTTGTAAATGAGCTTTGTCTGCACTGAGCCAATGGCCCTGGAGCAAGTGCTATTCTGAGGAGCCTCTTGAAAGGCAAAAAAAAAAAACCAATAATTTTATGAGAAAAATGTGTTTAGATTTTTATTTCTGAAGTGTAAAACATTTGCATCGTAGATGTCACCTTTTATCATTATCTTAACAGTTCAAATTGTATAATACATGTTTCTTTCTCTGGGGAGCTGAGAGATTTAATTAGCAGACAGCTGTCTCTTTAATCAATAAGTTCATATATATATATATATATTTTTTTTTTCTTTCCAGAAAAATAAATGAGGACAACATTCTATGTTGATAACCAGAACTTATTTATTGCTTTCCCAATCAGAGTCATGGCAGACACATATTTCTAAATACTAAGAAATAGACCCTTTTCTACAAGAGTCGGGCTTTAGGCTTTACATAAATATCAATTTAGAAGATTCTCAAGCAAACTTATGCTCAAATTCTCTCTGATTACTGTAATTTGTCAGCTTGTTCTTTAAAATTGGAGATAAAAGGAAGTAATCAGTTATGAAGTGACAAAGACTACTTAAGGATATCTTAGGAGCTAAGCCTATTTCTTTTGTTTGTTTGTTTTCTAAGCTTATTTCTTATCGTATATCGAACTAGACTTCGGACAAATACCTGGGGCATAAAGGAGTGTCACTGGAAACAGTGTCCAAGCACTACCTCTTCTCAGTTGAGTAGGGAAATCCACCCTTGCCTCCTCAAATGCCTGCATTGCTATATATTTCAAAGATGGGAGACAATCACAGAACTGACCTGATAGTAGTTGTTTTATGGTGATGAATATTGTTTCTTTTTGAAGAGCAGAGAGAAATTTGTGAGGATTGTGGCTCCCTGACTCCTGATCACATGATGCAGAGAGCTGTCTGTGTGGAAAGAAAATTGATTTAAAAGCAGTTGGTGGCGTACCTAACACAAATTTGATGAGTAAAAAGAAAAGAAGCTCTGACAATGCCAAGGTAGATTTTAAAATGTTGATGGCATGAAGGCCTTGGAGAAACCTCCTTTTGATTTGATGGCCCTGGCACCGCATCTGTTGTCTTTTCACCAGCCTCATTCTCTGGTTTGCAGCCTGGAATTTTTCTTGCATGGACTGCAGTGACAGTCATTAGCCATGCATGATTCCTCAACACCATTGCTAGTTAGTATCAGCTTTGACGAATGTTTTAAAAAGTGAACTCTCTTGCTTGTTTCACAGTGCTTTTCCTCATTCCCTCAGAGAAACGAAGGGGAGGTGGTAAGGCAGGATTGGTTGGCTTGGGGAAAAAGTAGCTTTATGTGGGGAGTTGGAAAGAGCAAGTCTGCAAGTGTGGCCTTCACCCCTGGTTCTGAGGTGCCTGGACTCAGAGGTCTTGTCACGCAATCTTTCCTTTCCTTGTGCGGGTTTCTAGAATCTTGGAATAAGTAGCATCAACCTATTAGCCCTCAAAAAATTTCTAGAGAGAATGAGGCTCTCTTGACATCATACCGAGAGTTATTTTGGTTCCCTGTATTTCTACTCAATGCTCAACACCAAAGTATAGAAATCCAAAGAATTTTGACTTGGACTATGGAATTATACTCAAACCACGAAAAGAGACTATATTTGCCTCTACAATGAACGAGTACGTAGGATGTTCCTGGATGGCAAGTAGATAGTCCAAAAACCAATACAAATTAACAAAGCTTTATAGCCTATAACTTCCTTTCCTAAAATGTTACCTGTGTCACAAAAACTCACAAAGACCTGGGAAGTTGATACTGACATCCATTCTATAAATAAGGATAATGGAGTCTGTTCCAATTGGACCACTTATTAGTGAATGAGCCAAACTGAGACTTCTGTCTGCTCTACCCCATGATTCTGTCCACTATGGCATGCAACCCCCTTGAGTAAGTAAATTACTTTGAATGCAACTGAGATAACTTAGCTAGGTATCTTCACTGTACCTGAGCAGTGAGAAATGTTTACTGATAAAAAGTATCTCTTGAGAAATCAGGTGAATGAAGGTGTGAAAACAATTCTGCCAAGGTGGAAATTGGATTTCAATGGTGGTGTTCAAGATGATCATTTCATTCACTACTGCAAAGTGATAGAGCATGAAGCAAAGAGCCAGGAAAATGGTTTTCAATCATGTGTATTTGCTTGAGCTATAGGAATATCTGCCAATTGCAAATTTAACTTAGTGAGATTCCTTTTTCTTTTCAAAATGAAAACTTCTCTTTGAGGACAAAACTAAGACTTTTAACTGAGAGTAAATTGATTTTCCCAGAAGTCTAGCTATTTGGTTACATCAGTTAGGAGCTGGTAAATCACCAAGGTAAATGAAACATAATTTGCAGAAGCCAACCATGGGGCTTCCCATAATTCCCAGTGTCATGCTGTTGTCCCACTTTATTTATGGCTGCCCTCTCTCTGCACAGCCCTTGGCCAGAGTTTATACACATTCTCTCATATAGGCTTCATAGTAATCCTGCCAGAGAGGTTAAATGATATGTCAGTGGCTACACAGCTAGTAAGTCTAGGAGCTAGGATTGACACTGGGGGCCATGTTGCTACAAACCCTCAGTACCAGAGTTTTTAAACTTTGTCTTTTGGAGGTGTCTTGGGATGCTGGAGGTGCTATGAGCCACAGGTCAAGGCTATTGCCCTCTGCTTGTGCAGAGCATCCCCTATCTTTATCTCTTTCACATATGGTGGGGTTCCTGAAGTCTAGAGCTCACCAAATTTATAACACAACTCAGATACACAAGGAGAGTATCGTTTCTTTATTTGGTCTCTAGCTGATCCTGATGAAGAGGCCTCATCTGATTGCAAGCTGGGAAAAGAAAGTTAAGTAGCTATCCAGAGCAGTTTACACTTAGTTTACTCTAAACCTTTAAGGATCCTTTTTTAATAAGTGAGGTCTTTCAGAGGGCCACCTCACCCACACTTTCTGTCTTTAGAAGGCAGAAGACATAACCCAGAGGGCATATGAGGGAGGGATGTTTGCCGTTCCTGTTCTCTTCTGTCACGATGATCCTAGGCTGCCTGGGTACCAGGCACCCAGATGCTCAATGCTGAAGTAACTGGGGGTCTATCCTTTTAGCTCCAGCAGGCTCCTGGCAAAGCTCCCAGGCTGAATGGCCTCCTTCTCCTGTTACGACTCTGACTCTTCCAAGGATTGGCTGTGACTCATTTGTCACTAGTCCGAACAGCCAGCCCTGCGATCTTTATTGACTAAGAGATACCTTATCCCTTAGAAGGGGACCCCCTCTGGCTAAACTGGCTCCTTCTACTAAACTAGACAATAAGAATTTCCCTGCTGGTCTTAACAAATCTGTTCTCAACTCCAAAAAATTGTAAGCAGATTTAGTTACACATGAAATAGGAATGATTGCTTTTCCTCAATCAATACACCAGTGATTTGAAAGCGTTTGTAATCAATGAGAATCAAAAAATGCAGAATGTTAATCCTGCAAAGGCCTGTAAAGGCTGTTCACACCCCTTCTCCCCCATCTTAAAGAAGGAGAAACCTGGAACCCAGAGAGATGAAGCAGTTGGCCTGGTCACAGTCCCAGTTTACAGTGGAGTCAGACCTTGGCCCATCCCCTGACTTTCAAGTCCTATATTTAAGCGCCCACACCACACAGCCCTTCAATCATAAACCCATATCAGTCAGAATGGTTGAGGGCTGTCCTCAGTGCCTGGGCACCAAAACTACAGGCACGTTACACTTTTACAAAGTTAACCCGTCAGAAAGAATAACTGCAATTGCTTTGGTACACACCAGTTTTCTATGAAATCCTTTGAGCTCAAGGAGGTCAAGCACATTTCTCTTCAAGTGATGTACCCATAAGTCTCTCATGTATTTGAAAGATGTACAAGAGACCAAGGTTGAGAAGAAAATAGAAGTTGCACAAACCAGCTCAGAAAAACTTTTTATTTTATCAATAGTTCTTTATCTCTACTCATTCTAGCTTCAAAATAATGCTACCTTGGGGGAAGCATAATAGAAAATTTTCAGCAGAAAATATATTCACTAATGAGAAACAAGAAAAAGCTCCACAATGAATACTAATGTGCTGCCTAAATATTTTATCTTCAATTTTCCATTCAGTGTGAACCATCCAAAATAAAATGTAAAAATGATGATTTTGGAGATGTGATACCATCCCTAAGGGGAGGATGGGGTGGGGATTTTCAAAAAGATATAAAATGGCTCTTAAAAATAGAAGAAAGTGTTGTTAATTAGAAGTGCCCTTCCCCCTATATTGCAGACTACTTATTTTGGGTAGGATGGAGGGACTTTTTAGGAAGCTCATGTGGTTGTTTTAGTCTCCAGAAGCACATACTGGCCTGGCTTTGGGGACCATGTGATTCTTCAATGACTCCTGTTGCTTCCAAGGCCACAGAGTCAGAGATCTCCAATTTCAGGCCTCCCACTGTCAGAACCTGTCTCCTCGCCCCCAATCCTACCCCACCGCCCCAGGGTATAGGCAACTCCTCATTTCTTCTGGGCTGGGTCATGGCCTCTTCAGGCAGCCTCTGGGGAAGCTTTGGCAGTAACTTGGTCCTGTGATAGAGAGGTGTGAGAGTTCCTTATCGGGGACTGTTCTAGGCTGGGTTGTGTCTCTCTAAGTTTTATATATTGAAGTACTAACTCCTAGTACCTCAGAATGTGACCTTATTTGGAAATAAAGATGTGATTAGATGTGATTGTAGATGTGATTAGTGAAGATGAGGTCATACTGGAGTAGAATGAGTCTCTAATCCATTATCACCGGGATCTGTATAAAAAGGGGAAATTGGGACACAGACATGTGTAGAGGAAAGACAGTATAAAGAGACAAGGTGAGAACATCATCTCCAGGCCAAGGAATGCCTGCAGCTACCAGAAGCTAGGGGACAGGCTTAGAACAGATTCTCTCTCACAGCCCTTAGATGGAACCAATCCTGCCTACATTTTGATCTTGGACTTCTAGCCTCCAGAAGCAGGAGACAATAAATTTCTGCTTTGCAAGCCATCCAGGTTGTGTTACTTTGTTGGTTTGTTAAGAAATGAACGCAGGGAACTTTTCTCCTATTCCAAGTCCATAGAATCCCTTTCCGAGTCTTCCTCCACTATTGCCTAAATCTTCCCCTTCTAAAACTGGGCTGTCCTTAAAGGACCGTATTTGTACTTAGCTCAGGCCTCATCTCTCTCCTAAGGCGATCTGCATGGAAATTTTATATGTGGTTGTGAAATGTGGAGTCTTGTCCCCTGTTTTGGAAGCAATAAAACATGGAGGTCGAAAGCATAGGCTTGGCAGTCAGAAAGCACAGTGTTTAATAGCTTCCTGGCTGTTGGACTTTGAGAAGTTAAAGAAGCATGAACTTCTCATCTGTTAAATGGGGCACTAATGCTCCTCAACTTCTATGATTAGGTGAGATTGTAAAAGGAAGGCACTTAGCACAATTCCTGACAGATAAGCACCTCCATTAATGAGAGCTATTAAAAATAGTACCTATTAGGGGGAGCTTCAGGCATGGAGGAACAGGGGTGGGGGCGTGTGCATGGAGTCTTTTCAGCTCTCTGAAATTAGACTAGACAGCTGCCTACTCGGTTATGTAACTCTTGAGTCACATTTATAGTCTCCATTAAGCCGAATAACCACATGACCCCTGTGTGTCTTAGAGAATCTAAGAAAATATCAATTTTAACATGAAAATAAAAGGGTTTGCTGAGCCACAAGATGCAAATGATATCCAGAACCAAGTAATGCTGTCCCCTGCTTCTTCCAGCAGGGTGAGAGGAGTCAGCACATACAGGTCAGGTACCTAGAATCAGTCAAACCCAACCCTGAGGTGAGAAAACACAGCTCCCCTTCTATTCATCTGCATGACCATGGGCCACTGTCTTAGTCTCTCTGAGCTTTAAGTCCCTTACCTGTAAAGGGTCCTGGAGGATAGTGTTGTTGTTCACAAATATTTCCTGCTCTTCTCAGGGGATGTTACAATCTCTGACCCCAATCATATCTCAGTTGTCCCTATGACTTGCTTTGACCAGTGAAAAAGGAGGGGACATGATGGGTATGCCCTCAGGCCTCTTCTTACCTCTGTTATCATGGAAGCACCTGTCAAGATGGCACCACTATTAGCCTGGTCCTGAGTGTGTACAATAAGTAGGTCACCTTCGTGAACTATGACCACAAGCAATCAAACAACTTTGCTGCTTTAAGACCCTGAGATATTAGAGTTGTTTGTTTCCACAGCACAACTTAGCTCATTTGGACTGATATGGGTAGGAAGGCAGACATATGCTTCATGGGGCTCTGGGGAAAGGCTTTTCAAATATGAAGTGCCTTACAATTATAGGCCAATACTTGAGAGAAAAAGAAACTTTAATTCCCATGAATTATCCCCTACTCCTACCAAAACATTATGATTAATAATTAAATATTAGTTGAGGAAAAAACAAACAAAAAATCCCCACTGATCAGGCAAACTCCTTTCTCTCAAAGTAGACAGAGGAAAGAAGGAGATATGAAGCAGAATTATTGACAACAGACTTAAAAAGAAGCACCTTGGAAGCTTGCTTAAATCAGGCCGTCCTCCCACTGGCTGTCTCAAGTCTCTTACCTTCTGATTTTTGCCTTTTTGTGCATACTTCAAATGTCTAAAAGAGCTACTTGAAAATTGTATTTTTCTTTATATTTGAGAGGAAACCCATCAAATGTGCACATAAAGTCATAATGTTCCAGGTCATAGAAAGAAAGAAAAAGATAGAAATCAATTATTTAGAAGGCACTCATTTGTTTCCTGTAAAGCTTGTAATATGCATTATTTATTGTACGGAGAGAGCAAAAAGGGCTTTCTTATTCACGTGACAAATTCACCAATGACCCTAGAGGAAACTTCCGTTTTGTTGTCCTCAATGTAGAAAGTCTTAGCATAGGTCATCAAAGAAAAAAAAGGAGATAATGCCCAAAACACAGTTGACATAGTATTTCACTTTCATATTTATATTTGAATAGGTGAATGACAAAAATTCTGCTAATTTTCTTCAATCAGGTTAATTAAATCACACAGAAGACTTTACCCAGAAGTATCCAACCAACATCCTCATTCTACTCCTTGTTTGGTTATTTCCTGCTCCATTGCAAATGAACAACACTAACTCACAGATTATTATTTTTCTTAAAGTCCCTGAGAAAATAGAATTGCCTTTTTCTCTTTTGAAAAAATTCCTTCTATTTGGTTTGCACCTTTCTGGGACCAAGATGTTTGTTTTAAAATAGAGGCAACCTCAAGCCTCCTTTCCTTCCAATTCTTGCTGAGCTATGGGGTGAAATTGAAAAGAAATAAATGGTAATAATGTTAGCCAAGGAGGCTGCCATTACAGGGAAATTGGAACAAGAGAGATCTGGGGTGAAAAGAGGCTGAAGAAAGTACAGCTTAGAGCTGATCTGTTTTAGGACATCAGTCAGACCTGGCCAGAGCATTTGGAAATGTGCTACTTCTGGAATGAATAAGCCAGGACTTGTGGGGAGGTGTGGGAATTTATTGATTTGAGTTCTTGGGCCATCATCATTTTTCTTAAATTACTTTTTCGAGGTATTGCCCTTCTTGACTCAGACATGAAAGATGTCTCCTCTCATTTAAATCAGAATGCAAAATTGGGAATTGGTCCCACATCTTGCATGTAGGAAAAGAACACTTGGATATAGAAAACCAACCGATAGGAGCTCCTTCTCCTCTTGGAGATCTTCTATAAGAGGCCATCATAATGCTTCTCTCGACCATTCTCCAGAAAGTGAACCTAAAGAACTTGAACAAGAAGACCAAAAAATGCACCATCTCTAAAGAATGAGAAGACAAGCCACAGACTGGGAGAAAATATTTGCAAAAGACCTATCTCATAAAATACTGTTCTCCAAAATGTACGAAGAACTCTTACAACTCAACAGTAAAAAAAAAAAAAAAAAAAAAAATTTAAAAATGGGCAAAAGATCTGAGCAGACACTTCATCAAAGGAGATATAGATGGTAAATAAGCATATGAAAAGATGCACAACATTATGTCATTAGGAAATTGCAAATTAATAAAATATCACTATGCATCTATAAGAATGGCCTGAATCCAAAACACTGACAACACCAAATGCTGGCAAAAATGTGGAGCAATGGGAACTCTCATTCGTTACTAGTGGGAATGCAAAATGGTACAGCCACTGTGGAAGATGGTTGGGCAATGTCTTACAAAACTATTATAACACTCTTACCATACAAATCCAGGAGTCATGCTCCTTGGTATTTAACCAAATGACTTGAAAACTTATGTCCACACAAAAACCTTCACATGTATGTTTATAGCAACTTTATTCATAATTACCCAAACCTGAAATCGACCAAGATTTCCCTCGGTAGGTGAATCGATAAACTGTGTTGCATCCACACAATGGAATATTATTCAGTGCTAAAAAGAAATGAGCTATCAAGCCATGAAAAGCCATGGAGGAAATTTAAATGCATATTACTAAGTGAAATAAGCCAATCTGAAAGGTTACATATTGTATGATTTCAACTATATGACATTCTGGAAAGGCAAAACTATAGAAACAGTAAAAAAGCTAGCAGTTGCCAAGAGTTAGAGGGGAGGGAGGATAAATAGGTGAAGCACAGATGATTTTTAAGCCAGTGGAAACACTCTGAATGATATTATTATGGTGGATACATGTCATTACACATTTGCCCAAGCCCATAGAGTGTTTAACACCAAGAATGAATCCTAATGTAAACTATGGACTTGGGTAGTGAATCCTAAAACAAACTATGGACTTGGGTAATCATAAGTGTCAATGTAGGCTCATCAATTGTAACAAATATACCACTGTTGATAATGGGGGAGGCTTTGCATGTTTGTGAGTAGGGGGTATAGGAGAACTCTCTGTACCTTCCTCTCAATTTTGCTATGAACCTTAAACTGCTCTAAAAAAATTAAGTCTTTTTAAAAAAGAATGTACACACACACACACACGCACGCGCACGCACACACACACACACACACACACACACATATAAAAGAAATAAGTCAGGGAGTAGTTGATTCCACAGACCTTTGGGGAGTTGATTCAGATCTGACACACATGAGCTGGAAGGAATTGGTTAAAGTGCCATCTTGGATTATAAGCTGCCTTTGAGAAATCTTTGTATCCAAAAATTAGGTTCTCTAACTTTCAACTATTCTCTCCCATTAGCTTCATACATTTCAAAACATACTAGCAGATCAACCCAAGAATTGTTATTTTGCTTTTTAAAGAAATATGAAATATTTAAGTGCCCATAATGGAGTAGGTGTTGTGTGAAGCCACAGTAACACTGTTTCATTGACACATATTGCTTTTGCTTTACATTTTAAGATAAAAATTTGTATTTATCTTAAAATAGATGTCCATCTTATACTTTGCAGTGTTTTTTCTTCCTTAGTAATATATAAACTCATTCACCTTATAGTCAGCGTCTTAGATCTCACAAAATATGGTAATGTGGGAAACAAAAGAAAATGTGGATCTTCAGCCCGGTAGAGAGATGGAATTAAATGAGCCATCATGCAAATGAAATTATAACTGTGATTAGTGCTTTGAAAGGATGGTACATGGTGCTGTGAAAGACATCTAGGGAACCAGGAAAGACTTCATGGAGAAAGTGTCAATAGCCTGAGAACTAAGAATACAGGAAGAGTAAGAGTTATCTCAGTAAAGGGTAAGAGGATGAGTATTCCAGGTGGAGGGGACTACAGGTCCAATGGCTTCAGAGCAGGGGAGAATTTGAGGTGTAGAAAGATCAGTGTAAAGGACGGCCAGAGTAGGGGGAGAGTGCGCTGTGAGGTGAGTCTGGGAAGGTAGAAAGGTTCCTTTGATGCACGCAAATGGAAATGCCAAGTAAGTAGTGGACTATTTGGGTCAGGAGCTCACAGGAAGTTTCTGTGATGGAGATAAAAACTGTTGAGTCATCTGGATCAAGCTTGTAATTAAACCCATGTGTGAGAATGGCTTAACTAAGGGATGTGATTCTCAACTTTGGCTGAACTCTAGAATATTCTGGGAGCCTTTTAGAAATCCCAATGACAGCCAATCCATTATGTATACATATTCAAAACAGTATCTTATATACAATATATACAATTTTTTGTCAATTTGAAAAATAATAAGTTTTTCACATAAAAAGTAAAATTTAGAGAGAGAATTTTATTGAGAAAAAAATCCTAACAATCAGGCTCCCCACAAAACCAATTAGTAAAATATCTCTGGGGATAGGAATTAATATTTTTAAGGGTCCTAGATGATTCACCAGGTGCAGGTATGTTTGAGTACTACTGGCCTAGAGAGATAATACAGAGTAGAAAACAAGGAGACACTAGAAGGAAGAATCGGGAACTCTAATACCTAATGGCCTGATGGAGGAGGAGAAACTTGCAAAGGAACTAAAGAAGCAATGGCCAGAGAGATCAGTGAGAAATTAGGAGAATGCAGGGTTACAGAAGTCAAGAGGAAAAGGAAAAAGTTGTCACCAGTGCAACTTAGAGTGATGCTAAGGGTTAAAACATGAAAGGACTGAAAATATCCATTGCGGCTAATCACAGAGGGTCAATGATGACTCACTGGCATCTGTCTCTTGGTATGGTGTCAGAAGCAGCCAGATCAGGCTGAGGGCTGGGGTGGAATTGAGAACACCAAGTATTTGGGCCTCTTTTTAGAAGTTTGGCTGCAAAGAGAAGTCAATTGAGGAGATCATGGGGTAGATAAAGTTTTATTTATTTATGTATTAATATTTGTAAGTGAGAACTATCTGAGTCTGTTTGAGAGTTAAAAGTGAACAACCACTTTAATATACAAGATGATAGCATACATTTCCTGAGAAGCTGGAGGGAAAAAAATAAACTTAAATTCAGGTGAAGGGACTAGGTTTTGATAGGAAGAAGGAATGGCTCCTTTACTGTAACAGGGTGATATGGTTTGGCTCTGTGCCCCTCCCCCAAATCTTGTCTCGAATTGTAATCCCTATCATCCCCATGTGTTGAGGAAGGGACCTGGTGGGAGGTGATTGAATCACGGGGGCAGTTTCCCCCTTGCTGTTCTCCTTATAGTGAGTTCTCAGGAGATCTGATGGTTTTATAAGTGTTTGACAGTTCCTTCTTCACAGGCTCTCTGCCTTTCCTGCTGCCTTGTGAAGAAGGTACTTTCTTCTCCTTAACCATCTGCCATGACTGTAAGTTTCCTGAGGCCTCCACAGCCATGCAGAACTGTGAGCCAATTAAACCTCTTTTGTTTATAAATTACCCAGTCTCGGGTAGTATCTTTACAGCAGTGTGAAAATGGACTAACACACAGGGTGAAGGAGGAATCGGTTGAAGGAGAGGTAGATTTCCACGTGCGGTAGTGGGAAGAGGAGAGAGTTCTTGTGCGAGTTTCATCTTGTATATGAAAGCAACTTGAAATGTTTTTATTAACACATGTCCCTGGTTTGGCTTCAGAAGTTATGTTTCTCCTAAGGACAGTCTCATCCATGTGGCTTATCCATGAGCTGCTATCCATGTATGATAATTATCTTGTTGGCTGGAATTCCCTTCCAAAGTTTCTGCTCACCTATACACCATTAATACATTAATCCATCTAAGCAGGAGTTATTCCTTAGCTGACTAATTAGGGATTGTATCCCTGATATTAAAGCCCATACCGTCACACAAAAAAGGTTTGCCTGAGGCCAACTCTATGCCAAGTATGGCATTGACTGCAGAAAATTTAAAAAGTGAACAAGATGGAGAATTTGAAATTCGTTCTTACCCTGCTCTTACCAACACACTCATGATCTAGATAGAAGACTAATGTCTAGTAAGTAACTTTTAATGATTAAAGAGTTAAATCACTGCACGCACACTCTAAACACTAACTTTGTTGTTTCAATGGCATTCTTGCAGTATAAGCTTGGCTTTGGTAGCTTTTTAAAATACAGTAGTTTTTTGAGCATAAGATAACTTCTAAGGGAAGCACTGCAAGCACCAAAAGCCTTCATTATTGATGCCTACTGGAAAAAAGGGCAACAATTTTATGCTTCTTTAAAAAATTAGATGAAAAAGTACTTATTATTTAAATTACAAAATCTGCTGATTTAGGAGTATCCTTAAAGGTAATCTTTTCCAACCTCCAATCTAAAGCTTGAGGCTCCTCTGGTGTGAAGACAAGCTGCTTGGGGGCTGATGAAGGGAGTCTGGGGGCAGAGGTGTGGGGACATCAAAGAGGAAAGGTAGACTGGGAGAGCATGCTCCTAGTGCACAGACCCCTCCCACCCCATGCACACAAATACACACAGGGCTCCTAGTCTTTTTTTCCTTTTTTAGCCCAATTAGGACAGGAATCAATAGAAAATGAGTAAAAAGCAGACAAATACATGCATTTTCCTGTATTGTACTTGAGTGCTTTGCATATAATAACTTAATATTTACACATGAATAAAACAGCAACCTGAATGACCTTCTCTGCCAGCTGATAAGTGGACTTCTAGCATGTTAATAAAGTATATATATATAAACTTCTTCATCCCCTCTTATTGACTAGGACTGTTCACACAATGAGCTTAATACTGTGTGCCACGTATTGTGCTAGAGGATGCAAAGATATATATGATAATGCCTGCCCTTGGAAGCTCATGGTCTACTAAAGCTGTAGAGACCAAATATTTGCAACACAGAGGCCAGAGCTACCCTAGATGTCTCAGTGTGATTATGCTGCCCTGAAGGGATGAGGCAGGAGTGACCCGGCAATGTGGGTAACCACAGGTCCCGTGCTGGCCACAGGAGCATAGATAAAGTGTTAAGACTGGGGAAGTGCAAATATTAGTTGGGTGAGAGACATATGTTGGTAAGCCAGAGAAGAATCTAGATTGGCAATGACAAGGAGGGCCAGAGGTAGATGCCAGGAACTAGAGCAGAGGCCGAAAAATCAACATCCAAAAAATGAGACCTGGGCACTACAGTTAAATCAAAAAGCAGGAAAAATAATCTGGGTGAATACTTAAACCAGGAGGGCTTCTGCCCACTTGTGGCTTCCTGACCTTTCCCAATGTTTGGCACGTGCAGAATTGGCTCCAGATAAAATAGTAGAGTGGCCAGAATAGAAGAGTATTCAGAAGTAAAAGCAAGCAAGGGATTCAGGGAAACTTTCTGGTGGACTTTGATGAAGCAGATATCATAGAACTTTAGAAGGACTAGGGCTGTGCTCTTTAGGAAGATGACTCTAGGCATGGTTACCACTGCAAAAGCCTGATATGCTATGTAGTGTGTGCTCTGTGTGGAAAGATGTTTCAAGGGTCTTTGACTCTGCAGCTAGGACCCAGTTATGGACTAAGCTACATGTATTCACTATACACTGTTGGCCATGAATACTCCAGATCATGAATACACATAATGAAGTTATACCAATCTCCACCCTTGAGATGGATAGAGGGCAGGAAACTTCATTTGGGATATAGTCTGGTTCTCCCTTATTTTTACTTTGTCCCTTAAGTAACTCAATAGTCTTCTTGATGAGCGGGATACACATATATCTGCAAAAAGAAATAGAAATTAGATTCTCTTAGTTGCAGGTGAGATGGTTTTATCATCATGAGATAGCATTGTTTTAAATAGATAATTGGACTTAACATTTAATTATCACCATTCAGAGAGGCTTTGGATCAACTATGCTAAAATCAAAGATAGCACTTTAGGAAGACGCCTCACAGAATTGCTAGTGGCACTGCTCTTTGCAGATGGGTGTTTCACATCTACTTCATCTTGAAGACTATTCCAGGAAGCTAAATTTACCAAATGTAAATCTTCTGTGGATGCTTTCATCTAGGTTCAAATTATATAGCCATGCTTTATGGCAAAGAATTGTTGAGTCTCAATTTTCCATTTTTCCTTGAATTGTAGCAGACTTAAAATTACCTTCTGAGTAAAACCTTGGCCCCGTTTACAGGCACTTTCTCAGCTCTCCTTATTCAAAATTGGAAATGACCTTCTATTCAGGCCCACATTCTTTTATGATGCCTCAATTTTTACAGAAAAGGGATGATCCTCTCTCATCCCTGGCAACTGAGAACAGGGCCACCCCAGGGGCATGTAAGAGAGCTAATCTTGAACTCACTGTCAGGAAACCTTTCAAAAGCTCAGGTAAGAGATAGAATTCCTCTGGGGAAATAGTCGGCAACTCTCTTCCTCTAGATTCTGTGAAATCTAATCTTAACCTAAACCAAACAGCCAAAAGAATGTGCTCCGGCACAATGCCAGCAGGACCATTGCAAGAAATATCTTTGAGGGAAGAACATGATAGGCTTAATATAAAGTTGATATTGATCAGTATTTGATATTATAGTGCACAGTGTCTTCTGTAGGGAAATCCACCAAAGATTTCTCTCCTTAGGAATAGACAAGCGTGTGTGTCATTGAAAAAATGTTTAATTGGAGAGTATAATTTATTGCAAAGTGCATAAAACAGAACAGTTTGACAAATGAGCAGCCTTGTGAAGGCCCTCCTATGTCAAGCAGCCCCTTCCCTCCTCCCTTCTCAATCTTCTTTCTGCCACCTGAAATTTAGCCTTACCTTAATTCATATTGCGATGACTTCCTTGATTTTCATCATGTTTTCCTCAGCAATATAGTTTTTAAACTATTTGTATTGTGTGTGTGTATATATAATATACATGTGGAATCACTATATATATATATATATGTGTATATATATATATATATATATATATATACTTATCTGTTTATTTTGTTCAGTATTAAGATCCATTTAGCATTCCTGAATTTAGCTGTAGTTTGTTCCTTTTCATTGCTTATATTATTCCAGTGTACCAAAGTATCCTAATTTATCCATCCATTGTACATTTGGTAGATATTTGAGTAATTTCTTTTTAGGTGTTATTGGAAACAATGATGCTCTTAACATTCTTGTAATGCACATGAAATAATTTCTCTGGAATATGTACCTTATAATTTCTGGGAACTGAAATAAATATTTCTATATGTACATTATATGTATATATTTACTTATTTATATTTTTAGGAAAAGTATATATTTCTAAAGGACTAGTGTTCAGAATAGGCTTCTATTGTCCTTCTCTCCATCAGTGGATTGGTTTTACTCTTGTAAACAGTGATGAGTCCCTTTTTGCATTGGTTGCCAGAATAGTAAAAGCTACACATGTTGCCAGACTGTGCTCCATAGAGCATCATAGACATAGGGGCTGGGTGGATGGGGTGGCTCTGGACCTGCTGAAGAAGGAAGGTAGGAGTACGGTGCTTCCCCCTCATCTTGTTCATCCAAGCAGAACAGCTTTTACTATTATGAAATATTATTGGCATACAGGCAAGTATAGAGGATAATAACAAACTTGTTTTCATCCAGTATACATATTAGTTTTCTGAATATGTATTTAAGAAATGCTTCTATGGCTTTTATAAATGTAAACATCAGATCCAACTCACACAGAGAAAAAGTACAGAGGATCAGGAGACCTGACTTTGTTGATCTGGGTCTGGTGTGAGTCATTTCATCTGACTCTTCTTATTCCTTTTATTCTTGAGTGTTGTAAGGCTCAAATGACTGGATGATGTGGTCATTCCAAGAAATTCAATGAAGAATCTTTAGTAAAATACTAAAAAATATTCACAATAACATAGAGGTAACTATCCAAGACTCCTATGGCCTAGACTCTGGGGTCTGCACCAACGTAGTTATAATGTAGAGATTAATCTATGTACAGTGTTTAGGATTCTTGACATTATTATTTGACCCAGAGATTTTGCTCTTATATTTGGGGACATCTTAATCTATAACATAGTTACATTGTTTTCTGCTTAAAGATATGTCATTCAGATTAACTTTTATGCAGTACTTAAGAGTATGGACTTTGAAGTCAAATAAACTGAGTTCAAGTTAACTTGGGGAAACTTGCACAAGTCATTCAACATCTCTGAGGCTCAAGTTCCTTGTTCATGAAATAAGTTGATCATAATAGCTATTATGTTTGGTAGTCATAAAGATTAAAGGAGATCCTGCAAGTAAAATGTTCAGCATAGCATATGGCACAGTAACAAGCCAATAAATACTAGCTGGCATCAGATTATTCTGATTCATAGCCTACTCTTGTCCATAGCTCCTGTCATCACCTTGGATGACACTAATGTATATGATATGTATATGATACATATCATATACATATCGTTATACGTATATAATATACATAGCATTATATGTATATAACATACATATCGTTATATGTATGTTATATACATATCATATCATATACATATTGTTATATGATATGATATGTATACGTATACATATACATATGTATACGTATACATATACATATGTATACGTATACATATACATATGTATACGTATGTATACGTATACATATGCATATGTATACGTATACATATGTATACATATACATACACATATACATACGTATACATACACATATACATACGTATACATATATACACATACATATACATATATACATATACATACATATACATACACATATACACATACATATACATATACATACATATACAAATACATATACATACATATACAAATACATATACATACATATACATATAAACATACATATACATATATACAGATACAGATATAGATATACATATACAGATACAGATACAGATATACATATACATATACATATCATTATATGTACATGATATCATATCATATACATATCATTATATGTACATAATATGTATATGATAACATCATATACATATTATATCATATGTGTACATATCATATGTATATGATAACATCATATCATATACATAACATATCATATACATATCATTATATCATACACATATCATTATATACATATGTATATGATATAATGTATATGATATGTATATGATAACACCCAACACCCTAACTTCCCAGGTTCTTGATCTTTTCCTTTCTGGTAACATTTGCCTCTTCTACACTTCAGCTACACAGCAACTCCCTGGACCTTGTTAGAAATGGCATCACCTCTGGAATATCCCACTTAAGAATCACCATTTCCCTTCCTTTTTGTTTAAACAGCTATGTTAGTTTAGGAACACTAGCTGCTGCAACAGACAAAACACAAAATCCCAGTGCAATATGAATTTACTTCTCACAATATAAATTTTATATTTCTCACAATATAAACGTATTTCTCAACCTCTTAAAATTTAAACTGGGTGCTCCTGATTAGTGGGCAGCTCTCATCTAAGCAGCAGTTCCAAGATGCATGTTCCTTCTGTCTTGCGACTCTACCATCTTCGACATGTGGCTTCCAAGGGCCAAAGAAGGGAAAGGGGATAGAGAATTGCATATGGAAATTTTCATGGGTCAAGCCTAGAATTGGCACACAACACTTCCATCTATAGTCCACCAGCCAGAACTGAGACACATGTTCATAACAGACAGGAAAAAGAATAAACAGGGTTTAGTGAATATCTAGCCCGTCTCTTCCACTCTATTAACCCACCTAATCTTCAATTTTCAGCCTTATTGAGATATCTGATCCTTTTATCCTTTTCCTTCCTTTCATCTGCTCTCTCCTGGTTCCTGTCCTCCTATTCCAGCCTATTCCTCGTGACGAAGCACCTGAACTACCCTCTTTCAATGCCATCAACTCCCATATCCCTGAAAAGTACCAGCTATAGATCAATCTAACCACTCTCATTTCAGCTCTTCTAACTACGTTGCTGATTGCTTCCAGGAAAATACACACACACTGTAGATTGCTTCCACCAACACTTCATATTTTTCAGCAGCCAGCCACCTGATGTTGCTGAGTAATACTTGTGCATCTTTCTAATTAGTCCTCTTTTTCTTTCCCGACAGCAACTATATCAAATCAATCTCTAATCTCACTGAACTGTTATCTATTTATTTCCTTAAGTTTTAGTTTATAATTTCACTAACTATTATAAGGAAAATAGAAGCCAGCATCCCTAGCCTACAGAGAATGGTCACTACAGAGCTTTTAAAAGATGCAAGTGGCCGGGCGCGGTGGCTCACGCCTGTAATCTTAGCACTTTGGGAGGCTGAGGTGGGCGGATCACGAGTTTAGGAGATCGAGACCATCCTGGCTAACACAGTGAAACCCCGTCTCTACTAAAAACACACACACAAAAATGAGCCGGGCATAGTGGCCGGCGCCTGTAGTCCCAGCTACTCCTGAAGGTTGAGGCAGGAGAATGGCGTGAACCCGGGAGGCGGAACTTGCAGTGAGCACCACTGCACTCCAGCCTGGGGGACAAAGCGAGACTCCGCCTAAAAAAAAAAAAAAAAAAGATGCAAGTGACAAGTGATTCCCAAACCAGTGTATTTCATAATGGCTTGGTAAACGGAGTGTCTTCTGGACACTTCCCCCTCCCCAGGGACACACAGTTAGGGTGTGGTTTTGTGAGTCTTACTGGATGAATCCGTTGTAACATTGCTGTCTTCCCAGGTCTTTAAATTCTTTTGCCATTATCGCAGGGACTTCTGGCAACTTATTTTCATTTAGCATAGCCCACTGTTGTGTCTAGATTTTATGCAATCAAGCAAACAGGTAAAATCTATTGAGTCAACATATTGAATTCAGAATCTCAGGTTGGTTCATGCATATTAATACATTTGCAAATAATGTCTTCAAATCTGTAGGTTGTCTATTAATTGTTTCTTTTGCTGTATAGAAGCTTTTTAGCTTGGTGCAATACTTTTCATCTATTTTTGCTTTTGTTACCTATGCCTTTGGGGTCGTAGCCAAGAAATCAGTGTCCAGCCAATGTCATAGAGCTTTTTGACTGTTTTCTTATAGTAGATAGTTTCAGATCTTACGTTTAAGTCTGTAATCTATTTTGGGTTGGCTCACATACAAGGGTTGAGATAAAGGTCCGTTTTAGTTCTTCTTTATGTGAAGATCCAGTTTTTCCAACATTTACTGAAGAGACAGTCCTTGTCCCCATTATTGTGTTCTTGGAACTTTTGTTAAAAATCAATTGACTGTAGGGGTGTGGGTTTATTGCTGGGCTCTCTATCCTATTCCATTGGATAGGATTTGTTGATTTGTCCATTTTTATGCCAAAATATATGGCATAACATATATTTTGTAATATAGCTTGTAATATATTTCAAAATCCAGTAGTGCAATGCCTTAAGTTTTGTGGGTTTTTTTTGGTCAAAATTCCCTTGGCTATTTGAGGTCTTTTGTGGTTCCATTATTAATGTTAGGATTGTTCTTTTCTGTTTCTGTAAAGTATAACATTGGAACATTGGAATTCTGATAGGGATTGCATCGAATCTATAGATCACTTTGGATAGCATGGACATTTTAACAATATCAATTCAGTAGAAGCTGTTTTGAATCTTCTGTGTGGCTGTCATGGTGGCAAGGGCCAACTGGCAATGCAGCCTCCTTGGGGTCACCTTCACTGTGCACAGCAATGTGGGGCAGAATCTGCTCTGCTCTGGGCCCTGCCCAGGTGCCCACAGTGGACTATGCTGGGAACAATGGGTCATTCTCATGGACTGTCTTCCACTGAGCCTTTGCAGCCCCCAAGGAGAGATCAGCATTGCCATTTTGCTCCACATCCTTGGGAAGCCACCAATGACCCTCTCTACCTCCATCCAGCGCCCGCTTCACACTCCTATCCAGAATCTCGACACCCTAATCTCTTTACAGTGCTCCTGAGCCTGTCTTACATACATGACTTTATTTTGATTTTTGATCTTCACAACACTTCTGAGAGGCAGCTGGGGGAGTATACAATTACTCCTATTGTACAGGTGAGGAAAGCAAAGCTTAGGGAGGTTAATTCCCTGTAGTCTTCATCAATAAGTTGTGAATGCACAAATCAGCTGCTAGTTCTAACACTCTTGGACCCAGAAAGATTTATGGTATTGGGTGAAAGTGACAATCTCTGAATATCATTGCCACGATTGTACGACATAATTTTGAGGACTGGAAATGTTCTTGGAGATTATCTGTCTCATTTTTAATAATGAAGAGACCAAGATATTGAGGAAGATTGGCCTAGCAAATTGGTGGTCATGGGACCAGGGCCTAGAACCCAGGGCTGTGGATTCCCGTTTTGGTGCCCTTTGCTCTCTCTCTCTCCTCAAAGTGCCTCCACTTCGGAGACCTTTGTTTCTGAATTCAATCTTTTTTTTTTTTTTTTTTTTTTTTTACTAGGGGAAAGTAATTCAGTTCATGAGAAGCCACTCCAGATTTTCAAGCCCTTCAATTTAAAGCCATGGGGAGGAAATAATTAAATTGAATCAAAGCATGGCATTTAAAATGCCGATATACACCAGGGTTCCCCCCACCCCCACCCTTTTTTTCTCAGTGTGGTTATGAACAGAATTAATCATGAACACTTTCACCTTAGCAACCCACTGAGCTGAAGTCAGAATGAAACATTTTGTGCAGCAAGGCTAACAGAAAATATTCCGTCTAAGTACATTTAATATGTGCTCTATGAAGATCATAGATTCAATCATTCTGTATGTTCTTGGGAACACTCAGCCTAGCTACTTAGACAGGAGAAACTGCATCTAGAGCAGTTTATGAAATTGAGCCAATTCTACACTTGGGGTTTTAAAAATGTTTGTGAGAGATCAGTATTCACTGGTCAAATTGAGCTCTTTGACCTTGTTTTCTATTTTAAACTGTCTGACCCTCTCCTTTCTGTTGATATAAGCATCTGCTGTTGCCTTGGAGAATAAGCACATTGCTTTTGGATATCTGACCTGGCAGGAAGGATATCAGATGGAGGAGCTTATTTTGCTGGCCAGGTTTAATTCAGAGGAAACCCGCTTGGATGCTTCACCTTCTCTGGCATTGCTGCTTTTACTGACAATTACAGGATATCCAAAGCTTCAAAATCTACTTATAGGTGATAAACAATGGTCACAGAAGGGTGGAGGTAGAGAGAATGGAAATTAAAATATAGCTTTTTATACATTAGTCATTGAGTTCTTCCAACAGTCCCGGGAAGTAACTAATGTTGTCTCCACTTTACAACTGAAGAAACTGAGACTTAAGTGGTTTATAAAAGGTCACAAAGCTAAATACAGGACAGAGTCAGGCTTGAATTCTAAGACTTTTTCTGCCATGTGACATAAGTTAATATCCTTATTGATTGAATGAAAGTGTGATGATTTGTCCTTTTCTAGATGGTGACTGGTGTTCTGGGGATCAACTGAGGGTGCAAGAGATAAGTCAAGAGACCCAGTGGACACATAGCCACACTCTGTCCCAGAGCCTAAGATTTCAGTGCCAAACCTAGTGACCACTATACCCACGGACAATAAGACTGGGTTGGGGCCTGGCTGTAAGACCCAGCCATGCAAACCTGCTGCCTGGATCTGAGAACCAACTCCAAGCATCTGCCTTCAATGCTGATGACCTGATTGTTTTTCTCTCTGTTCTGCAAAAACGTTCTATGCTTTCCCACCATGGTGTCCAGGTGTTCCCCATTTCCTGCAGATGATGTTCTGCCTCCAACTTTCTGCATATGTCACTTTCCCCTTTTTCAAGGCCTGGTTCCAGTGCCCCCTGCTTGGGCAGCACATCACCTATTGTCTCAGCTCTCCGCATTGGCTCTCTCGTCAAAACAGCGATCGCATTTCCAGTGCTAGATGCCTTCCCTGTGCCATCTCAATCCTCAAACCCGCTTTGACAGCACTGAACCACAATTTAAAAAATGAATTCAGACAATGAAATGCCTTTACTTACCACCTTACAATTGAGGTTCCTGACCACATCTCCAACCTCATCCCTTACCAGGCTCCAAAGACACTGGCCTCCTCCCTGTTCCCTGAACACAGCAAGTTTGCTCCTGTGTTAGAACCTTTGTACTTCTGTTCTTTTGGCCTAAATCCTTCCGCACACCCATTCCATACCCCCACAGCCATCAGTCTTCCTGTGTCGGAATCTTCCTTATCCTTCCTATCTCAGCTCAAATCTCTCCCACTGGCAGACGGACCCTGACCACACTAAGTCTTTTCCATACTGAAGTGCTCACAATCACTTTCTAACCCAGTTCCTTATTCTGATTTCTTCATGGCACCTATCACCGCTGGGCACCACCTCTACATTGGTTTGGTTGTTTGCTGATCATCTGTGTATCCCCATATTGGATGTGAGTTCCAGGAAAGTAAGGATCTTATTTTCTTGTAGCTCACTGGCTCCTCAGTGCCCAGGTCAGCTCAAGAATTATTTCCCAATGGATGAAAGAGGAAAGGAGAGAGGAAGGGATACAAAAGAAAGTAGAAAAACATACGGTATTGGTGTCTTTATATAGTGCTCTATAATCTTTGAAGCCCTTTCGTATGTTTTAACTTGATTCTCACAACAAAATCAAGACATAAATTCTGTAATCCCCATTTACAGACACAAACTGTGAATACTTGTTATTTACTCTTCAAGCACTTTTTATAAAGTGAAATTAAATGACAGGTGAAAAAAAAAGAAAACAAATGTTGCCACAGAGTCACATAGTAAGTTGCAGAGGCAAGATTTGAACTCAGATCATCTGGCTCCAGTGCCGGGCTCTTTACTAGCCCATGAAGTTGACAGATTCAAAATGAAGTCCCTTACATGTTAAAGGACTAGGAGATTTTGACTCTTTTGAGTATTGGACTCTAGACCATTGCCATTCTTGCTTTTCCTTCTGCACCACCAAGGACCTAGGAGTGGGAAGTAGGGGGAAGTGGAGGAAGAGAGCATTTGTGAAGACAGGATGAGCCAACATACAATTTCTGGCCAGCTGTGGTGGCTCACACCTGTAATCCCAGCACTTTGGGAGGCCAAGGCGGTCAGATTGCTAGAGCATAGGAGTTTGAGACAAGCCTGGGCAACATGATGAAGCCCTGTCTCTCTCTCTCTCTCTCTCTCTCTCTCTCTCTCTCTCTCTCTCTCTCTCTCTGTATATATATATCAGCTGGGCGTGGTGGTGCATGCCCTGTAGTCCCAGCTTCTCTGAGGCAAGAAAATCCCTTGAACCTGGGAGGTGGAGGTTGCAGTGAGCTGAGATCATGCCACCGCACTCCAGCCTGGGTGACAAAGTGAGACTCCATCTCAAGAAAAAAAAAAAAGATACAACTTCCTTCACTGCTGCACTCCAGCCTAGGTGACAGAGTGATACTCCATCTCAAGAAAAAAATAAAAAAGATACAACTTCCTTTGCACTGCCACCTTTCCTATGCTCCCTCCAATCCACTCTCCCTGCTGTTCCATCCTGTTCTGCGCCCTGGAAGACTGACCTGCAAGGATTTCGCCAAAGAGCTCTCTTTCCCTCTTGCTTCCTGTAGAGTTCCCCCATCAGGAAACATTGGTAAGAGAGAGGAAGCTGACAGGGGTGGGAAGCGAAGTTATTTAATCCCTCAACTCCTTCCTGGGGAGGGCATAGTTCACATCTCCTTCTGCAGGGCAGCCTTCTCCTCACAGACTCCTGGCCCTTCAGCCTGGGGGTGATAGCCAGGTCCCATTGTGACTAGCCTCAGGCTACTGCAGCATCCACTTTCTGGGGTTTCCCTATGTATACCCCACCTTTGAACACGGTCCTTCTATTCAAGGCTCTGCAAATTACTCAATGTGTGTGCCATTATTTGTGTCCTGTCCAAACTCTGACTTACACATTACACTCAGTTTTGCCAGTGAGGCCAGCTGGGAGTCATTAGTTGAAAAGTCTTTTGTTCTATGGACTCAGAGCAATTGAGTAGCCTCTAGTGTTTCTCAAGAGACAGGCATATTCCATGCACCGACAGGCTCTCCCATTCGTATTCCTTTGCTTGCAAGATAGAAGACAGCCTTTCAGTGTTTCCTTTCTGATTTAGGTGATTTCTCTATCATGAGACTGGCCTTTCCTAAGCTCTCTCCTTTTAAAGGTCAGGTAACTGATCCTTTTCCTTCTACGAACTTCATTTTCAACATATGTTTTTGTTACTCCTACAACTGTTATGGTGACTATATATATGTGTATGTGTGTGTGTGTGTGTGTGTGTGTGTGTATGCATGTATTTTGTATATAGTTGACCTTTGAAGAAACTACAATTTACTAGTATGTGCTGTTGTCAAATTACCAAAATAATTTTCACCCACTATTTTCATTTTATCTTGGGAGCAAACTATGATTTTAATTAAAATTTAGGAAAACCAGAAAATGAGACACCCCTAGTGCAAACACTGTTTTCAAGTCTGTGTATCACTTTCCAGTCCTCATCCACATAGGCATTTTTATTTTTACATGTTACATATGTAATTTTGTATTTTGTATTTTACCCTAATGTTATATCATAAGCATGAGTCTCCATAATCATCGCTTCTAATGATGACATGATATTCCATGAGATAGACACACCATAATTTGCACAGCCATTTCTGTTTTCTGAATAACATGGTGGAAAGCACCCTGGTTTGGAATCAGACAACTGGAAGCAAATCCTGGCTCTCTCAGTCACTAGCTGTATGACTTTCTTTGAGTTACTCAATTATTTTTGCACCTCAGTTTTTCATCTTTCAAATGGGAATTCTAATAAAATATGCCCTTTATATGTTGCAGAGGTTGTAAAGACCGACTGAGATAATGGATATGAAAATGTTTCTGAACTCTATAATTGAATGACACTTGTTCAGTAACTTATGCCCCCTTGTTTAATGTACTTCACAATGCTTATCTCTATCTGAAATTATATTGTTTTATCATTATTTCCTACTTGTCTTCCCCCATCAGACTGTCAGTGTTACAACATCTGACCATTGCCCATCCTATTCACCTATAAATCTCCAGAACCTGGTATGTAGTAGGTTCAAGAAATATTTGTTCATAAATTGAGAGACTTAAGTGTGTTTCATTTGAAGATTGAGGGAAAGTGGTTATGCTACCAAGATTCCATTTCTTTTTTTTTCTTTTTTTAAAATTTATTTATTATTATTATACTTTAAGTTCTAGGGTACATGTGCACAACGTTCAGGTTTGTTATATACGTATACATGTGCCATGTTGGTGTGCTGCACCCATTAACTCGTCATTTGCATTAGGTATATCTCTAATGCTATCCCTCCCCCCTCTCCCTACCCCACAACAGACCCCAGTGTGTGATGTTCCCCATCCTGTGTCCAAGTTCAATTGTTCAATTCCCACCTATGAGTGAGAACATGCAGTGTTTGCTTTTCTGTCCTTGCAACAGTTTGCTCAGAATGATGGTTTCCAGCTTCATCCATGTCCCTACAAAGGACATGAACTCATCCCTTTTTATGGCTGCATAGTATTCCATGGTGTATATGTGCCACATTTTCTTAATCCAGTCTATCATTGATGGACATTTGGGTTGGTTCCAAGTCTTTGCTATCGTGAATAGTGCTGCAATAAACATACGTGAGCATGTGTCTTTATAGCAGCATGATTTATAATCCTTTGGGTATATATCCAGTAATAGGATGGCTGGGTCAAATGGTATTTCTAGTTCTAGATCATTGAGGAAGTTTCCATTTCTTTAGGCTACTGCAACAGTCATGTAATTTATATCATCTTGGGAAAATATAACAAATAAGAATTCAGTAGACCCATGAAGAGGCTGGTAGGCATTTCCAAAAGCTTTCATTCATATGAAGTAAGCCAGAGCTGTTCTAAGTGCCAGCTGTGCTTCTGAATGAGGCAACCCAACCTAGGATGGGAGAAACAATTGAAAGAAGATTTTGAACCCGGAATCTTAGTCTATCACTCCAGCACACATGGGCTTCTGAGTGAACTATGTTCAAGTTCAATAAAGAACAAGAGTTGAAAGTGATCTAAACTTGGCTTGTGGTTCTTATTACACAACTCTGTGACAATACCAAAAACTATTGAATGGTATACTTAACATGGGTGAATTTTATGATATGTGAGTTATATTTCCATAACATTTTGTTTTAAGAAAAAGAATGAGAGGAATCCAGTAAACCTGGATATTGACTGCCTTATAGTGTGGCACATCTGTTATTAGTAAGGTGAAGCAATTCACTCTAACACTGTATATTGAAGTCAGAAGAATATGGGTAGTATGTTAGCAAAAGGAAAAACATATTAAAGAAACTGAGCAGGAAGCACTTAGAGGTCATAGTCCAAATCCTTAATGTGTGTGAATTTTTGTTGTTGTCATTGTTGTTTCAAGACAGAGTTTCTCTCTGTCACCCAGACTGGAGTTGCACTGGTGCAATCTTGGCTCACTCCAACCTTCGCTTCCTGGATTCAAGTGATTCTCTTGCCTCACCCTCCCTAGTAGCTGGGATTACAGGCACGCACCACCATGCCAAGCTAATGTTTGTATTTTTAGTAGAGATGGGGAGTTTAGCCATGTTGGCCAGGCTGGTCTTGAACTCCTGGCCTCAAGTGATCTGCCTGCCTCAGCCTCCCAAAGTGCTAGGATTACAGGCATAAGCCATGATGCCTGGCCCAAACCCTTAATTTTTACAAACAAGTCAAGCAAGTTGCTCAAGGTTACACAACTAGCTAAGAGCAAATCTGGTCTGAAACCATGACCTCTTGATTGCTGGTGCATTGTTCTTCCCCCTGCGCCAGTGGTAATGGACAATGGTGAGACATAGACAATTTTATTTTAGAAGTCACAAAAAGAAGAGAAATAAATTCCAAAAACTATAGATCATTCAATATGACATCAATTTGAATCCAAATCTAGAATAAATTTTAAAGTATGTGGTATGTGAGCTTTTAGAAAAGAAAGAATTGTTCCATGAAGTCAGCATGGATTATGAAGAAAGGGTCTCAGAAAATTGTTCTATTTGTGTTGTTGAAACGATTCCAATAGATTGAGGGAATGACATAATGTTTCTTGATTAGCTGAAGCATTTGAGAAAGTCTTTCATATATTTTTGCAATCAAGATAAAGAAATGTGACCTGAATAATAGGGAGGTTTGGAAGATACATTGCTTATTGAACAACTATATCCACAAAGTGTTTGGAGGCTTCTCGTAGTAGATGAAAGAATTCTGTCCTTAGTTCTAAACTTCTTCACTGTTAATAGGATAGCAGACACAGATACAGTAGCTGTTCATGTGAAAATGATATGTTAATGTTAATTGAAACATTAATATAATCTTGGACTGCATTAGTCTATTAATAGCAATATAAACACTGTATTCTGTGTTGTCAGACCACAACTTGGAGATTTAAGACAAACATTGACACAATGGAATGTCTTTACAAGAAGGTGCACAGTGTGGTGGGGCTGGGGATGGCTCTGAAAAACATGACATGGTTCATATTAAGAACAGTTGAAAGGACTAGGATCATTTACACAGGAGAAGAAAAGACTGGGGGAATTATGGTAACTACTTCAAATACTTAAAGGTTGCTATGTGAAAATGGATAATACTTAGCCAATGGGGCTCCAGAGAGACAACCAGGTGGAAAGTTAAATGATGGTAAAAGAAGAATGGGAGGAAATCAGAGCAACATTAGTTGACATAACTGAAGTCACTCTATACAGCCGGGTCTAAAGCCTAAGTACTCTTAAATTAATCTCTAGATCAAGAGTGCTAATCCAAAGGCAAATTACTTGAATGACATGGTTTTGGACCCTTGCAAAATTACATTAACATCATTTCTATCATATTTTCATCTTATACAGGAGGCAATCTATTTAAAAACCTACTATACATTGATTGAAAAAAATTGAAGACATATCCCACACATAAATTATTGTACTCTACATGAAGAACACCTACAGAATTGCCTTTATGACCGAAGTTCCAGGATAAACTTTGCTTTCCCTGAAGAATCAAGGAGCTCATTATCTTTCCCTTAGAACGAGATCAACTTCCTCCATCTCCTATCTCACTTGTAACAACATCAATTTTTTTACCTCTCATGCATTCTAGACTGTCCCCATTTCTTCACTGGCAAATCCTGACAGTTCTACCTCTACAGCACATTCACTCGTGCAGATTCTCCTAGGGCTACCACTTTGGTTACGGTAGAGTAAATGATATATATGACAGACAGTAGGTCAGCTCCTTCAAGTCTTCATTCAAATATCACAATTACCTCAAAAATACCTTCTCAATGGATACTACACTGGCCACCCTTCTTAATAGTTCAACTTGCCTCTACCCCCAGCCTGGATATACCTTACTATGGTCTGCTTTTTATATTTTTCCATATGACTCACTATCTTCCAACACACTATGTAATTTACTTATTTATTATATTTATTACTTATCTGTATCCTGCTGTCTGAAGGTAAGCTTCATGAGCTCAGAAATCTTTTTGTCTTTTTTTCAATGTTGCATTATCTAGAACAGTGCACTGAAACTACACACACAAGAAACATTGGTGGAATAAATGAATAAATAGTTGCAATAGCACATTAAGGAAATGGTGAGCAATATGACCTGGCTAAAGATGTGGGATATGGCAAAAAGAACTTACAAGTCAGAATCCTCCTCCAGCTGCAAACAAATTGAAAAAAAAAAATGACTAATAGTCAAATGTGCAAACTCCAGGAAAAAAAAAAAACTTCAAAGGAATAGTCATGTTTTAAAAAAAGAAAGAGAACTCCGTGTGCCAAAAATGAAGGAGCTCAAAGCTGGAGAATTAAGAGGCTCTGACACTGCTACAGCTCTAGGGGTAGTAAACAAACATTATTTGCCCTAGGGAATGAGGTCTAGGGCTTTAATACCTAAGAAAGAACAGGGAACATGGCCTTGGGCCCACCCAAGTGGAGAGGATCTTGGACAGAAACCCCTTCATAAAACCTGAGCCTCAAAGGGCTTCCCTGACTGTGAAAAGAAAACTAATAAAACTCTACCCACCAGCCAAAGGAAGGAAAAAGAAAACTTTCTGCCCACCAAGACAGTGCACAGGTGGAAAAGAGTCATCCCCAAGGAGAATTCTGGGTGTCATGAATAGGTGCAGTGCAAACTGATAATCCTCCTCATTGTGCCATACCCCCAAGCAAATAAGTTAGCATAAAAGCTTGTCCTAGGCTGAAATCCCCCAAAACACTGGCAGAAGCCAACATACAACTATTTTGAAGGAAGCATATATATGGAAGCATATTTTGAAGGAAGCCCCAGCTTATATGGGGCTCTCACAGAGAAAAACACCCCTGCTGAAAATGAGCACACAATACAAAATTACAAACTATAGGCTAAAACAAACTACCAAAATAAAATATCAAAATAACATGATGAAACAAATGAGTTTACAAAAACAATAAAACTTTTCAAAATGAAAGAGTAAAGTCATTTAAACTAGAATTTAAGAGGTGGAAGGAAGTGCCAAGAGATGAGGAGTCTGAGACCAGATGATAACAGACTTTATATAACATCTAAGAAAGCCTGACCTTGATTCAGTAGTTATTGAGAAGTCTGGAGAGGTGTTTAAGTAAGGCAATGATGTTGTCACAGTTATGATTTAGGAAGAAACCACTGGCAACCTTGTAGTAGAAGATGGGGTAGAAAATTGAAATCAGGAAGACCAAGTAAAAAGTTATAATATTTAGGTGTCATTCATTTACAAATAACAAGAATAGTCATTCAAACTGGCCTTAGTAGAAAAATATTTATTGACTCATTTAATTGAAAAATCCCAGCTACTTTATGGTTTGTGAAATGAAGGCTTGATCAACATGTTCAAATTACGTGATCAGAAATATGTCTGCATCTAAGGTCTGCTTTTCTACATTGAATTCATTCCCAGGCAGATTTTTCAAAGGTGATAATACACAGAGTTCTAAGTCCTGCAGAAAGTGAGGGTTTCTCGTCACAGATCATTCCAGCAAATGTCTCAAGATCAGTTCTAACGGGCCCAACCAAGATCCAGGAAGAGGGACCAGGATACTTAAACTGCGTGGACTGAGATGGGGAGAGGTAATTGCCAAAGGGAGGTTGACCAGCCAATGAAAGCTTTGTGGGTAGGAGTTAAACTCAGACTAAGAGTAACTTAAACTTATTTCTCTGTCTCTAAGAAGTGAAATTTTCAGGTCCTATTCCTTTCTCTTCTCACCCTAATAACACTAGTACTATTCTCACCAGACCTCCTAAGTGACCCAGACAACTATACCCTAGCTAACCCCCTAAACACTCCACCCCACATCAAACCCAAATGATACTTCCTATTCGCCTACGCAATTCTCCTGTCCATCCCTAATAAACTAGCTAAATAAATTTTTAATAAGCTAAATGTAGGAGCAGAGGTCAACAGAATTGAAACCCTTCTGCCTACCCCTCATGATATCTTACAGTATGCCAGATCTGTGGCATATACAAGCAAATCATTGTCTCTGTGTTTCTGTTTCTTCTAACCAGGCCTTCTATAGAATCATTCTATGGCAGTCATACCTCTGCATTACAGGATGTTTTTATCCTTTCTAAATGCTCTCTATGAATCTTCAACCTTGAGATCTGTGCTCATATATCAGGGTAAATCTTCTGTCTTTGTTGTCGTCTTCCTTGTCCTGTCCATGAGCTGTAGCTCTTCTGAACAAAGTGTCCTCTTCCTGGCCATGTCCCGGGCATGTGGACCATCACACCAAGCCTTAATGACAGGCCTGTGGGCTTGTGTCACTCTTTATTTCCATCTGCGTGGTTACTTCAGGTTCACTTTGTTTGTGGCCATATAATCTATGTGGATACACACAGAGACATCTATGTCACAAGTGTCTTTCCAGACTCTCTTTGCTGTTGTTCATTTACGTGGATTTTGTAGTAGCTTCTTTGTTCTTCCACTCAATTCATACCACAATGTCCACTTTAACAATTGGTCTGGACATTCTGAAATTCTCTCCCCTGTCTTCAGTGGCCTAGTGCAACCCTGGTGCCTCCTGTGCCCCTCCAATCCTTCCTTCCTTCCCCAATGGGGGTGCCACTCACAGGTTTCACTTGACTTTCTCATCTTCTCTATGATCTCCTCAACTCCAATAGCATCCACCCACCCCTTTATGCAGAGGCATCCAAATCTGTATTTCCCATCTTTTTCTGACGTTCAGACCTGCTGTTCTACCAGAGTGTCTGGCCCATACTTGAAACTCACTATGCCCCAAAATGAACATATTGTATGTTTCCATTTTATAAACCAGCTCTTTTTCTCTCCTATGTGTTTTCCATGCCTTCCTTTTGTGTTTATTAATGGAAACATCATTTCCCAGACCACACGGGATACAAGTCTAAGTGCCACTTCTGACTCCTTCCTCTCCTGTAGGTTCCATGTTTCATTACCAAGTCCCAACCAGCCCTAGCATGGCTTTGCCTGGACTTACTGCAGCCATGGATTGGCTTCTGTGCAGCTCAGAATGGGGAGGAGGAGGGCAAGCTCACACAGAGAGAGCTTTGACCTGAATAGTGACTGAGAAAGAGATGAACTGGTCTTGGGGAACCTGAACAATGACTGAGTTATAACAGCAGTAGCCTAATTAGACTGGATAAATGCACTTAACTGGATTGAAGGTACATAAATAGCATAAAATAAGTTATTTGCTCTAGGCAGACCTGAGGGCTCAGATTTAGGAAAAGTACTCATAGTTATAAAATAAAATTCCATTTTTGTGTTCTCCTGATATGTGGCCAACTTGTCTTCTGTGTCTGATCTGTAGAATTTGTGAGTAGGTGGTGTGACCTATTACAAGTGGCTCAGACAGATGACCACTCTGAGTAGCTGTGGGTTTCCAGACGGAGGGGAAAATCATAGCAAGGTCCTCAGAAAGGCACACCTCAGGGACAGACATGAGAGTGGAAGAACTTTCCAGGTTCTCAGCCATCCTGAGCAAGATGGGAAATCCTCACAGGTCTGGGAAGTCATATGTAACAGCTGTGGGACTGATGTTGTTTTATGTTGATTAAAGTTGTCAATGCAAGTCTGTGATGAGAATCCTCATGCTATTTCAGATCTTCCCGGAAGTGCTAGTAGAGTGAGTGGGGTATGCTCACCAAACCTTCCTCGCATTCTTACATGACATTATGTGTTCGTGGCTTTTCTCCTCTCTGGGATTGCTGATGCCACAACAGAGATGCTTCCTTGTCTGTGAGGAAATGCCTCATAGACAGTGCCTCACACTCAGCTCTCAATAAATATAGGTTCACAATGTAAGAGCATCATTCCATCTTCACTTCATGGGTCTTTGTTTTTCCAATTCACCCCACCCCCATGCTGGATGAGAGACCCTCTCCATTGATCAGTCTACTTGAGTGTGCAAATACAATAAGAGCTAAAATACAGTAGACCCTTGATTCAGGCTGGCCGCTCTGCTGCTCCACACTCATCAGCGACAGGACCAGCTGAAGAAACATACACTGGAAATCCCAGCTCCGGAATGCCTGGCCCTGCCCTTCCCTCTAGGGTAAAACCTCTCTGAGAATAAAAAAGAAAAGCAACCCAAGTTGTGCTGACTTGTAAGCATTCTAAAACATCCAAGAGATAGAAAAAGACAGGGTGAAGTAACATTTGCCAACTTAAAAATAACTGCCATTGGTGGAAACAGAATTATCTTCTCTGAATGTGCTAGAAAATGTTTCAAGCTTAATACATATTAACTAAATCACTGAATAGTGAAAAACGTTATTATCTGCTTATACAACATTTGATAACAAAAAAACACAGTTCTAAAGAAACTTTGAATCTGCATTATGAATGTAGCATTTAGCACTGTCTGAGATAGTTGAAGCGCAGTCAACACAAACTGGGAAGAAGGAAGGAAGGGAGGGAGAGAAGGAGGGAGGGAGGGAGGGAAGCAGGGTAGGGAGGCAGGAGGGAAGGAAGGAAGGGAGGGAGGGAGGGGTAAAGATACATTATTATAATTATGTGCAGTTTCAAAACATTTTACTATAAAATAAGTGTTCCTCAAATTGTGTGTTGTTCTTTGTTAACTTTATAGAAGAGCTTTACTAATATAAACAGAAATTAATTCCAACTCAATCTGATCTGGCTCCAGTGAGTCAGTATTTCTACAACTATTCATAACCTGATGAAAGAACTTGGGTTTTGAAGTCAGACAGGGCTCAAGTCCCACCTTAGCCAGTCATTGACCATATGAGATCCACCCTCTTCATCTGCACTGTCTTCATGCTGTAGAGACAGTGGTGTTTACAGTTCGATGCACAAGCTCTGATACTAGACCCCTTGGGTTAGGCTGGAATGTGAGTTCTGTTGTTTACTAGCTATGTGAACAGGGCAAGCTAATTCTCCTGTCTGTGCCTTAGTTTCCTCAGATGTAAACTGGGGACTGATAATACTCCTTCCCTTGTGAGGTTTTAAAATAATTAAGTGAAATAATGCATGTAAAACACATAGAAAAGAAGCTGTATTATGTTTATTTAATAAACGTTAGCATTATCATTATATCCTTAAGAAGGTAAGCTTTTGGAGAGAAGGAAATTCATGGGGTTTGTTAACAACTGTATTCTCGGTGGAAGCCTAACATATAGTTGAGGTTCATTAACCATTTGGTGAGTAAAGAAATAATATATCCTTACAGGGTTGTTTGGTGGAGGGATGAACTTGTCCAAACACATGAAATACCTTATGAAGAATAGCCATTCAATAAATGCTGATTATATTCTCTTTCCCTGATCTCATCCGCATAATAATCCATATGTCTCCTTTTCAAATGTTCTCTTTCCCTTGAGGAAAAAAATATGTCTTGCTCCTTAAGATAATCTAATATATTGGTATATAAATGAGTAGCATTTACAATGTCATATGCTGCCCTGGGCTCTTTCTAGACTGAGGGAAACTGGTTCTTTCATTTTCTTTTATTTTCTTTTTTTTTTTTTTTCTGAGACGGAGTCTTGCTCTGTCTCCTAGCCTGGAGTACAGTGGTGTGATCTCAGCTCACTGCAACCTCCGCCTCCAGGTTGAAGTGCCTCCTACCTCAGCCCCCCAAGTAGCTGGGATTATAGGCACATGCCACTACACCCAGCTAATTTTTGTATTTTTAGTAGAGACGTGGTTTCTCCATGTTGGCCAGGCTGGTCTCAAACTCCTGACCTCAGGTGATCCATCTACATGAGCTAGAGGGATTATCCTTTCTGGTGCCCATGAGTGAAGCACCTCTCTGTTGGGTTTTCCACCAGTACTGCCCACGTAGGGCTCTGGACAGTATAAGAAAAGGAAGGACACTGTGCCAGCTTGTCAACAACTCATCAATCATGCAAGGATATTAGATAGGCTTTTCAGATCATTACTTTATCAGAAATCCAAATACGACTACTCCTTGGCTTTGTGGAGATCACAAGCCTTACATTCTCCTTCACAGAGGCCAATAAACAAAACTAAGAACCCCAAAGAATTAGAAAAAAAAAACTTCCTCTCATTCAATAATTCCACAAACATGAATATAGTAAAACAAAACAAAGCAACAAACAGTAATCTTTCCTGTCACTCTCCCTTTCTGAATTCTCAATAGAAATCATCTTATATCAAAAGAATATTAGAAAGCCAAACTGTTAGAAGAAACTTAACTGTCAGAGGATGCAGGGTGTGTCTGGATGTGGGGGTAAGATGGGGATGACTTTGGACTAGGAACCAAGGAGTATCTGAGACCTGCTATTAAGCAGCCGTCTCCCTGTGAGATCCCTAAAGGACACAGACCCAGCCCTGGCACTCTTGACAGGGCCAGCAGAGACCAACCTGGGGACCTGTCTTGTAGAAGCAAGAATTAGAAAGGACTAGAGGAGGCCAAAGAGAGAGAGAAATGGCTGGTGCTTCTCTCAGGAAGAGCTGCCCCAGATCTCCCTCCATTCAGCTTTAGAGAGGGAAGAAACAGAAGGACTTTTCCCATTGCATCCAGCTTTTAGCACCTACAAACATTGGCCAGTAAATATCCTTGCATTTAAGTGCCACTCCTCCTTCTTGGTAATGGAGGGGAATTAAATGTTGTAACCTAGGCCTGAGAGAGAACAGAGATAGAGGCCATGGTCTGGAAATTTCCTGGGCATGCCGGCACCTAATATGGTGAAAAACAAAGGATTCCGTCAGAGAGACCTGGGCCCACTCCTTGTTCCTCCATTTACTAATTATATGCCCTTATAAAAGTCACTTAGCTTCTCTAAGCCTGAAACTTCTCATCTAAAAATCAATCATTGCTACCACATAGAGTTGTTATAAAAATTAAAAGAGGTCATGTTGGGAAAGTCCTTAGCATAATGTCTGTTGCAGTATTTGAGTATCTCTGGTGACAATGTGCTCATTACTTCACCAGGGAACCTATTTTATTCCTGGATAACTGTAGAAAATTATTTTTCTTTATTTGAGATGGACACATCTTACTCCTTCTTCTTCCCCAGGAATGAGATAAAATAAGCATGCTCTCTCTTCTATGTGACAGTTCCTTATGTATTCAAAGGCAGCTGTCATGCTCCCCTGAGTCTTATGCTCGCCAGCACCAACGTCCTTCATATTCTTAGCCATTTTATATGGATTAGTTTTTGTGCCTTTCACCACCCAGATTGTTGTCCATCATCCTGAAAACATGATGCAAAAATCTGAATACTGCTCTTCATTTTATTGTCACATAAAGGTATCTCTCTGAGACATCTCACATTAGACATTTCATCACAAACACTGACTAAGCAGCGGAATAAAGTCATGCTATTTGGGGTAAGACGATTTGTTAGCAAAACTACCTAGTTTTGCTAATTCATCCCTCCAGCAAGTGTTGATTGAGCACCTATAGAAAAATCAGGTAACTTGGTAGGTGCTGGAGACACTGAGATGAACAAGAAAGACACTGACTTGGCCCCCAGGGATCTTACAGTTAGTGTGGGAGACCCATGACAGCTACGCAGGCAACTAGACTGACACTGACACCGAGAATGAACGTGCTGAGAAGAAGGGAAAAGAGAAAGACTGAGCTTCTTGAGGGCAGGGTTCCACTTCCTCATTCTCCCTTGTTCACATTCCATGCAATCTTATTCCTATACCATGCATTTCCCCCATAGCACATTTCCTCCATAATGTCTCCTAACCTGCTCATGTTTTTTTTTTTAAATTGTAAATCAGATTATATCATTTCTCTGCTTAAAAATCCCCAGAGCAGCTTAGCTTCTAAGGCATATTGTGAAGTGAAAAAAGCAAGGTTCAGAATGACATCTGCAATAACATATCATCTATGCGATAGCAAACAAACAATACATTTCAATGTATTCTATGGCAATGATAGATAGACAGATAGATGATTGATAAATAGGCAGACAGGATAAAGAAATTCCCAGTGGCTTTCCAATGCACTTAAAGTCAAGTGTTGTTCCCTTGCCTATGAGACCCCAAATGTCTCTCCCTGCCTCTCCAATCTTTGTTGTTCTCTCTCCCCCTCACTGTGTTCCGGCTACAAAGGCTCACATTTTCCTTGAGCATGCCAAAACCTTTCCTGATACAGAGCTTTATACTAGCTGTTCCTATGTGTGAAATCCTCTGCTCCCTGATCTTCCAAGGACTTACTATTTCAGATCTCAGCACAGGGTTCATTGCCTCCAGGAAGCCCTCCCTACAACTCAAACTAAAGTAGTCACCATGTTACTATTTCATTGCCTGACCTAAAGTTCTCTATTTAGTGCTTTTTCTACATTACTTTCAAATACCCATTGTGTATATGCTTATTTTTCTCCTCCATCAGAATATAAATTCCATGAATACAGAATCTTCTGTCTTATTCACCAGTGTGTAGAACATTGTGGGCATATAATAGATATTCAATAAATAATTGTCAAATGATTTAATGAATTGTTGATGACTCAATACTTACTATAGTGCCTTGCACCTAGATACGTAGAGAGAATGAGTGAATTGGGACAAAGGAGAAAGCAGCAAAAGTTCACTGAGTCCATGGAAGGTGGAAATGGACAAAACACCCAAACTTCATATCCAGTATGGTTTGGTTTTGTATCACCCCTGCCTGCTACTCACAGTCATTCCTTTCATTCCTACATACGTGGAAGTAAATTTGTTATGGACCTTAATGTCTCCTAACCTGCTCTGGTGCCTTCTGTACACTGTTGAGAGTCAGAGAGTCAAATAAGTAATCTCAGGATTGTAGACCTGGGCTCCGTCCATGGCCCAGAAACACCACAGATGTTTGCTTTGTATCAGCTTTGCAGATGTCATCTGCTGCCTTGCTACTATCCTGTGTGGGCTGCCACACTCTCTGAAGACCTCATGCCACCTGCCTGCCTATTCTCCCTCCATCTACCTCTGTGCTTACAACTGGGACATCTCCATCACATTCCCAGTCACCAGCACCTTCTTCAACAGTAGGCTATCCTAAATTCAAAACTTTGGGTAAAAACCCGTCTTTACTAAAAATACAAAAAATTAGCCGGGCGTGGTGGCATGCGCCTGTAGTCCCAGCTACTCGGGAGGCTGAGGCAGGAGAATCGCTTGAACCCAAGAGGCAGAGTTGCAGTGAGCCGAGATCACACCACTGCATTCCAGCCTGGGCGACAGAGCGAGACTCCATCTCATAAACAACAACAACAACAAAAACTGTAAGAGAAGGGGAACATACACTTTTTTCTCCAAAAGTAGTAGTTAAATATTACCATTTACCATTACAACGTTCATTTTTAAATAATAATTATTATGAAATAATCAGCCTTTCATGAATAATACTGGGAATCTTCGAATAAATGTGAAAGATAAAAAAATAATTATTTAAAAATAGAAACCTCCATCCCCTACTGAACAGAGAAGGCCTGATTATTAGAATACAGAAATATATGAGCAAGTTTTTTAAAAATGATAATTTTTGTATTGTTGCTCTAAATATCCATTGGACATTAGAAAAATGCTTTTGCAAAGAGTGGATCTTTATAAAATTTTACCTCTGTGTTACAAAGGTAGAGTATGCACTGAAAAAGAAAAGATCTTAAAATTGCATGTATGTTTCAGTAGCATCTGCTACTCTCTATTAATACAGACTTGTTAACCTCACTAACCTCATTGCTCACTATTTCAACCTGTATTTCTATCTGGCTCAGCCAGCAGCAACATCAACTGACCATACTGAATGGAATGGAGAGTTCTTGTTCTGTTCAATCAACTATAATCCTGCACATGACTTCCCCAACACCCCACTTTACAGCTCATATTGGTTCACTCCACTCCCTACCTCTAGCCCCTACACTCCAAGCACACAGTTCCTCATTCACCATCTCAAATGCACCCTGCTCTCTCTCCTTTCCAAGACTTCAGCATGGCAGCCCCCTTCTGATTAAGCACTCATCCCTTCCCTCTTCGTCATGGCTAACCTGTATGCATCTCCAGGTAGCAGCTGAGATGAAGCTCCTTTAGGGAAGAATGTGCTCACCTTTCTGCTGTTATTCTTATAATACCCATTTCCTCCTACATTAACCCTCTTCACATAGTTATTTAATGTTGGTTTTCTCCTCTAGACTATAAGTCCCTTGAAAGCAGGGACGGTGCATGTTGCTATACCATTGTATTCTTGACACATAGTAAATGCTTAATAAACATTTGTTTGATGAATAAGCAAGTAAAGAAGCAAAGGAATCAATAAATTCCCTGGAGCCATTTTGATATCAATTAGAATTTCCTGAGGTCCATTTATAGAAGGAACCAGGGTTTTCATTTTATTCCCTGTCTTAAACGTAATTTGTACTAATAAAGATAATTACTTTCCCATGAGGAATTAAAGCAATGTAATTTGCCACCAGTATAATTCAGTCAAATGAAGAACCTGTCTATCCACCCACATGCAGCAGACCAAAAGCTGGGCAGTAATTTTCATAAATTATGAGGTCTAGAAAATTCCTCCTGCATATGAAGAAGTTAGTGGAAGTGAAAATAATGGAGTAGAATCAACACTTGAAAAGGCAGCATGGTCAGGAAAAGATGTTTGTTGATAGTGAAGTTCTGACCATGTTCATAAAATGGCCTTTCACACCTTTGACCACAGATTCCTTTGAGGGCAGATGGAAGAGTGAGGTGGTTGGAAACTCCAGCTTAGCTCTGGATTAAATCCTGGCTCTTCCAGTTCTACTCCTGGGACTAGTTCTTCTGGTTGTTGCCCAGCTCCATTTCCTCCTCTGAACGTGACCAATCGCCTTCCCAGTGTGCCTGTCTGTATGACCGAGGCTAGAAAACTAAAAGCTACATTTTCCCAGCTCCCTTTTCGCAAGGGTTGCTGCAGTAATTTAGGTTCTGCCAATCAGACTGGCATTTGGAACTGAGTTTAGTAAGGAGAGGGGAGGCAGCACCTAAGACATCCACTTTGGTCCTGCGCATTTGGCACCTGGCCTGGTCCCCAAGGCATGGGTGGTGAGGCGTATTCCTGGGACCAAGTTTCAGCAGCAGCTTCCCGATTCCTCTATGACAGCTAAAGAGAAGGATCCTGAAGTCTGCAATCCTTAGAGTAGCTTCTCGATTGTGGCAGAGTTAGAAGTTCCTGGTTGGATGGTCAGTTCCCTGGCATTTTTCTGGAAGACTGGCCTAGAGCCTGCATCTCTAACACTTGATAATTATGGTAGGCACCTCATTTTCCTGTATTAAATCCCTTCTTACCTAAAATGGGTGGCTTATGTGACCTACAACTAAACCTTAACCGATAGACCCACCACACAACTTTGTTGTGTAAATGAAATTAGATAATGTGAATAAAGCTCCCGGTGCGGGACCTAGCAAAATTAAGTATTTAGTAAATGCTGGGATTTTTGTTGTTTTTCCATTGAGCATCTATCTCTTGGATATATTTTCTGCAGAACACTTGAGGTTTTAGTCATCACGAGAAGGAGACCTTGTCATGCCAGACCCGTATTCATTTCAATAGGGAAGGCACCAGGTTTAAGAGGACAAAGAATAGACCCAGAGCCACCAAACAAGACATAGGGTATTCTGAGGGGAACTTACATGCAGAGAGCAGTTTAGTGACAGGCTGGATAGGAGAACCTCCCTGCCTGAAAAAAGCATGCAGTTTATATTGCACCTTGGCTTAGCAACCTCTACCTGGCAATTTCCATTTAACCTAAAACAAAGGGCCTTGATTCCTTATAAGGCCCATGTTCCATAGGATGGGACAGGGCTCAGATGTTCTTCATAGATAAGGAATGAATCTCCGGTTGGCCATGCTCAGAACTCTGAACACACATTCTGCCATACAAGGTTGTTCTCAGAGTGCATCTACCATACAGACCCACCTTTTTCTCCAACACTTCAGGGACAAAAAGAATTATGCAGAGATGGAGCCCTTTGAGGAAAGGAAAAGGTAGTTAAGGACATTTGTTTGGAATGGTTTTCATCTGCCTTCAGATACTGAGCATGAGAATCTCCAAATCATAACAGTGCCATGTGTGAGATAATTATTGCAATCAGAAAGAAAGGCTGTTCCATGGACAAGGATAAAAGTTATGACCAGATTTTACGGCTCCAGGTAGAAAAGGTGCTCCATTATGCTTCCCAGTATAGCTCAAGATCATAGCCCTGCTGAGTAACAGACACTGAGCGAGCATTCTAAGTGCAGCAGATCTGGGCAACAAGGACAGGAGCAAATGGGAGCCTGAGTGGCCTCAGCCTGGACAGCTAGCTCTCATGGGCCCTCCTTTGCTCTGACTCTGGGTAATTGGCCTTCGGAAGCAATTGCCGGCCCTGCCTGTGAACTCTTTCGCCTGTGGCTGGGCTCACAGATGCTATCCCTCTGCCTTTATCCAACTCCCTAGCTTTTCTTGTACCTGCCTGACTTTGAATGCATGGCCTATACCCCACAGGGTCTGCCCAGTAATGACCCTTCACGGCAAGGCTCAGAAGACCCGAGCCCCTGTGCCCACTGGCCCAGGTGCAATGTGAGTGAGGCAGGAGGAAGGCAGCCAGAGACGAGCTGTGCCTTCTTTGCTATTTTGCCTGAAGCACTGATGACAGCTGCAAACAATCATGCCTGGTGTGGGAAGCTAATTCCAGAACCAGTTGAATTTTTCCCCATGTGGCACGAGGTTCAATTCTGCAAGGTCCTGTGTTATTTTTTATGCTTTCAAACCTAACCATGTTAGGTCAGGTTTTTAGGAGTGACCTCAGACTTTCAGCTGGAACAAAATTATTATGGCAGCATACTGTTTAATATTCCCAAATTTTGTCATGAAACACAAGTACAGACAGATAAACTAGAATAGCAAGATTTAAAATAAAAATAAAAAGGATGGCATCTTCAAAAAAATAAGATGACAATGGGTTTCCCTGAGGCCCTGAAAACTCCAGAGTACAAATGGTCAGAGCTAAACCACCATCAACAGCAGAACCTGCTCAGGACACGCACAGGGTTACCAGTTGTAGACGCAGTAGAGAGGATAGAAGAGAGAGTCTTGGTGTTCTAAAAGCTTCGAAACACAGACATTGCCATCAAATGCTCATACCTAAAAAGAGATGACCTTACCGGGAGTGAAACCCTTGAGTTCAGAACCTAGAAATAACCCATTGATAAACTGTTGTAAAGCCCCACAGACTCTAGTGTGCAGATGAGTACAAATAACACATAGTAATCACCTGTGAGAAAATCAGAAGGTTCTAGGCAGCTGACATCCTCAGGAGCCACAGAGTTATCTGGCCAGATCTTCCCCTCTATAAAGACAGACTCTTACTGTGAGAACAAATGGATATGCATACAGAAATTGAGCTGTGTAGAAACAATGGTGGAAACTGGAGAGAAGGCTTGAATACTAAGAGGAGCAGAGGTGAGGGGAAGCAGGCCTGTTGACCTGGGAAGCTGAAGTTTTTAATACTTCAAGGTCACGGTAGAGGAGGGAGCCTTAGAGACATTCCTCTAGGAAAACTACCTTAGCCTTTCTCCATAGGAATCTCCTTCTAAAAGAATAAGGGGGAAAAAAGGACATCTTAAAGAAATAAGAGAAAATGAAAAAGCTGACATTGTATGGAAAAAAAAGAGGAATCTAAAAGTAACAATTAATGAAGCATATCAGAAACGTATGACCACAAAACTGATGAAAACTATAGCTTAATATTACAAAAGGAGCTAAGATAAATTAAGAACAGAATGGAAGCTATGAAAATTTAGCATAACTAAGGAGCAGAACATCTCAGAAATTACCTGGTTGAAATCCAGGAGATGTGAAAAAGTTCTGTCAGGGTTTGGGAAATAAATTGAGAAAAAAAAAAGCAATTCAGAATGAAGGCTAAACTAGAAGAAGCATGAAAGACTAGACAACAGAGTCTGGATAATAAGAGAAGCAGATGACAGAAAGGAGATTTAAGTTCACCCAAGTATAAGAAAAACAGAGACTGCTTACTTTTAAGGAAAATAAAGGCTAGAAAACAATGACAACCCATTAGAATAAATAACCCTAGCACTCACATCGTCATCTCTAAATACAATTTCCTACTAAAACGAACAAGGTTTGATGGGAGAAATAGCTGATTTCAGATGTAGGGCAAGAAATGCCTAAAATGAGCCCAAGCTATCTTGCTTTTCCAGGGATAAGAAATCTATCAAAAGGACACAGGAGTCTGCGTTGCAGTCATTATGATAACACTGGAGAATGAAATGCAGCTTTTGACAATGTAACATCTTTCTGAATGCTTGTAATGCACTCAAAAGTTTTCTCCCTTGGAAATGGTGATTCTTTGAAGCGGAGTCATATGTGTTTCAAACAAAAATTTTAACATTTTATCTGTTTTTTTCTGTTTGAAAAGATATAGAGAAAACGCATCTGCTTCCTCTATGTCTTCTAACGCTTTTATGCTATTACAGAATGGATAAGCCATTCTATTATATAAAAGAGGTGGGACAGCATTTGGTTAGGAAATTTATAATAGAGAGAAAACGTGAATCCTTGAAAATTGGACAAGCCGATTCAAGTTTTTGTTATCAAGTGGAATTAAAACTATTTAATGCATTCAACTATATTTTTAACCTTTGACCTTTCTTCCTCCCTCCCTAAACATATACAGAACCACAGTGGCAGAAAAAACAAATAATTTTATTAGCAAAAATAATGTAATTTTTCTCAAGTTTGTAGTTGCTTTATTATCATCAATTTGATAATTTTATATGTCATAGGTCACCAGTAAAGTTTTACTATCGGTAATGTTGATATAAAACAAAATGCCAACCAATATCCCTGACATTTAAGATATTGTAGTTTGTAACTCATTAATGGTCCTCAAAAACACATTTTCTGTTAATAGATCAATTATTACAAAATAAATAACAAAAAGACATTTGTAGTGGGTTGAATGGTGCCCCTGCTAAAATTTCCATGTCGTAATCCCCAGAACCTTTGAATGTGATATTATTTGGAAAAAGGGTCTTTGCAGATGTAATTAAGTTAAAGGTCTTATGATAAGCTCATCCTGGATTATCTGGTGGGCCCTAAATCCAGTAATGGGTGACCATATGACAAGAGATACATAGAAAAGGGAACACATAGAAAAAGAGAAGGCCATGTAAAGACAGAAGCCTATACAGTCTCTTGAGTAAGGCATCCACAAGCCCAAGAATGCTGACACCACCAGAAGCTGAGAAAGGCAAGGAAAAAATCTCCCCTAGAGCCTATGGAGGTAGTGTAGCTGTGCCAACATGTTGATTTAGAAACTGTGAGAATATCAATTTCTGTTGTTTTAAGTCACAAACAAAAAGACACAGGAGCTAACATAAAGAAGTGTCATTTATATAAGATGGAATAATGTAAGAAACACAATGAATAATGTTTGCAATAAATTGATATACCATATGTGTGTGTGTTGTAAACATTTTATATTTATGGGTTTGTGTATATATATATATATGTGTATATGTGTGTGTGTATACACACAATCTCATAGATTCAAAATAATATTTCTTAAAATCTCATTGATCACTGTTGAGGATCTCTAGGGAACTAAGTTAAAATTGGTAAAGGAAAAAAAATTAAGCATGTATTCTCCATTTCCAATATGAACTATATTTCAAGGTAAACAAATAGCTAATGAGGGAGAGTCTTTACAGAAGAAACCTAGCTAATAAATGCAGAAGCAATAATAGAATTTAAATATCCCCATTTTACAAACCTCATTAAATAATGGGTTTAGGAAATATTCATCAATGGAAGTTGTAAAACAGTAGATACAAGATTAATAGGAAATTTGATCATGGAGACATGAGGCTGACAGTGCCTGAGCCCACTGATCAATCTTAGCATCACTGAAAGTGGGACACCAAGAAACATTACACGTCTCATGATATGATGTAATTGGAAGTATATAGTACCAACTTTGAATTATTTCCTAGAAGTTAGAATCTAAATCTAATTAAGCCTTGTGTCAGTTTACAGAAAAGGTAGGGAAACACCTTGAAGGGTACAACAAGGAAGCAGTTAGCTAAATCTTTTTCTCCAGGACAAAAGACTTTGTCTCTCCAACAAATCAATAGCATTAATCCAAAAGGATGGGAGAAGGTTTATAGAATAAATAGACATAGCTACTAAGTGTGATGTGTGGATCTCACTGGGATCGTCATTTGAACGAGCTGTCTTTGTCTGTGACTGCCTGGGTATTTTCCACTTGCTCTTCCAGAACCACTTGAAACCCTACTTGACTCTCTCTGTGCCCCAGGAGGCTGGTCTTTACAAACTAAAAAGGATTGGCCAATAATGGCCTGTGGGCCAAATCTGCCCAGTGGCCAGTTTACATACAGCCTGTGAGCTAAAAATGATTTTTACATTTTTAAAAAGTTATTAGAAAAAAGAAGAAGAAAATGGGACAGAGACTGTATACAGCCCCAAAACTAAAAATATGAATGGTCTGGCCCTTTACAGAAAAAGTTTGCAACTCCTGAGCTAAATTACCTGGCATTCCTTGTCCTTTAGATTCAGATTTGGAGGGAGGAACAGGAGCTCTGAGGGTGAAAGGAGAATGATGAAATTGTTTATTCTCCCAGCTCCTTTCCTCTTATCAGGCTAATGACTCCAAGTCCCAGCATGCGTCTTCCCTTTGCTTCTTCCATGGGTGGTAACAGCTTTTCATAATTATGAGCTTTCAGGTACTGCACCATCTCTGGTTGATTTCATTTTATCCTGGCCACACCTTTGTAAATAGTCCCTTTATTAAAAAATCTTCAATTACCTCTTTTGAATATGTCATCTGTTTCCTACCAGGACCTTAACCCCTGCAGACTAGATGTTAGATGATAACTTTGTTGAGTGTGATAATGACGTGGTGGCTATGTCGGAAAAGTCTCCAGATAGAGATATATCCTGACATATTCATGGATAGCATGACCTGATGGCTTAAATTTGCCCTAAATACTCCTGAAAAAGATATGCAGAGAAAAATTAAACAAGTGGGATAGGTTGGAGATTATATACAATTGGGTATATATGGAGATTAATTACACTATTCTCTCTAGTTTTGGGTGTATTTGAAAAAATACAAAGAAAGAAAAATTTTTCTCTAACCTTATATTAGCAGTTTAATTAACTAAATAAATAGATAATTACATTGTATAAATTATATTTGAAGGGCCAACAAAGATTAGGACAGGCCCTGTGATTAAGAGCACAAACTTTGGTGATGAAAACCTGGGTTTAAATCTCACTTTGGACACTAAGCAAATGAAAAAAGCTTTCTAATTACTATTCAATATCATTTTCTAATATATAAAATGTGGATAATATTTATAATCTTAGACTACAATTAAAAATTAAGTAAAATAATACATATAACCTGCCTGGTACCAAGTAGATGCTTAATAAATTATAGTTGACACTGCTATTACTATTAATTATAATACTTTGTATTTAGAGAACAGAATGGAATTGAGTTTGGGGTGATAAGGAGGGAAAAGAAGAATGATGGTAGCTACCAAAAATATTTTAATAAATATCTATGTCCTCTGATATAGATTAGATTTGTTGTGAGATTTTTTTCTCACTAGAGGCATACAAGTTTTTACAGGCTAATTAAACTGTATCATTTGAGATAAAAAGTGCAGTCAAAGCTATTTAAATAGCATGTAGTAATTAGGAAACTAGTTTAATGGAGAAAATCTCAAAGGGAACCAATTTTTTTCCCTATTTGACAGAATGAATGTTTTAAAACCTTAATAGGTGCACCATATTGGTTCATGCCTTTGAATTGGAATGGTTTTCATTCTAATTGCATGGAAAGTTAAAATCACATTATATTAAGACCATGAAGAAGCACAGATGTTTTGCAATTTGACTTGCTGCCTGTGTCTCTGAATGGTTCAAAGAAAAGATATAGTGATATGTTATGGTGCACATTTGTTTTAATATTTGGCTAGAGGTTCTTGATAAATTATTAACTGATCAACATGATGTCGTGTGAAAAGTCTATAAAACAAAATTATGTCTCCACTGAGATAAGTGAGTGGCAAACATGTTATCATTAGCACCGTCTACACATGAACAAAGAATGACAAATTGAAGCAATTCTCCTAGTAACCTCAAGTCCAAAAATCTCTACAACCTGATATATTCACTTGATTGAGGAAGAATTGCTTGAGGCTCCAAAATGTCTAAGTAATTGCCCGTATTTTCTCCCTCACATTAGTTTAGCTGTGTCTGCAAGCACAGATGGTCTGCCCTTTGTTTTACCTTCACTGACTTGGCTGTTTAAGCTTGCCACTCAACTTGGACAAAACAAGACCCCCTGAAGGTTCCTTGGGTCTCTATGAAGAGACAGACACCCTATTAGGTGGCTCCAGTACCCGAATGCTCCTTGCTTTGCTACATATTCCTCTAATGTCCTGTTTTTGGTGTCATGCTAAGATTGTTAAAGAATATGAATTTAAATTTCTATCTGCTCCAAGGAGGTCAGAATTTCAACAGGAATCCAAATCTCGAGTGTAAAGAGGGTGAAGCTCTAACAAGTGAAATTGGGAACTGAGCATATGTCTGAGGTGAAAGAATGTGGACAATCGGAGGGAGTTCAGGCTTGGAGACACTTGGTGAAGTCATCAGAAGGCAGTCTCTAGCCAGCCCACATCTGCCCATGACGCATTTGCTATAAAGGAGCAAAGGCCGGCAAAGGCGTCTCCACTCTGTCACTGCAATGTACCTTGAATGAGGTACAGAACAAACAAGCAAAACCTGAATCCAGTCTAGACAGGAATTTTACATGCTGTCTTCTTTTTATTTATTTATTTATTTTTATTATTATGCTTTAAGTTCTAGGGTACATGTGCACAACGTGCAGGTTTGTTACATATGTATACATGTGCCATGTTGGTGTGCTGCACCCATTAACTCGTCATTTACAGCTGTCTTCTTATATAACATCTAGAGAACATTTATCTTAGTGGTACCAAAATGCTTCCATTCATTGTGTGGCCTGATTTTCTAACTGACTCTAAGCCGTTTACTCTCTTAGCCTCTGGGTTTTGTTTTGTTTTGTCTTTAATGAGGGAGGGGGAACAATTAATGAGATAATAATTATCACCATAAATGTCACTTGAGACAATAAGCTGTACTGTTTATGTGTGTCAGGCTCCTTAGAGGAGAGACACCCAAGAAGCTATTCGTTTAAGACCTTCCTCTTGGCAATTCAACAACTTCTTTTATTGGAGGCCATAAATACCCAGGTTGTATGTTTATATTCAACAGAAATCTTCTGGAGACAGTGTTTCCTAAAGCATTGCTCTTTGGCATGTTGTCGCCAGATATGTCAATAGGTATGCCTAGGAAAGGCCTCCATGGTTCAAGAGGTTTAGTGAATGCTGAAATCCATAACTTCTTAGTGATGTAAAATGCGTGTCAGCAATTAGAGGCTCTGAGAAGTCCTGCAAGAAAGAGAACTATTTGACTTTGAATAACCCAGCTGTTTCCAAACTTTTTTTTGAACACTTATTTTGTACCCTGTGGAACAGTGTCCCAGAGAACACAAGCTTATAAAATGCTGCTTAACTTAGTGGCCCCAATCGGTGGATCATAAATCTTGGTGATAAAGCATGGGGTGCGTGTGGTGGGAGAGTGGGGAGAAAGAATGCAGAACTAGAGATCCATGAAGCCATGTGTTTACCAAGCACTGTTTCTAGACTTAGTAAATAATATAGCTCATAAATACATGGGTGACTATTTTTCTAACATATGAAGATGTTATTATAATTTATTAGATATAAATCCATATAAAAGCACAACAAAAATTTTTAGTAGTTGTTTACTTCTTTTTGAGTCATCAGAAACTAAAATTATAACTATCATGTGGAAGATTTGTAAAGTGGTTTGATGTTAAATGGGTTTTTTGTGCTAAAGGAGAAAAAAAAAAGCAGAAATCATCCTCTTAACCCACAGGAGTGAATCTAATAGTTGGAAATTCAGGCATGGTGCCAGCAGATGGGGAAATTCTGAGAACACAAATTCTGGTTCTTCTCAAATCATAACATGCCGTGCCACCGGGTTACCCATGAGTAACCTGGGTGTGTAGGACCCAGTGCTGTGGATGGAGCTCTTCACATCTCCTTGAGGCCAGGGCTCTGTGGGGTGTTAGCACAGCATGCACAGCGAAACTGATGTTTCTGGATCCCAGCTGTATAAATGAGCTACAATGGCCAGATGTGACCGTCCTGACCCTGTTTGTGTGCAGCATGGACATGCAGCCTCCATGACTCCCCAGGGACCTTGCTGGCTCTGGGATTCTATGACAGCAGACTTCGGCAAGTTGCTCATCGAAAAGTCAGCAGAACTCCCATATAAAAGAAAAATTGTACTCACAGATGCCGCTGTCTCCAAAGAGAGGGCAAATGTGGGTCTATCTGATGAAAGCAAACTCAACAATGTCCTTAATCACAAGGATGATCAGCCTGGTCAGCTGAAAGGGTATGGCTAGCACGATCCAACCTCATCATTACTCTGGAATCATTACAACCCTGATGGTGAGATGATCATGGTGATTATCATAGCATGTAGTTATGCTACTAGCATATTATGTGGCTTGGATCATGTTTTCCCTAGTCCAGCTGATAGACAACATTTAATTTTGTTCTTGGTATAAAAAAAACCATCATTGGTCTGCAGCATTTGGTCTTTTGCAAGCACTCTGGATTAACTGAACTTTAAGAAACATTCACATTTAAATCATACCCCCTCACTCTGAGGTTGAGAATGCAAACTGACCAGGAACACAGCCAGATAAAGCGAGACTTGACTTCTGCTCTTCATGCTGGTGTCCACACCCTGCAGAGGTGGCTAAGCCAGCACACTAACTTCATCTGGGGAATGGAGGCCTGTCACAGGGAATCAGGAACTCTTGGACTCTCAGTTTTCTTAATGACTCAGTGATTGTTGACCTGGAGGAAATCCAGCCCAATAGAGCAACATTTTCTCTAATTCCTAATTTTATTCTTAGCTGCAAGTTTTCGACATTTTTACCTGGGACTCTGGCTCAGAATTATTTGATATCTTTCTTTGTCAGGTCATTTCGCCCCTTTATGTTTTTAAATTGCTCATTTTAGTTTAGTTTCAGGTGATTTTTCTATGCTGCATACTCCAAACCATGGTTCCACATTTTCACTTTTGAATCTTGTTTTAGGGTCCCTTGAGAAATATAACTTTAGATGTATGTGGCTAAGAGTGAAAAGATCAAGGAGTAAAAACAGAACTTTGCATGCTTTAGTGGATTTTAACTTCAAAATTCTTTCAGGAGGAGCACGGATGGCTATTCTTTCTTGGTTTTACCTAGTTTCCATTTTACTCATCTACCAAAAAAGATAATTAACATTTATAACTAAATGTCTTTGGCATGGAGCCAACTAACAATAAGATTGTCTACATAATATAAAGCACCCAGATTAGTACAATATAAACTGGAGAAGTTAAAGAAATGAAAGGAAGGAATTAGTCAATGATTCAAAATTCTTGGCTACATCTGTACAGTGCTAGGCATTTGGAAGGAAAGTGAGCATTCCGGTTAGAACTTAAGATATCTTCAAATATTTAGATTGATTGTAAACAAGTTTTTTAGTTTTAAGTGCTAGGTATTTAGTGGACAATAGTCTTTCATAAAAAAGTTATTATTCACAATCTTGGGAATTACTAATTCACATTCATGGGGCCATTTACCCAAGAGTGACATCATTTTAGATGTAGACCATATGTACATGATACCAAATACTTTCTAAAGGAATTGACCAATTCATTTGGCTTTGTCACCATGTGGGGTCTCATGAAAATGTGTGCTCAAGCAGAGAGTTCTGCTGCACTAAGTAGAAGTTTTCAGATGGAAATATGGTGTTTGACTCTCTGAGGATCTGAATAAACCAGCTAAGCTTATATTAATCCATGCCTTATTTTGTTACTTGTTTCAAAATATGCAGAAAGGGAGAAGAAATGATCTCTTTTAGGCAGTCAGTTTAAAGCATTACTAAGAGAGATGCCTGGAGTGATGAATAAGGAATTACTGGAGGGAGAGAAAATAGGATTATATATGTCCCCTTTAAAAGGTACTTAGAAACTAAGTGAAGAAGAAAGGGCTGGCCCTAGGGGCATTCAAGGATGGTTGGGGAACAGCCTAGCTGAGTACAGTGTCTCCTACACTTATGTTCCACACACTGTTCTCCTCTGGGTGTTGACGGATGTGCTAAGGAAAAAGTGCCCTGTGCTCAAGAAAGTTTGGAAACTGCTCGATTGCACAGAATGAAACAGGTTTCTTTTTTTGCAGGACTTCTCAGAGCCTTTAGTATGCTTATGTGCATTGTAAATTTTTAAGAGAAAAATGTAGTATCAAGTTTTCAAAGGTAACTTAACCATAGCACAGTCTTTTATAGACATGCTTATTGCTATCTCCTCATGTGAGGTTCGAAGAAAACCATTTTAGAAAATTATGGTGTAGTTGAAAGAGTCCTGGCTTTAAAAGCAAACACATCAGAAAGTAAATCCCAGCTCTATCACCTACGAGCTGTGTGAACTTAGGCAGATGTCTTCCTAGTGTGAGTCTCAGGTTTATTGGCATTAAAATGTAGGTTTTGCAGATTTCAGATTATAAAGTATAATATTTTTAATATCTGTCCTGTGCCAGTCAGAAAGTATAGGATAAAATTAACAATGTTTATAAAATAGACATGCTTTTTCCAATTAAATTTTTAACAGCAAGGAGGCATTATTTATTCTGTGTCTATGCTTCAGAATTCTTTCATTCTCATTGTAGGGAAATAGATAAATATAAATACATTTTTGTAATAAAAATGTTAATGGTAGGGTTAAAAGCCCCACTTTTTAACTGATAGAGTTGACAAAAGTATATTAAAAGTGTATATTTAATGGCAAAAAATGTAGGTTTTGATCTGTGCAGTACCAAATTTTCACGAGAATTAATTACTAAATAACAAATATAAACTAAAATTATAAACAATGAAATCCAAAATAAATGTTAATTTATATTCTTATTAATTCATTTAATGAATTATAGATGTAATCTTCAGATATTTATATTAACAAATTTTCAGTTTGGAAGCTTTGGTTCTTGTTTTAAGGACATTTCCGATAAAGTTGATATTTAGCTGAAAAGATGCTCTCATACTTGTCCACATTCCACAAAACAGTTCACTTTTGATGAGCCCAAAACAGTTAGCAAAGTAGTCTCAAAGGAGTACCCCCCATTTTATTAAAAAATAGTTGGAAAAATCTGCCCAATCTTACCCACAAAAATGTTGCAACCAACTCCCTGAGTGTTTGGAAGGGACACAGCTAGTTTAGGATTTATGTCTGGTCTTTAAACTCTGAAATAAGCTGAATTGTGTAAACATTTTGGCACAGTATGCAGGGAGTTAAATGCATTACTCTTGGCATTATTAACAGGTGGTGTGGGAATAAGTTGCTATGGAAAGTTCATGCTGCAATGTCAGCAGAAGAAAATGTATTTTATAGGCTTCCAGAGATGGAGGGAGGGGGCACCAAGGGGTCTATAGGGTCTAAGGCATGAAGATGGCTGAAAAATGCTTTCCAGCTGTCACAACTGCACATGGGCTTGGACAATTTCTTGTAGTGTTATGAATGTAAACGTTATTCAATTAACTGTTTCAAAAGCAGAAGGATTGTTTCTAAAAGAGAGCAATTTCTAGGCACCTGAAATGCTTGAAACCCCTATTATTTTTCATGTGGCTCAGTCTCTTGAGAGAGATCACCTCCCTTCAAACGAAGGCTTCCTAGTGCTCTAAGGATATAAAAATAGACATAGAAAGAATACATTCTTTTGAATAAGCAGAGCAGCTGTCAACTTCTAAAAAGCTGAGCTTGAATCAGGATTCAATCGATCCACACAGCACCCTCTCTGTTCTCTAGCTACCTCCTTTTCTCATGTAGTTGGTTTCCAAATAATAATGCAAGTAGGACAAGAGGGAAAGAGCCTAAACAAATTTAGGACAAATTTAGGTTGGAACTTCGGAAGAACTTCTGTTAAACACAGCATGAAAGACCAAAGAAAATGAGAGAAGCTCCTGTTCTGAAGAGTCTAAGGTAATAGGACCCAATCCAAGATAATTAAAAGATCCCTGCAAGACCATTTCTTTCTTTCTTTTTTCCTTCCTTCCTTCCTTCCTTCCTTCCTTCCTTCCTTCCTTCCTTCCTTCCTTCCTTCCTTCCTCTTTCTTTCTTTCTTTTCTTTCTTTCTTTCTTTTTCTTTTTGAATGAGCAGAAGGAAACAATGAGTTGCCAGAAAGAGAGAACCAAATACTCTATATGGAATCTAGGTAGGAATAGAATCCAACACTGTGCCTGACAATAAGCAAAGCAACAAGCAACTGTTAAGAAATAACATACACTGGGCATGAATGAGGCTGTGCGGAGAGCTAGCCAGCCCTGAAGCCAGGCTCTGGTTGGTGAGCTCGTGAGCCTTCTTGAACTCCAAATCACCTAAGGTTTACTCCAGCTAACTCTGTGAGAATTTTTGCCAAGCACATGATGAGTTTTCATAGCTCATGTTGTTTCATTGTCCTTGTATGAAAGGTGAAAGGGAAACTTTTTATTAAGCTGACCCTATGACTACAGCTCACTTACTCAAGAAGCCACAAGGTCCTGTTCCAAAAATCTGTCTCCCAGCACTGAGAAATATCCAAAGGTCCTGGTGTTATTTGCCATCCTCAGGTTTAGATGCTCCACAACCACTGGGCTGTAGGCTTAGGGCAGTTCAGCCTAGGGTTAAGAATGTGGGCTTTGGCATCTAAGAAACGTGAGTTCAGGTTTAAGTCTCAGTTCTGCCACTTAACTAGCCATGTGATGTTGGACAAGGTACTCAACTTCTCTTCACCTCTGTTTCCTAATCTGTAATACAGTGATAACCACAGTCCTCTCCTTAATGAGATTTTTTGGGAGGATTAGTTGAGATAATCCAGGTAAAGCACAGTGGCTGGCACTTAACAAATAATCAATTGCAGCTTTAGTTCTTATCATTCTTGGACTCTACAGAGAAATGCTTGCTTTGGGTACTTCCCATGGTTTTGTGAAGATACCCAGGCTGCATCCTATGGGAGAACCAAGTTATCTGACATATCTATTCATACTGCTACAGAAATTAGAAGGAGAGAGGGGATGCAACAAAGTAGCAACACTTCTGCCCCAACTTCCAACATCTCTACTCCCATAACTGTTCTGTCACCTGCATCCAAGAGAATTATGATCAAAGGCCTGGACCAAGCACTCGGATGTTGTTAGCATTTTACAACAGCTGAGCTGGGCAAGGACTCATGCTTTCATCAGGTAATTTAAATAACTATATTTGAGTCTCTAACTGTATGTTTTGGGATTGCACAGGACCTGCCAACACACATCTGTGTTTTTAGAATGAGATTTATTCAATTGGCAGAAAAAAACACCCAAGCCCTTGTAACCAGGAAATACATGATTACGGCATTCAAAATTGTCATTTAATTTGTTTTAGTATTCAGCCTGCTCTTCTACGTCCAGAAATTCTACACTGAAGCAATAAGCAAATGAGGTCAATTCCTATTTATTGCAGTTTCATTGGATGTTTAGTATCTACTGGGGCTTCTTTTGGCATTGAGATGGCCTATGAGAAGACTGGACATGAGTGATTTAAACAAAAACAGGAAATCAGGGCCTCCCTCAGATCCCTGCTTATTGCCACATAGCTAGCCTTTCTTCTAGTACCCAGCTCTTTGCATGTCACATGATTACAAACATGGACAACTGGGCTCCTGCAGTAACAAGGAAGACTGAAGTTGGTCCTATGCAACATCACAGCCACCCATCTAATTGAACAAGGATACCAAGTTGCTTTTCTTACATGATGTTAAGCAGTTACGTGATTTTGCTTCTCACTTAGTTGACAGATTTAGAGGCTATTAGACAGAACTCAAATCCCAAGTCTCTTAATCCCTGATTTGTAACAACCAAAAAATGTGAGGCTTACTATTCTTTCTTTCTTTCTTTTTTTTTTTTTTTTTTTTTTGAGACGGAGTCTCGCTCTGTCGCCCAGGCTGGAGTGCAATGATGCGATCTCAGCTTGCTACAACCTCCGCCTCCTGAGTTCAAATGATTCTCCTGCCTCAGCCCCCTGAGTAGCTGGGATTACAGGCTCCCACCATCACACCCAGCTAATTTTTGTATTTTTAGTAGAGACGGGGTTTCACCATTCTGGCCAGGCTGGTCTGGAACTCCTGACCTCGTGATCCACCTGCCTTGGCCTACCAAAGTGCTGGGATTACAGGCATGAGCCACCATAACCTGCCCGAGGCTTAGTATTCTTATGGCCCCTTCCTTTATGCTTCCCAATGCCAACAAATCTGGCACATAAAACTACTATTAAAACCACTCAAATATGGTGCTTGTAGTAACAAGAAGAAATAGGTGGTTAACTCAATTTCTCCCTTTTAAAACAGCCTGCAGTTTATCCCATCTGATACTATACCACCCTGTTAAACTAAGGCTTTACCAAAATACTTAGCCCTCCTCCTAACACAGCCAGCCAATTCCCTCCCCACATGCAACCACCACCTTCATCCTTCTGTGCTCTCTCACGTTTGGTTCATTTCAGTTCAGTCTTTATCCATCCCTTATTCTGTATAGCAATGTGCGAAAGCTAAGGTCTACACCGACAGGCTAGTAGCTATGGTTCGGGAAAAACCACTTTCCTGGACCCACATGACAGATACTGAATTGAGACACTAGACAGCCAAAATGTACTCAGTGCCTGTTAATGACAAACACTTCATATGCGTTATCTGACCAGGTCCTCACAATAACCTTATGAGGATAAGAACAGGTTACCTCACATCACTCTGGCTAGAAGCGGACACAGGCCCACCTCTAAACCAATCCCCGGAGAAGGCACAATTGACTTATAAGATAACTAGAATCTATCGACAGGTACTTAGAAGGGAGTCTACTTCCTTCTCCTGAAACCCAGAATTATGTGGAGAAGGAATGCATTTTTTTTTTGAGATGGGATCTCACTCTGTTGCCCAGGCTGAAGGGCAGTGGCATGATCTTGGCTCACTGCAAGCTCTGCCTCCCCAGTTCAAGCGACTGGGAGTGCATTTCTAAACAAAATTGAGAATTTATTGGGAATAAGAAGAGAAGAATATAAGTGCTGGATCTGCTATACTCATCCCACACTGTCAATTTCTGCCTGTTCTATTTCTCAGTGTTTCTTATGTTTATTTTCTTCCTCCCATGCTCCAGTTTAATTAAATCCTTTGTATTTTTTTCCCTAGGTCACTATATTAGCATCAGAAATAGGTTCTCTGTCTTCAGTGTGTCCTTGAATCTGTACCAAAGGAAGCTTCCTAAGGTGCACTGTGATCAGCTGCCCCTTTCTGACACTCTTTCAGACATCCATGATCCCGGAGCTTCTCAGATCCATCCTGCCACCCATGAGAGACACCTTTTCTTTTTACTAATGCAAGCTCCTCAAATACCAGTGACTCTTCTGAGGAGCATGATTTGGAGAGATAAGGGATATATTTCATTAGAGGAGCCTTGTCCTTTGTTCTTGGATTATCTCTAACATAGGTGTAAAAAAACTATCTACTGCAAAGGTAAGTTAAGATACCTTGATTCATTTAAATTCTCTTCAAATCCATTCATTTACTCTTGTGGGATCTTGAATTCTCTTATTCTCTCTCTCTCTCTGTCTCACACACACACAGAGAGACACACACACACACAGAGCTGTGACTTGGGATGATGGAATAACGTAAAGAATACAGATATCAATCTGGCCACAAGAATTTTCAGGAATTTTGCTGATCTCATGACTCCCACCAACCGTCAGAGAACACACAATGCAATTATCTCTAGCCCGGGCATGTAAGAATTATGCTTTGATTTACTTTCCACAACCCCTCCCCATTTAGCCCCATCACTGCCCTATCTCACAATCTCTACAAAAACCCCACATCTCATGGAAAGCTGCTGAGGGAAATCAGGGGAGATGAGATGATTGAATCTCCATATGTGACCCTTACCACAGATTAGAAGGGTTCATTCTGGGGCAGGAGGGGAGGTTTTCTTCAGTGGCCTGTTTTAAGCGTGGAGCTAATAAATCATCTCCTATTAGGATCAAGGCACTCCAACTTCTTGGAAAGAGGGGTCAACATTCAAATCATTAGTTTCTTCCCTGATATTGGGAATCAGTAGATAAAGCCTACAAAGCAAACAGAGGAGAGGTAGAGAACTCCAATCTAAGGTAAAAGGGCATACAGGTTATACCAGTCCCAAGTATACTTATTTATTTAAAAAAAAATAATTTCTCACACCCAAGAAGAGTTGTCAGTTAATGATTGAACGGATTTTCAAACCGACTGAAACCTGGGGTGTCCACCATCCCCTATTTTCTCCCCTTACCCACACCCCTGTTGCATCCAAGCATGCAATTCCAGAATGTCTATAATGAGTGACAGCAGAAAAGTGTATTGACAGTGAAATTAGGTGAAAAGTGAAAGAAATTTTCCCCTTAGTAACAGGGGTTTAATACCAAACACAAACCTGAAAGGTTCAGACTGTTTGTAACAGTTATAATTAATTCTTCAGAATTTGCTAGGTAGAATGATGTGCCACATGATATGTCTGGCTCTGGAACTAATCAGTTCTACCTGCTTCTAGTTGCTCCATTTTTAAGTTCTTGTCAAAATGGAGTCCCTCCATTATTTGAACTGTGTGGGCTGATGTGTGATAGCAGCAGTGTCGTATAGAGGTTAAGTTCAAGGTTGGAGAGCCAAACAGAGCTGGGTTTGAGTTCCAGGTTTGGCAATTAGCAGTTAATTGCATAGCCTTGGACAAGTCATTTATCCTTAGTCTCTTGATCTATAAATTGAATATAAGCTAGTATACCATGGGGATAAATGAGATAGTGCCTGCAAAGCACTTAGTACTATCTGAGACACATACTCTCCATAAACATAGCTATTCTCAAAAAATATATTGTATGATTTTTATATCCACTTGACATAAAATCATTACTGATATACTGGCCATAGCTTCAGTCTGTCTCACTTTCATTCTCCTTTGAACTAAATAAGTTTTCCATGCACCCCATATAGGAGAGCTCTGGCTGGCATCTGGCAGGTGCCCCTCTGGAATGAAGCTTTCAGAGGAAAGATTAGGCAGTAATCTTTGCAGTTCTGCAGCCTCCGCTGGTGATACCCAGGCAAATAGGGCCAGGAGTGGACCTCCAGCAAACTCCAGCAGACTGGCAGCAGAGGGGACTGACTGTCAGAAGGAAAACTAACAAACAGAAAAGAATAGCACATCCACTCAAAGACCCCATCCGAAGGTCACCAACATCAAAGACCAAAGGTAGATACATCCACAAAGATGGGGAGAAACCAGTGCAAAAAGGCTGAAAATTCAAAAAATCAGAACAGCCCTTCTCCTCCAAAGGATCACAACTCCTCACCAGCAAGAGAACAAAACTGGACAGAGAATGGTCTGACGAATTGACAGAAGTAAGTTTCAGAAGATGGATAATAATGAACTCCTCTGAACTAAAGGAGCATGTTCTAACCCAATGCAAGGAAGCTAAGAACCTTGAAAAAAGTTAGATGAATTGCTAACTAGAATAACCAGTGTAGAGAAGAACATAAATGACCTGATGGAGCTGAAAAACACAGCACAAGAACTTCGTGAAGCATACACAAGTAACAATAGCCTAATCAATCAAGCAGAAGAAAGGAAATCAGTGATTGAAGATCAACTTAATGAAATAAAGCATGAAGACAAGATTAGAGAAAAAAGAATAAAAGGAATGAACAAAGCCCCCAAGAAATATGGGACTAAGTGAAAAGACCAAATCTAGGTTTGATTGGTGTACCTGAAAGTGATGGGGAGAATGGAACTAGTTGGAAAACACTCTTCAGGATATTATCCAGGAGAACATCCCCAACCTAGCAAGACAGGCCAACATTCAAATTTAGGAAATACACAGAACACCACAAAGATACTCCTCAAGAAGAGCAACCCCAGGACACATAATTGTCAGATTCACCAAGGCTGCAATGAAGGAAAAAAATGTTAAGGACAGCCAGAGAGAAAGGTTGGGTTACCACAAAGGGGAGCCCATCAGACTAACAGCAGTCCTCTTGGCAGAAACTCTACAAGCAAGAAGAGAGTGGGAGCCAATATTCAACATTCTTAAAGAAAAGAATTTTCAACCCAGAATTTAATATCCAGCCAATCTAAGCTTCATAAGCAAAGAAGAAATAAAATCCTTTACAGACAAGCAAATGCTGAGAGATTTTGCCACCACCTGGCCTGCCTTACAAGAGCTCCTGAAGGAAGCACTAAACATGGAAAGGAACAACTGGTACCAGCCACTTCAAAAACATACCAAATTGTAAAGAACATCACTACTGTGAAGAAACTACATCAACTAACGGGCAAAACAACCAGCTAGCATCATAATGACAGGATTAAATTCACACATAACAATATTAACCTTGAATGTAAATGGGCTAATTGGCCCAATTAAAAGACACAGACTGGCAAATTGGATAAAGAGTCAAGACCCATCAGTGTGCTGTATTCAGGAGACCCATCTCGCATGTGAAGACACACATGGGCTCAAAATAAAGGGATGGAGGGAGATTTACCAAGCAAATGGAAAGCAATAAAAAGCAGGAGTTTCAATCCTAATCTCTGATAAAACAGACTTTAAACCAACAAAGATCAAAAGAGACAAAGAAGGTCATTACATAATGGTAAAGGGATCAATGCAGCAAGAAGAGCTAATGATCCTAAATATATATGCATCCAATACAGGAGCACCCAGATTTATAAAGCAAGTTCTTAGAGACCTACAAAGAGACTTAGACTCCCACACAATAATAGTGGGAGACTTTAACACCCCACTGTCAATATTAGATCAGCGAGACAGAAAATTAACAAGGATATTCAGGACTTGAACTCAGCTCTGGACCAAGCAGACCTAATAGACATCTACAGAACTCTCCACCCCAAATCAACAGAATATACATTCTTCTCAGCACCACACCACACTTATTCCAAAATTGACCACATAATTGGAAGTAAAACACTCCTCAGCAAATGCCAAAGAATGGAAATCATAACAAACAATCTTTCAGACCACAGTGCAATCAAATTAGAACTCAGGATTAAGAAACTCACTCAAAAACACACAACTACATGGACACTGAACAACCTGTTCCTGAATGACTACTGGGTAAATAACGAAATGAAGGCAGAAATAAAGATGTTCTTTGAAACCAATGAGAATGAAGACACAACATACCAGAATCTCTGGGACACATTTAAAGCAGTGTGTAGAGGGAAATTTACAGCACTAAATGCCCACAAGAGAAAGCAGGAAAGATCTAAAATTGACACCCTAACATCACAATTAAAAGAACTAGAGAAGCAACAGCAAACAAATTCAAAATCTAGCAGAAGACAAGAAATAACTAAGATCAGAGCAGAACTGAAGGAGATAGAGACAAGAAAAACCTTTCAAAAATTAATGAATCCAGGAGCTGGTTTTTTGAAAAGATCAACAAAATAGACCACTAGCCAGACTAATAAAGAAGAAAAGAGAGAAGAATCAAATAGATGCAATAAAAAATGATAAAGGGGATATCACCACTGATCCCACAGAAATACAAACTACCATCAGAGAATACCTTTTTGTTTTTTTTAAACATGGGCATAATTTTGCTTTCAATGTCTCTTAGTTTCAGGCCTAGTGCTTTTAAGAGGTGGTTTCCCAGTAATGGGATTGCTGGGTCAAATGGTATTTCTGGTTCTAGATCCTTGAGGAATTGCCACCCTGTCTTCCACAATGGTTGAACTAATTTACACTCCCACCAACAGTGTAAAAGCATTCCTATTTCTCCACATCATCTCCAGCATCTGTTGCTTCCTGACTTTTTAATGTTTGCCACTCTAACTGGCAGATAAATCATTCTACTATAAAGACTTATGGACTTGTATGTTTATTGCAGCACTGTTAACAATAGCAAAAACTGGGAACCAACCTAAATGCCCATCAATGATAGACTGATTAAAGAAAATGTGGTACGTATATACCATGGAATACTATGCAGCCATAAAAGGGATGAGTTCATATCCTTTGCAGGGACATGGATGAAGCTGGAAACCATCATTCTCAGCAAACTAACACAGGAACAGAAAACCAAACACTACATGTTCTCACTCATAAATGGGAGTTGAACAATGAGAACACATGGACACAGGAAGGGGAATGTTACACACTGAGGCCTGTCAGGGTTTGGGGGGCTAGGGGAGGGATAGCATTAGGACAAATAGCTAATGTAGATGAGGGGTTGATGGGTGTGGCAAACCAGCATGGCACGTGTATACCTATGTAACAAACCTGCACGTTCTACACATGTGTCTCAGAAATTAAAGTATAATTAAAAAAAAGAGGTGGTTTCCACTAAAAGAAGAAGATAAAAGGAGAGAAATGTTGACATAAATCCTGGAGTGAATCCTGGTAGAAGATCACCATGGAAAAACCTGGAAGTTGTAGAAATGCACTGCAGAGGCTCAAACAGCCTGGACCTTGACCCTATGGTCAGCACCACATGTGGGCCAACTAAGGGTGGCAACAATTTCTTATTCCAGCACTTCACCACTGACATGATTTTGCAGAGAATGGGAGTAGAATCAGAAGAGAAAGATGAAGTTGCAGGAAACATAGCGGCTGAGGGCTGTTGAGAATTAAAAGATAAGAAAGGTGAAGTGTCAGGACTTCACTCCTGTTTTGTTACCTAAGAAGTTGTCCATAATGGAGACTATGTGTTGGTGGGCTAGGGGATGGGTCCCTGGCTTAATAAGCAAGTGATCTTTCCTGTACCCACAGAGAAGTAGACACACATTGTGTTGCTGAGTTTTAACAGACAATTGCAACATTAAATAATATCAAACAACGGACCTAAAAAGAATGAGGGAAAAATAACATAAGAGAGATGAATACTAAGAATTTATTTAAAATGCATTCAAGACAAGAACATACTTAATGAGTTAAAAAAATCTTTCTTCAAAGAAAAGGCAAGCTCAGATGGTTTGACAAGTTAGTTATATACCCCATAATGGCATAACCTCAATACCAAAACTTGACAAAGATATATATGTATGAGAAAGGAAAATTGCAGACCAATCTATCTCATGAATGCAGGTGTAAAAATCCTAAATAAAATAGTAAAAACAGAATGCAGAAAAAATATATAAAAGCTAATGCATTATTAAGACCAAGAATTTAATGGGTTTTAATGGGTTTATCTCAGGAATGAAACGTTTATTTAATGTTAGAAAATTAGCTAATGTTATTCACTTCACATTCACCAGCAAATGAAAGGAAAAGGACAATCATGTGATCATCCCAGTAGATACAAAAAAAGCATTCACTAACACTCATTCATGATTATTTTTAAACTCTTAGCAAATTGGGCATAGAAGAGAAACTACTAAAGGGGTTTCTACCAAGGAAAATATTTCATAAAGCATCATACTTGATGGTAAAAAAAACTTTGGCTTTGAGATTTGGAGCAAGGCAAAGATATCTGCTATTATCACTTTTATTCAACCTTGTATTAGAGATTATAGCCAGAGCAGTTAGAAAGAAAAAGAAATAAGGCCAAAATAGAAAAAAAGAAACAAAAGTATTATTGCTCACAGATTACTTGGCCCAGTATGTAGAAAATCCAAAACAGACTATAGATAAATTATTAGAATTAATAAGAGTATTTATCAAAGTTGCCAAATATAAAATCAACATACTAAAATGAATTACATTTCTGTATATCAGAAGCAAATAGAAAGTTAAATATTATACTTCATATGTTCGACAATGTCGTCAAACATATGAAGTACTTTGAAATAAATCTAAGATGGTTAGGAAACTATAAAAGTTGACTGGAAGATACTCTGGTATTCATAGTTGTGTCTGTTTCCCCTCTTCTGAATACCTCCTGCTCTTGGCATGACCAATGAGACTTCCTGTGAGCGATGAAACACAAGTGGAAGCTTTAAGAACTAATGTGCTATTCAGCTCTCTTTCCAACTGCCACTTAACCAGCAAAGGTGTAGCTGGTGGATGCTCCATCAGCGCAGGTTTCAGAATGAGGATAACACAGAGCAGATCCTCAGATGACCCACAGTGGACATGTGGCATAGGCAAGAAATAAACCTTAATGTATTACACCACTGAGCTTTCGAGATTGTCAGTAACCACAGCATAACCTGGCCTGTCATGTCTGTTATAGAAATTAAAGAATCCACAAATAAATGAGAGATAGACCAAACTCAAGGATTACAAAACTCAGTAATAAAAAACACACCAATTCTTCCAAAATACTTTAAATAGAACTTGATGATCTGGTTCTAATAGTTCAAAAGGCCAAGAAAGACAAGTCATTCAAAGATTAAGATGGGAAACTCGTTATTCCAGATATCAAAGCATATTATAGTTACCATATTTAAGACTGTGCTGAATTAGAGCGGGCATAGACAGAGTGATGGAATGCAATGGAGAGCCCAGAATCAGACTCACATATATATGTACACTTAACATATGACAGAGGTCAAAGTACTGAGGACAGGACAGACTTTTCAGCTTTGGTTACCCACAGGAGAAAAGGAAAATTAGATCCTATCATCCACAAAAATCAATTCCAAGTGGATTAAAGATATACCCATAAAAACCAAAACTACAAACTTTTCAGAAAATAATACAGAGAAATATTTTCATGACTTCAGGTTGGAAGGATTTTTTAAATAAGAGAAAACACAAATAGGATAAGATTAGGAAATTTAACAACTTAAAATTAAGATCATCTATTTTTGAGAGGATACCATAAAGAGAGTGAAAGGTAAACCAAAAACTGAGAGAAGATCTGCAATGCATACAAGAATGTACTCAAATCTGAGAAATAATAAAATAAATCCTAGGCCAGTTGCGGTGGCTCACGCCTGTAGTCCCAGCACTTTGGGAGGCCGAGGCAGGCGGATCATGAGGTCAGGAAGTCGAGACCATCCTGGCTAACACGGTGAAACCCTGTCTCTACTAAAAATACAAAAAAAATTAGCCAGGCGTGGTGGCGGGCGCCTGTAGTCCCAGCTACTCAGGAGGCTGAGGCAGGAGAATGGCGTGAACCTGGGAGGTGGGGCTTGCAGTGAGCCAAGATCGTGCCATTGTACTCCAGCCTGGGTGACAGAGCAAGACTCTGTCTCAAAAAAATAAATAAAATAAAATAAAATAAATCCTTCAAATCAATAAGAAAGGGCCAAAAACCCAATACAAAAAAGGGACAAAGGACTTGAGCAGACACTTCATAGAAGAAAAATTCAAACAACCAATAAATTATTGAAAAGGTGCTCAATTTTGTTAAAAACAAGCTGAATGCACTATTCACAATAGCGAAGACATGGAATAAACCCAAATGCCCATCAATGGTAGACTGGATTTAAAAAATGTGGTACATACACACCATGGAATACTATGCAGCCATAAAAAAGGATGAGATCATGTCCTTTGCAGGGACATGGATAGAGCTGGAGGCCATTATCCTTAGCAAACTAACACAGGAACAGAAAACCAAATACCACATGTTCTCACTTATAAGTAGGAGCTAAATGATGAGAACACATGGGGAGATACAGGGAAATAACACACACTGAGGCCTATCAGAAGGTGGAGGGTGGGAGGAGGAAGAGGATCAGGAAAAATATCTAATTGGTACCAGGCTTAGTACCTGGGTGATGAAATAATCTGTACAACCAACCCCCATGACATACATTTACCTATGTAACAAACCTGCACGTCTGTACATATACCCCTAAACTTAAATAAAAGTTAAAAAAAGCTGAAAGTATATGATAAAAAATATAAAAAACATTACATATTCATTATATAGAAGAAAAAATAAGTCTGACAATATAAAGTCTTGGTAAAGATGTAGAACAATGGAGATTCTCATACACTATTGGTGGGAGAGTAAATTGGTACAAACTTTGAATTTCTACTATCACGTGGTAAAGTTGAATATGTGTTTATGTTATAATCCATTAATTCTACTCCTGGTTATATACTCCACAGAAACTCTTGCCTATGTACATTCAGAAACATGGGCAGGAATATTTAAAGCACCATTGTTCCCTGAACTGAGAACAACCCAAATGCCAATCATCAAGAGACTGGACAAATAAACTGTGGTTTATTACACTGGAATACTACACAGCACTGAAGATAAATAAGTTACATCAATAAGATAGATGAATCTCAGGAATACAATGTTAGATTTAAAAATCATTGAAAAATTCATACAATGCAGAATAATTCCATTGATATGAACTAGTAAACATGCAAAATAGTTTAGTGATTCAAATATTTTTGCTAAGTCAATAAATAAAAATAAGAATACAGTAAACATAAAAGTCAGGAAGATGGTACCTCTGGGGAAAGCCAAGGAAATATGACCGGTAAGGGGCACATGGCACGGTGTGGAGTAGGTTTCCAGTGCAATGGGATGTCATATTTTTTTTAACCAGTTTGGCAAGCACATTTGTGTTCACTTTAAGCCACGCATGTTCTTTTAATATTCTCTTCTGGGTGTGTATTTCACAATTTTTAAAAAAATTTGTTTTGAAATTATTAGAGTCACAGGAAGTTGCAAAAATAATAGAGAGGTCCTTTGCATTTCATAATTTTTTAAATGATTCTATCCCCCCATTAAAAAATATTGTCATGAAAAAAAAAAGCTAGTGAGGAAATGAGATTTGTAGAATGTGAACTTTGCTGAGCAATAGCTTGGGAAAAAAACTGATAAACCACAGAGTGGTTTTTTACTTGTCATATTTTTCATCTTGGGGATATAAGTGTCAGGGAGCTACAGGCAACTCTGTCTAGGTGAAAAGAAATGGAACAAGACTGCAGGGATTGTATTAGAGTGTTAAGTTTGAGTAGCTGAGAACTGATATAATCCAACGTGACCTAAGGCCAATCTAAGTGTTCTTTCTAAAAAGGCAAGGGAATTCTCATCTGAGCTTGTACAGGGATAATTTCTTCTGAAATTGGAAGTTGACATTAAGTTACATGGAAACACTCAGTGCACATCCAAGATATCCTTATGTGGTCTAAGAATGTCAAGCTTGTTTGGGTTTTAGATGTGGGAAATTAGATTGGCTTTGAGATGAAGCCCCTAGCTCCCTCAATCAAAAATTGAGGATGTTACTAAAATTAAATTTGCTGTTAACCAGAAACATTTACTTAAATCAGGAGCAACAAGTACTTGAGCACTTACGGTCCAGCCTGGGAGGAAGTATTGCTGATGTCCTCTGCAGAACCCCACCAATCCAGAGACAAATAGACCTGATTGAAAGCCTGGCTTGGCCACTTATTAGCTGTGCAAGTTAACTCCTCTAAGCCTATGTTTCATTATAGGTAAAATATGAATAAGACACCTAATTCAAAAAAGTCATTGCAGCTCCTAGAGGTCATAGCACTTAGTGCTCAAAAAGTGTTAGCTGTCATTATAACTCTTATTGAGGGCTTGCTACCGTCACTTGAGAAGCAAAAATAAGCCTGTCTGTTAAGAACTATCCTCTTACCAGTGTGACATGATCAATGGAGTCCCTGTCCTTAGTGTTTCACCTTTGGGTCTTCTAAAGGCTTGAAAGTTCCATGGGGTGTCAGGGGAGGATAAAAATCTGAATTATTTTATGTTGGCTAGATATTTCAATAGTGCATTAGCATAAGTTGCCCTCTAGCAACAACTAAGGCCCTGAGAATGAAAATCAAAGTAGATGCATTTCAATGGAGAGAAGAGAGTCAAGAACAATTCCAAGCTCACTACATCGTAGTGGAAGGTCACTGGCAGATCATCACAAACATATTCATGGTGATCTAGATAGAAGACGACAGAGCCAGGTTTATAGCAGAAGAATTTGCCTGATAGTCTACCCTTCAGCCAGGCCAACATGCCTCCATACTTCTGAAAGCTTAGTTCCATCTACCTGCATCTACCTTCCCCGTCTCCACCTGGCCTACTCTCCCCTGGATTCCAATAAGCAATGAAGCCATGGACGAATTCTTCCCTAAGCACCTCCCATTTCTGGTCCCGAGATACTGTTAGGTGCTCCATCCCTAGTGTTGCCATTGGAGCCTGTGTGTGTCTATTTGGTATTATCATGTTCCATTATCATCACTGTAGGTGAATCTATGTATCTGCTTTCCTTTACCTATTTGCAAAGATGCTCAATAGGATGGGAGCCAGCTCCCTCTCCTGCAGAGGCCACATCAGTCTCCCTGAAGATGAGACTTTGGCAAACACACATGTCCCTTTTCCCCTCAGCACTGCCTGCCCCACCATCAGGAACATTCCTTCATAGTCAGCCACTGTTACTGATGGAAAGTGTGATAATGATGCTGGTGTGCTGGGGCAGAGCAAATGTTGAAACCCATGGTCTAAACTAGTGTTTCACAAAGTTTGATGGCCTTGCTACCTACATCTGAATCACCTGATCTCCTGCCCCCACTGCTGCCAAATCACTGTGTAACTTCTAGCACGTACTACCCAGCATAGCACCTGACACACGTATAAGGCATGAGATAAAATACATTAATCTCTCTGCTCCATTGTTCTCTAGGAAGTTACGTCCTTTACCAACACTCCATGCTTGGGAAGGTTCCATATCTAAGCAATCTTTACTCTTTGTATGCTAAACCAATTTCTCATTGCCCTTGCAAGACCTTGAATGGGGACATCCCAATTGCTAGGCATTCTGCTAAACATTTTGTGTCTACTCACAGTAGCACTATGAGTTAAGTATCACTGTCCCCATTGTATAAATGACACAATTGAAGCAAGGATTGGTTAATTAATTTGCCCTAGGTTACACAGTGAGTTATAAAAGCAGGATTCTAACCTAAGCAATCTGATTCCAGGGTTCATATGCTTAACTAGTCTGCCATATTGCTTTCCCATGTTTATTGAGTACCTAGTATGCTGTAGAATTCTGCATGAGGCACTCTATAGATAGAGATGCACAGCCCATGCGTGGTTCTTGCCCTCCTATAGGATATAGCCCAGAGGGGAAAGACAGACATTAAATAAGTAGAAACACTGCATATTTAAAAGTATCCAGTAAGAGAAGTACTTTGGGTGGGGGCGGGAAAGAAGGACTATAACACCAGAGACCATTTAAGACTGGCACTCAGTGAAGGCTTTTATGAGAAAGTGGCCTCTGAGTAGTCTCTTATGTGAAGAGTGTGAACAAGAGCCTTTTAGGCTGAGAAAACCACATGTGCACATGTCCTGGGATGTTTGAAGAATTAAAATTCCCACATTCATCTGGAAGGGGTAGGCTAGAATTAGGAAGAAACTAGACTGTAATTGTTTCGGGTTTATTCTGTGTGATTTTATTCCACATGAGATCTTTTCTGACATAGAAAGTGTATTAGTCCATTTTCACACAACTGTAAAGAAATATCTGAGACTGGGTAATTTATAAAGGAAAGAGGTTTAATTGATTCACAGTTCCATATGGCTGGGGAGGCCTCAGGAAACTCACAATCATGGCAGAAGGGGAAGAAAGCACGTCTTCACAAGGTGGCAGGAGAGAGAGTGTGTGTGTGTAGGAGGAACTGTCAAACACTTATAAAAGCATCAGATCTCATGAGAACTCACTCACTATCACAAGAACAGCATGGGGGGAAACTGTCCCCATGATCCAATTACCTCCCATCAGGTCCCTCCTCAACAAGTGGGGATTATGGAGATTACAATTCAAGATAAGATTTGGGTGGGGACAAAGAGCCAAACCATATCAGAGAGAGTCAAAGCGGGAACTGGGGATTCAAACAAACTTTTCTCATGAGGTCAAATCAATGCTCAGGATGGACCTGCAAGCAGTTTGCCAGCAGGATTCAGAAGAGGAAGATCAAAGAAGATAAAAGGGCCCTTGGAAGCAAGATACGGTGTGAGGAGAATGTTCTCTTGAGTAATGGTGCTAGGCATGCTCTGGCTAAACCTGAGGAGTTCAGAGAAAATAAGGCTTTGAGATGGCTTTCTACATCTAACTGGAGAAGTACCAAAGCCCTGCCAGAGGGTAATTTGCCTCTAAAAGAACAGAGAGAAGGGAGCAGAGAGATAGGCCAAGGAATTCAAATGGGTGCCCAGGACCTTCTTTTACCTGTTTAGTACCAAAGGCTGACCTAGTCCCTCCACCCCACTTTTCCCCCATCACCGCATCACCACCTCAGTCCTGAAAGTCTCAAATCCAAGTGCTCAGTTCAGTCATGATCCTAATGGATGCAGGAAGGTCTAAGTCCAGGTCATCTCCAAGTAGTACCTTTGGAGGCTGCACTGTCTTAGCATTGACCTTGCCTGTAATTGAGAGTACAATGTGGTAACTCATGCTCCATAGCAAAATATCTCTTCTTTCACTCTCTGCCCAAAATGTACCTGATTAAATAAGATGGAGACATATGGACACAGAGAGGGGAACATCACACACTGGGGCCTGTTGGGAGGTGGGGGGTAAGGAGAAGGAGAACATTAGGACAAATACCTAATGCATGGGGGGCTTAAAACCTAAATGATGGGTTGATAGGTGCAGTAAACCACCATGGCACATGTATAGCTATGTAACAAACCTGCACGTTCTGCACATGTATCCCAGAACGTAACGTAAAATAAAAAAATAATAAGATGGAGATAATGATGATAAAGGGAGGTGGCCTAGGAGGGAGGAAAAAAGCCTTTGCCCTCTGAGCTGCTTATCAGAAATAATAAATATGGGACCCAGGATAAGCTCCTGTGCTAAACCCACAACCTCTTTACTGATAGTGATCAGAAGCAGCACAGGAAGCAAGTTCAGCTGTCAAGACTAGTGAGATGGATTTGATGTGCAGAATGCAAAAGTCAGAAGATATATAAGCGCAGAAAGAGAGGACAGCTGGGGAAAGCACTTTTGGAGTGGAAGAGGAAGCGAGAGAGAGAGTGGGCATTTGCCTATGAATTATATATCCTGTATTTAAGAAAGCCCATGTACCTCCCCCTCACTCTCACTCCGAATAAAATGTTGGCCACCATCCAAGCTGGAGCCTGGAGAGAGATAAAGGAAGCACAGAACTCCTTCTGGCCTTCTCAGCCTTTGACAAGGAGAACTTGGTAATCAAGTCTAACCCAAGCTTCCCAGGCTTTTGGCAGATACAATTAGTACATTCCTTCTTTCCATGTTGGAAATTTACCTAAGATATTAAATATTCACCCCCTCCTTCTATCTCAGACTTGATGAAACATAAAAGTGCTGCTCTGAGGAATTACCTTGTCCCTAGTTCCCTTACTGCATGATTATATTGGATAAAACTTCTCCTAAGGGCTCCAAAAGGCCCCCCAGGTGGAATCATAACTCTTTGACCCTTGAGGGTCATGTGAAACCTCAAGGTGTGGAACCTCAAGGCTGCCCTCTTGCTGATAGGAAACTCTGAGGCCTCCATGCTGTACTGGAATTGCCGGCCTTTGTTATGGACTGAGCATTTCTTCTTTGCTTGCCCTGATTATCTTCTTGTACCACCTCCAAGGAGGAAACATTTAGGCTTAGGCAAGGACTTGTGACTGGGTCGCCAAAATGCTAGAGGATGAAGATTGCAATTTGGGCCTCCCTGTAACCAAAGTCAAAAGTGCCTGGTAACTAAGAGTCCCAGATAGTAACGCTAAGCATTTTATGTCCTAGAGTGCTTTCTGGACATCCAGCTCCCAGGGGTATAGTCATGGTGGGGATGGACAGGGAAAGGGTTTGAGCAGAATTCAGAGACTCCAGACCCTGGCCTTACTTGCCATTACTAATGCTGACCCCTTGGCCTTGGCTGTGTGCACCAGAATTCTTCTAGCACACCTTCTTCAATCTTCTGATCCCAGCCCAGCATTTCCCCCTCCCTGACTTGCCTAGTCCCCGGGAGATAGCAAAAGCCTAAAGGTTGACTCTTCTAGCCCAAAGGAAGTCCCACTGGAGCAAGGGGTTGTTTCCTGTGATTTCACTTAAAGTGTTTAGATGTCTATTATTGTTACTAATAAAAAATATCAATCACTTGAGAAGTTGTTTCCTGTGCATCAGATGCTGTTCTGGTCAAATAAGGGTCCTGTCCACAAGGATGTTGTGTTGTAAGAAGAGACACAGATAATTAAGGTTAAACATATTTTATCTATTAATATAAAAAAGATAATTATAGACGATGAAAAGTGCTGTGAAAGAAATATACAAAGTTATATGATACGCAAAGTTCAATAGATGGGTCTTTTCAGATGGAATGGTCAGAGGCATCAATGGGGGTTTACTTGAGCCCTGAAGCATGAGATGGAGCTATCCATGGAAGAACAAGACAGAAAGAATCCCAGACAGTGGAACAGCTAACAGAAAGGCTTTCAAGCCAGAAAGAGCTCTGTATGTTCCAGGAAAGAAAGGAGGCCTGTGTGGCCAGAGGAGAGCTGAGGAAAGCCAAGAAGGGAAGGGAGGCAGGAAGGCTGGGTCAGTGCATGTATTAGTCCATTCTCATGCTGCTATGAATAAACACCCGAGACTGGCTAACTTATAAAGAAAAGAGGTTTAATTGACTCATAGTTCCACATGGCTTGGGAGACCTCAGGAAACTTACAATCATGGCAGAAGTCACCTCTTCACAGGGTAGCAGGAGAGAGGATGAGTGCCAGCAGGGGAAATGCCAGAAGCTTATAAAAACATCATATCTTGTGAGAACTCACTCACTATCACAAGAACAGCATGGGGGAAACTGCCCCCATGATTCAATTACCTCCTACTAGGTCCCTCCCATAATGCATGGGGATGATGGGGATTACAATTCAAGATGAGATTTGAGTGGGGACACAGCTAAACAATATCAGTGCATGTGAGGCTTTGCAGGATTCTGGAGCCAACGAAAAGTCTTTGAAGAACTTTAAGTATGACATGATCTGATTTATGTTTTTTTAAAGTCCACTTTGGCTAAGAACAGATTGCAAGTGGTAAGAAGTCAAGAGGCTATTCAGAAACCAGTCAGAGGAACATGGTGTGTTCTATTAGAAAGAGTGATGGTGGTGGCAGTGGAGTAAAGTGGTAACCCTCTTCGAAGTTTCATAGAAAAATAAATTGAGGTTCAAAGAGGTTAGGGACATTGACAAGATTGAACAGCCAATTAGTTGCAGAGTCAGGATTCAAACTTTTCTTTTTTGGATGCCAAAGTATGTTTTCTTTCCTCTGCATTTCTTTGGGTCTCCATTTTGTCATCAGTAAAGTAATGGTTTGGGTTAGATTATCTACGAGATGACTTCTGGTTCTAAGATATCAAAACCTCCCTCTACTTAGATATTTGTTTGATATTTTTTGATTACCATCTTATCACATGTGCACTCAGCTTGTTTCCTGTTGTGCATAGTGAAGAAACATACATAGTTTACAGAACTCCCACGTGGTCTTCCGTTTTCAGGAACCTTCTAGATAAGAGTGAGTAAGAGGGCAGAGCATATCTTGTCACTGTATCGGCAAGGAGTGAAGTCTTGGGCTGTCTACAAAAAGCAGTCCAGCCAGTAAGAAATAGTGGTGGAGGGTAGGTGGAAAAGAACAGATGAAGGGGAACAAGGTTATGCGATAATCATCCGGAATAAATAACGACATCGATTTTCTAAAAATCAAATCCATCACCTGTAAAATAGGAGTCCTTTAAAGATCAGGCTATGACTTTTTGCTATTTTTAACACATCGACATTATTTGAATTTTTCTATAGAATGCATATTACTTTTGTGGGGTTTTTTTTAAACTAAAGATAGAAATAATAGACTCCTAAAAGTGATGATTTCAGTACCATAGCAATATGCTCTGGATATTTGGAAGAGGCATGATTTCAAATATTTTAGTGGTAAATCAGAGAAAATGTGGCACTGAGAAGTGACTTACTGTAGTGGCTACCAGGTCAGGTTCTGAAAGCGGACTGGCTCCCTTCAAACCCTGGCTCTACTTACTGGCTGCACTACCTTGGGCAAATTACTTGATCTCCCTGGGCCTCTGAGTTCTCATCCATAAAACAAAGTTAACAATCTTTAACAATCGTGGCATAGGGAAACCATAAAAACTAAATGAGAGGCCGGGCATGGTGGCTCATGCCTGTAATCCCAGCACTTTGGGAGGTCAATGCAGGTGGATCACTTGAGGCCAGGAGTTCGAGACCGGCCTGGCCAACATAGCAAAACCCTGTCTCTACTGAAAGTACAAAAATTAGGTGGGTATGGTGGTTCATGACTGTAATCCTAGCTACACAGGAGGCTGAGGAGCAAGAATCACCTGAACCCGGGAGGTGAAGGTTGCAGTGAGCTGAGATCGCACCACTGCACTCCAGGCTGGGTGACAGAGAGAAGCCCTGTCTCAAATAAATAAATAAATAATAAAAATAAATGAGTTAACTTACGTAAATATAAATGTAACTTATGTCCAGACCATGTGTTTGGTTTTGTGATTTCAGAAAGCATGTCACTTCAGCACTGGGACTCATTTTAACCTTGCTTTTCTTGAGAATTTTCTGTTACATATGAGGTATTCTTGGGGACTTGGGTAAAATGCACTGTGTAAAATTATTTCACATCAATCAGTGTTAAAAAGCAAGAAACTATTTTGTAGATAAATAAATTTAACCATATAAGAAATGATAGCTATTTTGAATTAAAATAAGCTTTTTAATTTGATGTAGAATTAGACTTGTTAAATTTTACATGTGTCTTTTAATGGGATTTAATTCCATTTTCATTTCTGTACTTTAGCATTCTGTAGCTCTGGCAGTTTATATAAGCAGGACCCCCAATTAAAATGTGCATCATTGGTGATCATGAATGTAGGAAGAGAAGATGCACATCCTATGGCATTTTTTCCTGATAAAGTTATTGCACACAGACCCAAGTTCTTTGAAGTTCACTTTCCTCTTTGTTGTGGAAAGAGGACCACTGGCAGAATGCCTCTACTCTCCTAGTCAAGTGCAGAGTTTGACCTGCCTTTTAGTATCCTGAAATCGTTTTCTTCAATCAGAAGTTTCATATAGAAGGGTAATTGCCATGTTTCATTAAGGCAGCTTCTTGGAGTTTTGTTGCTTTTGGACCCTCCAGAGCCCCCTGGATTCTTCTGCCTTGAGGTTAGGACTTGGTGTGTAGTCCACATGCTCTAGAGAAAGAATAACGTGGTCCTTTCTCTAATCAAAGCTCTCTGTAAGTATAAAAGAAAGCTTGGGGGCTGAAGAAAACCATGGCTTTAGAGATAAGGTACTATATAATCTTTAAGAATGAATCACCAAATGAGACAGAAAATAATCACCTCTTTCATCCGTCAGATGGGGGTTCTTTCCAATCTGTGTGTGGCTTTTACTTAAGTGATATTCTGTGAATTTCACTATACAGAATTACATATGCATATAGGGAACTCCATATTCTTTCTGAGCATAGTTTCCTAGTTGAGTGTGAAGTGTGTTTAATGAATGTCAGTATCACCTTACCTAACAGAATTCAAAGAGGGTAAAAATGTTTTGTGTGATGCTGCCAGTACCATTAAGTCAAATGTCGGGAAATATTATTCACAATGACTCACTCTGATGCATCAAGGCTAACGTGATTAGCTTAAGTGAAAGCCATTCTCAGAGAAGAAAAGAAACTTCAGAAACTCCGAATGGAAAGGGCAAGTCAGGACTCTTTCTGCCTGTTTCTATAACTTTGTCAATAGTTTCTTCATGGTCTGATCACTTTTGCTCTCTAAACTCTAGTTCTTATCTTGTTACTGTAAAGCTTCCGTTTCCTCGTCTATAAAAGGAGACATAAGAGGACATAATAGCAAATACCTTCCACAAACAAGATAATGCTTTTGGAGGATCAGCATGGTAATGATTAATAGCAATTTTTATTGTGTTGTTGTTAGGTCCTAACTACAGCAATCAAACCAAACCACCATCCCTGTTTGTTCCACTCCAGCCACAGCATCCTTCTTTCTAACCCCACCCTGACCCCACGACAAAGCAGCCACTCCTGTCTTAGAGCATCAGCTCCATCACCCACAGCAAAAGAACAGAACATCAGAGTGTACATGATGTCTTCTGAGTGGCATCACATAGAGGCCCTAAGTAATCTGGAAATGCTCAAGTTGTGATTTTTTCTGGTGTAATCGTTATGTCTTGCAGGAAGACAGAAGCCATAGATATAGCTAGTCCTGTTCTGTCACTAAGTTCTGCCTAGAATATTCTCCTCCCCACCCAGGTCTTCATCTGGCGGAATGCTTCTCAACATTGACTCTCAGCTGAAATGTCACTTCCACAGAGAGGCTTTCCCCAACCACCCTAGCTAAAGTGCCTCTTGGACCTGATCACTCTCTGTGCTATTTCCCCGAATTATGTGCTTCAGAGCAGTTGTCACTATCTGGAATTATCTTATTTGTTTATCTCCATATGTGTTTAATGTCTGTCTCTCTCCCATGATAATGCGAGCCCCACAAGTACAGAGTCCTTGTCCATCTTGTTTGTGCTATATCCTCAGTGCCAAGCACACAGTGCCCAGCACAGACAGGGCACTCAATACATCTCTGTTAAATAAATAAATGAATCAATAATTCTTATATCTTCCTTTGGGGCCATAACCCTGGCAGGCCTGAGGCATCCCCCTCATGTACAATGACAACAAAAGGTCTCCATCTCTAACCCTCCCATACAAGGATCTTAGAGGGTCTTCTCCCCTGCTGGTTGCAGTGTGTGGGCAGGAAGTCACCTAGCCAAATATGTGCCTCACCCCCATTTCATAGCATCGGGTATTTATGATATAGAAATGGTCTTTGCAATTACATATAGGAGATGTTCCTAAACTTTTGTCTTTTGGGTAACTATGCAAAAGTGATGAGTGATTCTGAGTGAGGAGAAAAATGTTCCTTGGCTAGCAGTGCTATGCAGGTTTAAAATCCCAACCTCTAGCCTCAAGAAAAGAGAGGAAAGAGAAAGGCCAAGAAGAATATCCATGAGTGAGTCGTTCATGGGCTTCTTGAACAGGCCCTTGAAAAATGCATGAAGGAGAATTAACTAAGACAACCTAAGGAAGGCTGAACAAAGCATTCTGACTTTTGGGTTGAAGTTAGCAATGAGAGGTTTACTTTTGTATTGTTGCTCTATAGTGTGCAAGAGAATCGTCATGAATGCCAAGCTTCTCAGAAATTTGAGGCTCATTCAAATTCAATATATTTTGTTAATTTGTCTTTCTCTTGTAATGTTTACCTCATTGCAGCAAAATACTAGCTACTTGATTTAGGAGGGAAAAATCATACCCACACTTTGGCACCTGAAGGAAGACAGAAATTAAATGTTCTATTTGAAAAGGATAGAACATTTGGAAATGGATACATTGAGATTATTCTGATGTTGAATTCTGATGAAAGAATACAAGATTAGAAATGGTACTGTGAAGTGAGTCTCTGTTCTGTCACAAAAAGGCTGTGATGTTTATTTAATACATTTTTCCTGGGCACCCAAGGTAAGCCAGATCTTGTTCTAGACGTCAGGAAACACCAGGATATGTGTAAAAGAAACAGTGCCAGCTCTCCTGGAGCTGACAGCCTGGTCGGGGAGACTGACAGGTTAACACTTGCAGTGTCCTGGGACTCTGTTATTAAGGGGTTTGCAGATACAGCAAAGAGAAGAGCTAACCCAAGAAGGCAGGGACTATTTCACAGAGGAGGTGTTGGAGAAACCATCATCTGTCATCTGGTGAAGGCAGCAAACTTGTGAACCTGTTTTTCCTGCCAAATGAATCAGGCAACATGAGAACACTAAATTATTTGAGGGAACGTCTGCTGACATCACTTCTGCCTTGCTCACTGCACACGCCGACCCCCTCTTTCCCAAGGCTCCAATGCCTCACCCACCCGCTAATCCCTACTCATATTTGGCGCTCTATTGAGATGTCATTTTCTGGGAGAGAGGCCTCTCCAACTCCCATGTGACAAAATGCTCTGCTCCCATGCTTTCCATAACACCCATTTTTCTCTCCGTCGGACTAATACATATGTGCTCTATATGCACCAGGCCGTGTTCTGAGTGCTTTCCACGCGTCAACTCATTCATCCCCTCCATCAGTGTATAAGGTATTATAATATTACTATCCCCACTTTACAGATGAGGAAACAGAGGTCCAAAGAAGTTAAGTAATTCACCCCAGGAGGTGACAGCCAGGATGCAAATGCAGGAATGCAATTCAGAGCCTGCCTTCTTATCACACTGTGCCTCCTCTCACAGCAGGCAAAGCTACCTGTAACGCCCTGCTCTGTCTCCAACTCTAACTGCATACTCCTCAAAGGCAGAGACCATGTCTTGCTCACAGTTACAGCCGAAATGTCTAGCCCAGGCCTGGTGCATAGTAGGCATTTGATAATAAGTATTGAATAATTTTTATTTTATTTTATTTTTAAGTTCTGGGATACAAGTGCAGGACATGCAGGTTTGTTACATGTGCCATGGTAGTTTGCTGCACCTACCAACCCATCACCTAGGTATTAAGCCCCATATATATTAGCTATTTATCCTGATGCTCTCCCTCTCCCCACCCCACTGTGGAATGATTTTTTTTTTAAAGAATGTTGGACTATCTCATGGTCTACACTATTCATCAAGGAGTCACTTCCTCTTCCTCCCAAGTAATGGATCTGCAATTGAACACAGATTTCCTGAAAGTCAGGACCAAACTCAAATTGGGACCTCTGGAATATAAACCCTGGAGAAATATCTGGGGACTTTTGGCTGAAGGCAGCTCTTTGTGAAATCCTTCTTAAGTATAACTAGCTCCAGATTGTTTCTTTTCATTAAATTTCATTTGCTAAGGTAGTTCTGTAACTGAAAGTGCTACCCACTGCCTGCCACATCCTAGATTGGGGCTTTGTTTTTGTCTCTTATTTTGGCTTGTGGTATAATTCAAGGTATAGAAGCAAATCGGATCCAACACTTGTTTTATACCATTAGCTGTTATCTGCACAACAGCTTCAAACAGTAATGGTGCAGCGTGCATTGCACTCTAGCTGCAGCGTTCTCTACTGTATGTCATGCCTCATTTTGCTCAGCTGCCTTCTTTTTCCTGCTTGATCTGTTCATTCCTGGCCTCACCAGCAGTTCAGAATATACATCCCCATCTGGAGTTAGGCATGCTCGGTATCTCCACGGGAACCTGTGGGAATTAGACTGAGTAGATGAGGTCTCTTGATTTTTTTTTTATTTGTGTGATATACCAGAGGTGATCACATTTCACAGGCACTCAGAAAATCATTCTGAACATATGGCAAAGGTAACAATATCAATAGTAAAGCAACCCTTTAGTGTTACACATAGCATTTTTGTCTGGGAATTTGGGAGAGAGGTGGCTATCATTTCAAAAAGTCAGCTTTACTGGTATATGTAAGACTTTGAAAGGGATCGATGTAAAAATGAAATGAAGAGAACACCTAAAAGATACTATTGTGAAAATAACAATAAATAGGCACCTATGGACCTGATATGGAGTGTAAATGTTTAGTCTTAGGTAGTTCTGACTAATCATAGACCATTAATTGAATGATATCATACAGATTATTAATCCTTAAAGAATTAAAATGGGTTCAGTCATTTTAGTCTCCAAACTAGGCATCGTTTATTGTTGATGTTTAAAAGTTAATTAATTAGTGTTATTTAATCATTCTCTGATACAGTAGGTGCTCTAGTGTGTTTTTTTAAAAATGGGGGCAGAGGGACACTCTTTCTTGCTGAATGAGGCTCCAACACAGACAGGATAACTGCCCAAATCTGTTCTTGTTTGCCCTGACTTTTCTCCCTTAAGTTGAGCTGACCTAGCAGTACATCATGGCCAGTGCTAAATAAAAATGAGTCCTGGATTTCAATTCCCAGTTTGCTGCAGGCCCCCATCCTTCCCTAGGGCCCTACCTGGGCCATGAATCCTTGCTTTGTTCTCAGCTTTCAGATATGATGCCTGGAACGGCTTTTCTGGCTGTCAATCTTCCATTCTTGTTTTAGGCCGAGTTTTGCATTAGCTTCCACTTGGGTCCACTTTTGGGTAACCACCCTATTTAAAACCAGCCTTAGCCTCTAGGACCCCACCTGGTCCAGCCTCCCATAAGGAGAGCATCAAGCTTACTAACTTCACTCCCAACACATGTTAGAAGTTGTAATTTTTGTTCAGCATGATTACCAAATAGTAAGAACACAAAAAAAAGATTGTGAATTCAGAAGACCAAGACTATTGAAAAGAAGGTAAAGAAGAAAGAGGATAAAGCCTTCTGCACATGAATTGGCCAACACCAAGAAGTCTTACTTGCAGAGGTTTGGCCTGATGCAGAAGATTTGTTACAGAATGTTGGTCTTCAATCAAAGGAATATTTGAGGTTCTCTAAAGATAAATTACTGTAGGGGGAAATGGAACAAATTCCCTTAGGCATCATCTTTGGTTTGGAAGAGGGAGGCTGAGGAGGTATAAATAATAGTTTCCTAGCTTTCCACAGGAAGCAAGAAATAGTGTGTGCAGGAACTGCAGTGATTCCAAACCACAAAACACCTTCATGAAGACGTTCATGTGGAATGTGCTTGTGAACTTTATTCCTCCACATAATTGATAGCTTTCCAAGTTCATCTGGCTCCAGCCCTTACTAGGCACAATTTTAATGTCTCTTGTCCTCACACTGAGCTTCCCTGAGTTTTCTGCAGCATTCTTCTGTGGCTCTCTTAAGGGTAGCTTCATATGGGGCATCATCTCAAGCATTCTTCAATGGCTTCAGCTCTTTTCAGCAGGACCATTTAGGTCCCAAGACTGTTTATTTCACAGCTAAACATGTTCATATCCAAAAGACAGGCTCATCATTTATCCAAACATCTCTGGCAGTGGGGTTTAGTAGACGTTTCCATCCCTATAGCCTTCACATGACTTTGTTATTCTTCACTCTGAGAGAATTGGATAGACTTCTCTCTTCAGTTTGCCCAAGTGATCGAGGGTGGCAGTAACCCTCTAAGTTTCTGGGGTCCTTGGGGATGTCATGCCATCACTTCAAGTGGTCTAACTTGTTCCAACATACTGGGCCTTACTGAGGACAATGATCCATGATGGATTCTCCTCTGGGATTTTTGCAAATATTGTTTTTAGTATGCATGAGTTTCCTGGGGCTGCAAACAAATGACCACAAACTTTCTAGTGCAAAACAACAGAAATGCATTGTCTCATAGTCCTGGAGGCCAGCAGTACAAGATCAAGGTGTTGGCAGGGTAGTACTCCCTCCGGAGGTTCTGGGGAGAATTCTCCCCTACCTCTTCCAGCTTCTGGGAGCTGTTGGCATTCTTTGGCTTCCAATCTTTGCCTACATGGTCACATCACCACTCTTCTTCATGTATTTGTCTTTTCTTCTGTCTGTTATAAGGACACTTATCATTGGATTTAGAGCCCACCCAAATAACACAGGATGATACTTTAATGTAATTAAGATTACATGTATTAATGTATTAATGTAACTATATCTGCCAATACCCATTTTCCATATTAGATAGCACTCACAGTGTCTGGGTATTAGACAAGGACATATTCCTTTGAAGGCCACCATTCAATCCACTATACCCTGTATTCTGATGAAAAGTCTCTACAGATAACTGACCCTCACCCCACATTATTTCCCTGTACCATGAAAATAATGCCTTCATGATGAATATCTGATAAGAGTGTTTATCAGTCAGGGTGCCAGGTAAGACATGCATCATTAGGCCTTTGCAATACCGTATTGAGTGAGCACAGCTCACTCTAGATGGTGTGTGTAAAAAGACTTTCATGAAAGGGCTATCTACAGACATGTATGTCATAGGAATAAACAAGGACTGTTGAGGCACCCAGACACTAGCAATGGGATGAGCCATTACTACTCCTATGGCCAAAGGAGCAAGAGAAGGAAAGAGTGTAACTGGAGACTCATGAGAACCGAGGAGTAGAAAAGGGGTCACTTGGCAGAAGCTGTAATCTTGGAGGGAAGTGACTACCGGTGGATACACAGTGCTAAAACAGGGAGGAGAGGGAAGATCTCTCCTCCCAACAGCTGATCTTTCTTCTGGTACCTGCCATTGGCTGAACACAAGTGGAAGCTTGCAGGCAAGGGAGCCAGTTGGCAACATGGTTAAGGATCAGCATTCCAGCACATGGAACAAGGCATTGAAAGGCAGAAAATGCTTCAGGGTAGAGGCAGGGATGGTTCAAACCAGCCCAGAAAGATAAAACATGTACATAAACAACAGATTCTAGACAAAGGAGAGAACTTCCAGCTTACAGGTGATTATATGGGTTGGTATGAGCCTGGAAATCAGGGAGGGCTTCATTGAGAAGTCTCTAGCTGAGCCTTGAAGAGGAGATAGGATCTAGAGATACAGAAATAGGAAAGGAGTATTTTGAGGCAGAATGAGCAATATCACAAAGGCCCAAAGGGCACATGGTCTATGTGGGATTGGGGGTTCATATGCAGGGAATAACTAATGGTTCTATGTGAAACATGAATGTAGGAAGAGGAAATAAGACTAGAAGGTAGGTTGGATCCTCTAGTGAAGAGCCTGAAAAACCCTGTAAGGTAGTTTGACTTTTGTTCCTGGGACAGTGGAACACCAGCATAGTTGTCCAGAAGAGGCTTTAGAGAGACTAATTCACTAGACAGAGAGCAGAGAGTATAGACCCTAATGGAAGAGAAGTACAGTGTTCATTCATGGAAGGAGTGGCTGCTGAAAGGCTTTGTCCTTTTGCTTGAACTTCCACACACCAGGTCACCCCAGGAAGCTCTTAACCACATCCATTCTCCCACTGCCTTCATTCCCTAGACTTTAAAAACCAAGTATAGGCTCAGTTAAAAATTTAAATCAACCAGAGAGTTAGTTTATCTACTACTGCCAAAACTTAAGGCACATCATTGAAAGGGCAGGAAGTACAGTGAGAAATCTAGTCACAGTAATAGACATCATGATATCACGGCCCAAACTGCCGAAAGCCTCCTGGTGCCACAACTGTGGGTTGGCTTCTCTTCTCTTGGAGTAAGATTTTTAAATTTGCCTGTTGTCTTCTCTACTCAGTAGCCACTGCTCTTTTTGGGTAGCCACCTTTCTCTCTTAGGCCAGAGTGAACCATCCCTCTTTTCAAGATTGTTTGCCTATTTTGTCTTTACAGAAGCTTAGAATTTGCAGCTTTTACTTGGCCATGTGGTCCAGATCCAAGTAAGCAAGTCTCATCAGACACTTGTACTAAAATCTGAAGCTCTCTCAATCTAGTTTCGGTTGCTGAAAATACTAGCAGAATTTCCAGAGAAGAGAAATGCGATAAAGGATAGAGAGGCTGAAATGTGCCAAGCCCTAGCCCAGATTGTTGTCAGAGAGACTTTCATGAGTGAAGACTTGCTGCAAAGCAACAGATTCCTACACAATGTCTATATTCACAGAGTAGTTTGTTGGCTTTAGAAAACCTGTTTGGGCTTGAGATAATAGTCACTTACACATATATTCCTTGTGTAGATACTACTGCCAAGGAATTATTTGGTGCATCTATTCATATAGAGGAGATAGAAATGCCTTACAATCCATTGTTGTTTCAGTTCTCTATTTTGAAAATACCATGGTTTGGTGGAGAATATTCAAATTATTATGTTCTGGGCCTTACGGGCAGTAACTCATGAGACCCAGGCTTTTAGGAAGAAGCATTTTGTAAAAGAAACATTTCTATAATGCCAATATGTATTTGGGACCATACAGGAATCTAATCTCTGAGCCTCAGATTTCTCATTTGTAACATGATCAGGATAATGTTAATACCACATTTGGAAAATAATGATAATGTCTGTTAACATGCCTTTTAAAAGATTCTAGTACCTTTTATAAGTGATAGTTTGTTATTCTTGCTATAATTTCTTGGGAATATGTCCATTTTAACTTATCTAATTAGAAATGGTGATAATTGGGTTACGAAGTCTACAGCTATCTTTCTGTCTCTTGAATTTTGGTTTTTAGACATGTGAAAAATGATGCTATGTAATTAGATTCTTCAAACATTGTCTAATTTCTTAGTTAAGGTGCTGTGGGACACACAGGTATGAGTAAAGTCCCTGTACTCCTGAGCTTTATAGCAGAGTGAGCAGATGATAGATAGATAGATACATGCATACATACATGCATACATGCATGCATACATACATACATACACACATACATAGAAACATAGATAGATATAGATGGTTGGATGATAGATTAGGTAGATAGATAGATAGATAGATAGATAGATAGATAGATAGATAGATAGTATGGATGCAGAGATAGAGACAGAGACAGAGGGATGGATGCATAGAAGAGAGATAGTTAGATGAGATAGAAATGTAGACAGATAGAGATGGAGATGGAGATTGATAGAGAGATAGAGATGGACAAAGATGGAATGCCTTTCCTTAGACTGATTTTGCTCATGAGTGGTCTTTATAAATAGGGTTTTGCTCCCTACTAATTCTGATGACAACGGCCATGTCTGTCTGTGAGGATGGAAAGTGAGTGGATCACCAAGAAGGATGGGTTTATCAGCAGCCATGCTTGACTAAGTACTTGCTGAGTAATTTTCCTCATGGAGTCTTGGCAAGAGTTGTAAAAACTTTACTAAAAGCCAATAGAAAATGGTTCCCTGAATGTTGATAAAAGGATTTTTCCCATTTTTTGTCCTAGTTAGTGAGGGCCTCATTATAGAATCTTGGAACTATAAATGAAAATTATCTAAAAGACCAGAGGACAGAGTCTAATGTTTTTACTTTATGAGTTTTTCCTGGGACACTTTTAAACAGTAACAACAACAGCAATAATAAAGAAGTTAATTCTTATTTTTTAGGCAGTAGTGACATTTGGAGGTACATAGTTCAAGCTCCTCTTTGAAAACACAGACCTGGCTTTATGACCCTAAAAATGTCTTATTTCTTTAATAGACTGTATATACATTAAAAGAAACAAATTCTAAAAGAATTAAAACTGGTTGAGACACCAAGAATAAAAGATTCTGCATTTGTTAAGACATCATAAGGTTGGGGGTTTTGTTTTTTGTGTTTAGAGACAGGGTTTCACTCTATCACCCAGGCTGGAGTATGGAAGCACAACCATAGCTCACTGCAGCTACGGTCTCACTTTCTAGAAACAATTTACCAATCTGAGCTCCCACCAGCAAAGAAGGAAAGTGTTTAAGAGTGTCACATTGTTTCCTTGACAGCTTTGAGTATTTCTACTTTTACAAATCTTTGCTGATGTTTTTATTTTACTTATTTATTTATTTTTATTTTGAGACAGATTCTCACTCTATCGCCTAGGCTGGAGTGCCGTGGCATGACAGCATGACCATAGCTCACTGTAGCCTTGACCTCCTAGGCTCAAGAGATCCTCTCATCTCAGCCAATTTGCTTTTATTTTTTCTATAAATGTATCTCATTATGTCATAACTCACTTTTATAGCAGGGAAAAAGTTAATACAAGATAAGATTTAGATATCCTCTCTCCAGCAAGACCCAGAACTTTGATTAACTCTGCCTGGAGAATAGAAGGTTTATGAAGATGCTAAGCTATCCCAATAAGACGTTGTGTACCAAATGCAATTTTAGGTTCTGTAGATGAAGTTCCAGGGAATTCCTCCCATTTATATTAACATGCATGCCAAATGGTCTTGGTTTTTGTTTGTTTGTTTGTTTGTTTTTGATATTTTATCTTGGACTTGGGGAACTTTCAGTTGTTTTCTCTGACTGAAATAATATCTAATTTGGGAACTTGTGAGACTCCAAAATAAAATCAAACACTTAAAGAAGTAAAAGTAAGAAAAGATCATAAAGAAAAATTTATGATAAATTTAACCATTGTTTCTTACAGGAACTTTTAAAATTGCAATAGTGAACCAACAAAACACAGTGAATGAATGGACAACAAAACTATGGCCACTTGTAAACACTTAGGTGCGACTCTGACATGAGATTACTCTCACCAAGAGATTAACCTCTTAGCGAGGAGCATTGAAATAATTACACAAACTATTATGGCCATGAGGAGGCTTAGAGGTCATCCCGTCAAAGATATGTAAGCTCCTTTTACTTATGGAAACTTTTCTTCAAATGAAATATTGTGTGGAAGCCCCACATGTATATAAAATAGATAAAAATGGAGCTTCTCGAGTTGAAGTAGGGGTAGGGATAATTGAGAACTCCCCTACCCCGCAAGCCTATCCTCACTTCTGCAGACAATGGGACATCATGACACACAGTTTGAGAAACACTCATCAGAACCCACCTCCTCATGTGGTTCATGTGACATCATGACAGTAGAAGCCCAAAGAGGTGGAGTGATGTACCCAAGACCACACTGTAAACAGGGAGTCAGGTTTGACTGTTGCCCATGCCTCCTTTTGGTTTCTTTCTCATGCTCCATTCTGTGTCCGTCTACTCAGTATTTGCGGGTTTATTTAGATTTTCTTGTGGAAATACTTTATATGTCTCAAATAAATGTTAAGCAAGCATTTGAGTGCCTGAGTCATATTTTTGAAACGTGTCTTCCCTTGAAGGCTCACACAACCTCTCCCCCAGGTCTCCTTGGATTTGCAAAATTACCAGTTGCCATTTTAACAAACTTGCTGACATGCCTGTCTCCTAAATTGTGACAGCATAGGAATAGGAACTGACCTTTTGAGGTGAGGCATACTCTTTACTTTTTCCCCTAGTAAAGGGTACCAAAAAATCCAGGTGTAATCTCTAACCTCATCTAGACCAGAAAGAAGGAAAGCAGCAACATCAACTGCTTCTGCTTTCCTTTCTTCCAATGCCATTCCTCATGGCCTTCTTCAAATTGAGTTGCTAGTTCATGTTAAATAACCTGCAAGCAGCTCAGCAGCTGGAGAGACCAACATTAAAGAGCCTAAATAATTGACAAACTAGACAATCAGACCCAGGATGATCAAGAATTTTTAATTGCTTTAGCAATTTGTTGTTCATCTGCTCTAAACTTTTCTCTTCAAACTCCCTATAAATGACCTTTCACATCAAACAACCCAAGAAAGATTGGAAGCGGGAGGGAGATCATCGTGTAATCATGTGATGGCCCCCACCAATTTAATCTGATTGAACAGAAACACAGTCTCTTCTCTGGGTGCGAGAGAGGCCTCCACTGTGTGTGAAACATTGGGTCACAATGCCCAGTTCGCAACATCATGACTTTGTCAGAATTCCCATCTGTTGTTGCAGCCTGCACGGTAGACCAGGAATATCATGACAGGAGGCCTGAATTAGACAGAGCCTCTCCAGAGGAACAGAACCAATAAGGTTATACATAAAGAGATTTATGATAAAGAAACTGGTTCACATGATTATGGAGGCCGAGAAGTACCAAGATCTGCAGGCTGATGGCCTGAGACTCAGGAGAGCCTATGGTGTAAATTACAGTCCTAGTCAGTCTGAAGGGAGGGGAGAGAAGACCCCAGCTAAGAGGCCAGCAGGCAGAGAGCAAACGCTCTCTTGCTCAGCCTTTTTTCTATTCAGGCCTTCAACAGATTAGATGGGGCTCACCACCACTGGGGAGAACAATCTGCTTTACTCAGTTTACAGATTCAAATGTTCAGTTAATCCAGAAACCCCTCATGGACACATCCAGAATAATGCATAGCCAAATACCTGGGCATTCTGTGGCCCACTCAAGTTGACAGATTCAATTAACCATCACAACATCTGGGGAAGGAAGAAGAGCCCCAGCAAGGCTGACTCTGAAAACTTGTCACTCCAGACACAGACTGGGGTATCTTCCCTGGTGTCCACCTGGCAGATTCCACCTTACATAGCCCATTCTGCAATCCGTCATGTCTGTAGATGCAGCCACTCTGTTGACTCTGAGACTTGACTTTTGTGTTCTTCTTAAATGAAGCCATTGCCTATATGTAAAGAAATATACCTTTTGAACACTAACATATATATAGTTTATATCAAGTTTGGGGAGATTGGAAGAGGCAAATTATGAGACACTTATGTCTCATAATAATTTGACAGGAGAAATGGCATGCAGTTGACAGCTTCTTCATTTGGTTTTAATGGCATAGTAAGAGGAAAACAGTGTCATGCACTCATTTGCAAGCAAGGTCCTAGGGCATGGAGAAGAATCAAAGGCTGATTTTTCTTTAGAACAGGTTGATTATTTGATGTCAATGGAGATTCTAACCGTTTTTCATAAGAAGCTGCTTTAGAATACAGCCTGGAGAAGTCTATCCCCCTGCAATATTTGGCAAGCAAATACAAGGCAGAAGTACTTTAATTATCATTTCTTAAAGGATTTTTGCTATCCTGATTAGTATAAGTTGGTCTCTTAAGCACATGATTTTGCAAAGATTCACTCATTTTCCAAACCAGCTTTAAGCATTCACAATTTTCCATCAACCTAGAATTTCTCCAGCCCAGGACAGACCTCAGCTCAGCAGAAAATCAGTGAGGCTTAAGTGAAAGCCAAATTAAAATAATATCTGTTGGGCATGGTGGCTCACGCCTATAATCCCAGCAGGCCAAGGTGGGAGGATCGCTTGAAGCCATGAGTTCAAGACCAGCCTGGGTAACATAATGACACCCTGTCTCTACAGAAAGAAAAAGAAAAAAAATTAGCCAGAAATGATGGTGTGAGCCTGTAGACCCAGATACTTGGGAGAGTGAGGCAAGAGGATCTCTTGAGCCTGAGTTCGAGGTTGCAATGAGCTATGATCACACCACTGCACTCCAGCTTGGATAATAGAGTGAGAAAATATATCCCTTTAATTCTGTATTACAATGTATATTTAGACAAGGATTCTCCTTACTTAGTAAACATTGGGTTTGGGGCATAAATCATCCCTAAGCCAACTTGTCAAGAATCTGTGGCAGGCAAATTTACTTCAACACCAGCTTAAATTGATAATGTAAAACAGAAACTGTAAAGTCAATAAAAAGTCTATTACGGGAAAACAGCAAAGTGTTTGGTTCTAAACCTGGATATAAGGGAAAATTAGAAAATGAAGTTGTCTGAAAGGATTATTCTGCATCCCTCCTCCTTCCCCTACCCAAATACTCACATGGGAATTGTGCTGGATTAAGTGTTATGGGCTCTTGGAAGAAAGGAGGTGCTGTCAGAATAGATGTTGTTCTTAATTTTATCCATGGCCCTTGTATATTAGACCACAGTTCATGATCCTGTTTTATAGCAGGCTGACTGCTCCCTCCTCCCAATCCCTACTCCCTTATTAAACAAAAGACTGCACGTTCTGGGAAGTGTTAGCAACTCACCCATGTCACTGTCATCCAGACAGTGCTGTTATGTGGTGGAAAGTACTCAGGGTTGGGACTTTGGAACAGCCTTGCTACTCTGGGGTGCTTGCAGCAGGGCCTGTACAAGTCCCACCCCAGCCCTGGTATCGGAGAGGCCAGCAAAAGGCAGCTGGTGGGAGAGACCTATGCAGCTCCACCCACAAATGCTACAAATGCTAAAATCTCTTCTCTTCCTCTTCCTCAACTCTTTTGATCCTCACTTTTCTCCAGCTCTCTTCTTCCAACTTACTTTTGTCTATTTCATCACCTCAAATTCATTCATTCCATAAATATTTATCAAGCACCTACTATCCAAGGCACCCAATCTTTGCCACACCTCAGACTGTCCTGCATCCTCATTTCTCTCTGAAGCTGCTCTGGACAATGTCAACTTTTGGCTGTTAAACCCGTGGTCACCTTTCCAATGCCTTCTCTACAGCATCTGGGAATGTTGACCTCTTCATCTGTCATAAAACATTCTCATGCACTGCCTTCCTTAATAACCCCCTTTCCAGGTTCCAGTCCTTCCTCTGATGCTTTCTTCTTGGACTTTTTCTTGTTCTGTGTCCTTTTTCTGTTCTTCAGTGTTGACATTTACCAGGGTTAAATTCTTACCCTCTTCTCCTTTAATCCTACATCGTTCTCTGGATTATCTCATTTCCTCTTAAGATTTCAGCTATCACTTATAATGCTGAAAACTCTGAGGGCTAAATTTTCAACCATATATCTCTTCTGAATTCCAGACACATTTAATCAACTATTTACATAATACAACCACCTGTTCCAGTTACTACAGCTGCATAACAAGTCATCCCAAAGCTTAGTGGCATAAAACACTGATCAGCAGCACAGACAGGGTACAGTGAGGACAGTTATTTCTGCTGTATGTCTGGGTCCTCAGCTGGGAAGACTTAAAGGCTGGAGTGATTTGACAGCTAGAGATTAGAATCTGTAAATGTCTCCACGCACATGTCTAGTGGTTGATGTTGGCTGTCGGCTGAGACTTCATCTATGACTCTCAGCCAGAACACCTACAAATGGCTTTTCCTCATGGCCCAGACTTCGTAGCATGGCGGCCTCAAGGTCATTGCAGTTCTTATATGGAAATTCAGGGCTCCAAAGGTGAGTATTTCAGCTAACAATGTAAAAGTTGCATCATGTTTTATGATCTAACCTCAGAAACCACTCAGTGCCACTTCCATCGCTTTATATTAGGCACAAGTGAGTCATAAGCTCACCCATACTGAAAGGCAGAAAAATCAGATTCTATCGGGTGATGGGTCAGTGGCAAGGTTGTGGAAGAGCATACAGGACAGGAGATACTGCTGCAGTCATCTTTGAAAAGTACAAACTGTCACACCCACTCCTGTCCTGTCCTTGCCACACTCATGTATATGGATGTTTCATAGTATCACATACATTCACTTTCCTTCATGCTTTTGCATATACTGTTCCTTCCAACCTTTTTTCTGCCTTCTAATGCAGAATCACCACCTATTTATCTCTCAAGCCTCATCTCAGATAACATTTCATTCAGATCCAAGATTGCCCTTAGGAGAAACATGGGTGTCTACCACTTCATTTGTTTTTCTCCCCATTGGTCCTACTTGCTCACCAACAGCTGGATGGGGCCAGGGTGGACATCACATGCCCAAACTCTATGGCCCTTATCCTGAGTTCAAAGCCTGGGTCTGTCATTCACTGGTTGTATGAACTTGAGCAATTTGCTTGCTTTCACAAATCATTAGTTTCTACACTTAAAAAATAAGGAGAGTATTATACTCATTTTATAAGATGAGCCTTTCATGGGATGATATGAAGACATTGCTCCATAGGTGCTTCAGTAAAATTTAGCTATTGATATGATCCTGAGAACAAGTGTATGGATCAAAGACTAAGAACTGGTATCCTCTAATCCCAGCACTTTGGGAGGCCGAGGAGGGTGGATCATGAGGTCAGGAGATCGAGACCATCCTGGCTAATGCAGAGAAACCCAGTCTCTACTAAAAATACAAAAAAAATTAGCCGGGCGTGGTGGTGTGCACCTGTAGTCCCAGCTACTCTGGAGGCTGAGGCAGGAGAATGGCATGAACCCAGGAGGCAGAGCTTGCAGTGAGCAGAGATCAGTGCCACTGCACTCCAGCCTGGGTGACAGAGCGAGACCCCATCTCAAAAAAAAGAAAAAAAAAACTGGTATGATAATGCAAAAACATCCTCTTTAGTTCTAAGAAGGTACACTGCTCAAAAAATGCAAAGAAAAAAATCACCTTCTTGAACTATGTTCAATATACAGTCCTCCATTGTCTATATTTCTATGGTTTCATGTTTTAATGATTATAATTAATGTACATTCAGTATTTAGATAGCCATTCTTAGGTACAGGCATTTGTATAGGATGTTCTATATTAAGCATAGCTAATTATTTCTCTCCAAATGTATGCTTTTTCTCTTATCGATGTGAGAGAATCCTCCTGCTTTTAAAAAGACACTTTCCCAGTTGTCTTTTCTATGAAGGCCACCTTTCTTTCTTCTGCTTGCACCACTGATCCAAGCAGAGCAGCTAATTCAGCATAGTTCACTACCCAAATCTGACCTCTTTCTTTCTCTCCTTATTTGTTAACCTCTGTGCTTGGTGCTCACTATGTGTATTACTCCATTTTCACACTGTTTATAAAGACATAGCTGAGACTGGACAATTTACAAAAGAAAGAGGTTTAATTGGACTTACAGTTCCATGTGGCTGGGGAAGCCTCACAATCATGGTGGAAGGCAAGGAGGAACAAGTCACATCTTACATGGACAACAGCAGGCAAAGAGACAATGAGGAAGATGCAAAAGCGGAGACCCCTGATAAAGCCATCAGATCTCATTAGACTTATTCACCACCATGAGAACAGAATGGGGAAAACTGCCCACATGATTCAATTATCTCCCACTGGGTCCCTCCCACAACACATGGGAATTATGAGAATATAATTCAAGGTGAGTTTTGGGTGGGGACACAGAGCTAAACCGTATCACCATAGCTTTGGTCAGCCCTGGGGATTAAATGTAGAGTTCCTCAAAATTACCCTATGGTAAGGAACAGGCCCTGCTGAAATATTTGCAGTGAAAGAAACACATTTTTATGGTGATTTGAGGGTGTCTTTGGGGTTCTGGTTTTTTTGTTTGTTTGTTTGTTTGTTTTCTGTCTTCTTCACACTGAATTTTTCCATCTTGCCAGGCAGTTACTTTTGTCTGGCAAAATTGTGATGGGGTTGTTTGTTTTATACATCACTATGCCAAGGACAAGAAGCAGCCTTCAGTGTTGTTTAAATATCACACGTAAGATGGGCCAAAATTCCAGCTCCATACCTGTTTGAGCAGAGTACAAAAAGAAATAGGAACAATTTAGAGGACATTACAGTGAGATAACTATTGGCTTAGTATATGGAAGATCTTTCTAAGACAGAGCCATTCAAAAAAAAGGAATGAGTCACTTGCTTTAGGAGGCAGTCAGCTTTCCATATGGAAAGGAAGACTCAAAAATCAGGGAACAGTTAGATAAAGACACCTTATTCTTCCAAGAGTTCATATATAAAATGTCAAGACTCAAGACCCCAAGAAAATCGTTAACCATCACGATTGCTAAACAGCACCTCCAAGCTGAATCATCTGGGATCTAGAGGAAAATCTTCTACAGTCCTAGAGGAGACATCTCTGTGGATGAAAATTTTAATGTCCTTCGTGTAAAGGTGAGTAATTCAAGTGTGACTGGGACACAAACTTATCTCTTGAAAAATGTTTTTGTTATTTGATTGTAGTTTGCCCCTCCCCAAGACATGTATAATATTCACTGTAACTAGACTGTAAGCTCCATGAAAGCAGGGACCTGGCCATCTTGCTCCCTAATTCTTCACTACCTAGATTAACATCTGTTTGTCCATAAATGTTTGTTGAATGTGATCTTGACCTAGGCCACTGTCCCTGCTGGAGTACACAGGAAAGCAACTCAAAAGCCTATGACTATCTCTTCAGAAATTCCTCTGACTTTTGTCAGCTTCAGTGTTTTCCTTTGAAATAAGTTTTTTATATGTTCCTATTTCTTTGACACAGGATAATTTTTTATTCAGTAGCAAAGATGTCTACTTTAGCCCCTTCTATTCAATATAATACTGGAAGTCCTAGCCAGAGCAATTAGACAAGAAAAAGAATTAAAAGACAAGACATCCAAATTGGAAAGGAAGAAGTAAAATTATCTCTGTTTTCAGAAAACATGATCTTATATGTAGAAAGCCAAGAAGATTCTACACAAAAAACTAAGAAATTCAGCAAAGTTATAGGATACAAAATCAACATGCAAAAATTAGTTACATTTCTATGTACTAACAATGAACAATCTGACAAGAAAATAATTTCATTCATAATAGCATAAAAAAGAATCAAACACTTTTGAATAAAGTTAACCAAGGAGGCAAAAAAAATGTATACATTAAAAACTACAAAACAGTGCTGGAAAAAAATTTAAAGACAAAAATAATAGAAAGTTTTATCCTAAAATCTATATGGAATCTCAAGGGACCCTAAATAGACAAAACAATCTTAGAAAAGAAGAACAAAGTTGGCTGTCTCACACTTCCCAATTTCAGTACTTATTACAAGGCTACAGTAATCAAAATAGTGTGGTACTGGCAGAAAGACAGACATATCGACAAATGGAATTAAATAGAGACCAGAGACCCCCAAAGTCAACCTTTTCATATACACTCAAATGTCAAATGATTTTTGACAATGATACCAAGTGTATCCAACAAAAAAGGAAGTTTCTTCAACAAACAGCTTTGTTAAAGTGGATTTCTACATGTAAAAGAATAAAGCGGGACCCTTACTTCACATCATACACAAAAATCAGCTCAAAATGCATAAAAACCTAAACTTGAGAACTACAACTATAGAACTCATAGAAGAAAAATGAGGAAAAACTTCATGACATCAGATTTGACAATTTTTTTTTGGCTAAGTCACCAAAAACATAGGCAACAAAAGTTAAAACAGGCAAATTGGACTTTATTAAAATAAAAAACTTCTTTGTATCAAGGATAGCATCAACAGAGTGAAGAGGCAACATATGGAGTGGGAGAAAATATTTGCAAATCATTTCTGATAATAAGAGGTTAATATCCAAATATATAAAGAAATCCTATAACTCAAGAACAATAAAATAAATAATCAGATTTAAAAATAGGCATAGAATTTAATAGACACATCTCCAATGTTCATACAAACTGCTAACAAGTGTATGAAATGATACCCAATATCATTAATCATTAAGGGAATGCAATAAAAACTTCAGTGAGATACTACCTGATTCTCATTAGGATGACTACATTTACAAAACAGAAAACAATAAGTTTTGACAAGGATGTAGAAAAATTGGAACTCTTATGCACATGGAAATGTAAAATGATACAGCCACTATGGAAAACAATATGGCGGTTCCTCAAAAAATTAAATACAGAATTACCATATGATCCAGAAATCCCACTCCTGAGTATATGCCCAAAAGAATTGAAAGCATGGTATTAAAGAAATATTTGTACACCCAGCTTTATAGGAGCATTATTCATAATAGCCAAGAAGTGGAAGAAACCCAAGTGTCCATCAATAGACGAACGGATAAACAAAACATGGTACATACATACTACTGAATATTATTCAGTCTTATAAAGGAAGGAAATTCTGACACATGCTACAACATGAATGATCTTTGAGGACAGTATGCCAAGTGAAATAAACTAGACACAAAAGGACAGATGTTGTATAATTCTACTTACATAAGGAACTTAGAGTAGTCAAATTCATAGAGACAGAAAGTAGAATGGTGGTTGCCAGGGGCTGGGGGAAGGGGATAATGGGGAGTTGTTTAATGGGTATAAAGTTTCCGTTTTCAAGATGAACAAGTTCTAGATATTGTTTACCTAACAATGTGAATATACTTAACACTACTGAACTGTAGACTTAAAAATGGTTAAGGCCAGTATGGTCTTAACCTATCCTAACACTTTGAGAGATCGAGATAGGAGGATTGCTTGAGGTCAGGAGTTCAAGGGTGCAGTGAGCTATGATCGCACCAATGCACTCCAGCCTGGGTGACAGAGTAAGACCCTGTCTCTTAAAAAAAAAATTACCATGGTAAATTTTAGATTATGTGTAATTACCATAATTAAAAATTTTTTACTTAAAAATTTTTATCAGCTTCTAAATTCATGAGTTAAATAAGAAAAAATACACATAACAAATAATTTAGAAGTTCTGTTAATTGAAGCTTACAAAAGACATTTCTTTTAAATGGCTTCTTGGCTGAGAAGCACTTCCACAGAGAGACTTATAATCATTTCCACTTACACTCTAAGCTTACCAGCCCTTTGGCAGCTACAAAGGACTTCTGGACATTTCTGCAAGCAAATCTCTGCATTTGCAATGATTTGAGTAAAGGAGAATACACATAGGCTTACAAGACAGAAGTCAATATACAGTACTGTTAAACCAAAGTTAGTGTTGAACTGAAGAGTAGCAGATGACATGAGGAAACAAGTGCCAAAAATAAGGGAACAAGTGCAAAAGCTGAAAAACATTACAAAAATGTGACTATTTTCCAATATATAATCTAGTTGAATAGATGGTATGGCCAGGGCACTGCTCTGGGGGTCAGATGACTTGCATTTTAGTTCCAACTCTTGCCACAAAACAAGTACCACATTGTGTCCTTCATAAAGTGAGCTGAGTGGACCAAATCACTGAGAACCCTACCCATTCCTTCTCAACACACAGGAAAACATTTTAAGCATCTATTTAAAGCAGAGATTCATCATCTTGTTTGTGTGTTACTGAAACCCTAAAAGAGGAAGCAAATACAATTCAGTATACTGAGCTCTGAAAAATTACAAGAGAAATCTCACAAAAATCCATCCACTCTTGAACACCATTGCTACAAATTCAAATTCACTTTAAGCTCTGGGGTAGTAAACTGAACTTGCTGTCCAAAACACGATTATCCACATGTCCCATTGCATATTCCTGTTGGGGGTAATTGTCCCCACACTCTGGGACACACGGGCTTCTTCAAACTACAGAGTGAATCACACGTAGTGGTTAGTTCTCAAGGAAATGAATTCTCACTTGGGTAATATAATAGTCTGCTTGGGTGGCTTAAAGAACATAAATGTATTCTCTCACAATTCTGGAGATGAGAAGTCTAGATCAAGATGTTGGCAGGTTTAGTTTCTCCTGCGGCCACTGTCCTTGGCTTGCAGACCATGGCTTTCTCACCATGTCCTCATACGGCCTTTCCTCTGTGCATGCATGCTATGGTTTGGCTCTGTCCTCACCCAAATCTCATCTTGAATTGTAGCTCCCATAATTCCCACGTGCTGTGGGAGTGACCTGATGAGAGATAATTGAAATATGGGAGCAGTTTCCCCCATACTGTTCTCATGATAGTGAATGGAAGTCTCATGAGATCTGATGGTATTATAAGAGGAAACCCCCTTTGCTTGGCTCTCATTCTTTCTTTTCCGGCCACCATGTAAGATATCCCTTTGCTCTCCCTTGCTCTTCTGTCATGATTGTGAAGCCTTCCCAACCACGTGGGAACTGTGAGTCCATTAAACCTCTTTTCCTTTATAAACTTCCCAGTATCTGGTATGTCTTCATCAGCAGCATGAAAACAGACTAATACTACACACATCCTTAGTATCTCTCCATGTGTCCAAATTTCCTCTTATAAGGATACCAGTCATGTGGGATTAGGGTCCACCATAACAGCCTCATTTTAAATTAATCACTTCCTTAAAGACCCTCATCTCCAAAACAGTCTCGTTCTGAGATACCAGGGTTTAAGCCTTCAATATATGAATTTTAAGGGGATGTAATTCAACACATAGTAGGCAGGTGTATCCCCAGAAGCCAGGGGAGAAAAATAACCTTAAACACCTGTAGTATATTCTGCTTCCAATGTTTGCTAAAGTGAATGTACTGACAAAACATGTATTTGTAGGCCTCATTTGCCTTCATTTGCAAAATTCTTGTAATCATAGTAGCTATAGTTTTGCATAGTAGCATAGTTTTGTTGAGAAGATTGAATTTGTTTGACAACAACTCAATACACTGAGTTATGTAAACTACTATTATTATGAAGTGATGAGTGTAGTAGAAGATATAAATGAATGTAAGACATCTCAGCATACAGAGTCATGACATTGTCCAAGCCAGTCCAAACAGAGCTCAGTGTCTCCTTCCCAACCTGGTCCTCTTCTCACCACCACATCTTCCCCACCACATGGAGGTTGAGGCTGCAGTGAGCTGAGATCACACCACTGCACTTTGGCGTGGGTGTCAGAGTGAGACCAGAAATCAAAACAATACCCCATGGGAAAGACCCAGGAAAAAAAATGTGTATTTTTCTTTTTGATAAAAACTAATAAATAAACTTTATATCATGTTTTTTAGTTTTCAGTACACTTTTCATATGTTTATCTTATTCTCACAAAAACTGTGTGAGGTAAGCAGTATTTTTATCCCGTTTTATAGACAGAGAAACTTGACTTGGCAGATTGTGTAGCTTGCCTCAAATGACAGGGCTGGCAAGTAGGGCATCCTGACCTGAGGTTACTAATGGGAGTTAAGAACCATCAGGTCCTTGTCTTCAGTCTCTGAGTATATTGTTGCTGGATCAAATCAGCATGCTTACCGAGTGCCTATTTGAGTTTACAGCAAATGTTACAAGTTTGTTCTGCTATCAGAAGGATATGAGTTTGAATACCAGCTCTGCTGCCTACTTATCTTGTTCCTTGGGTCAGGTTACTCTTTTCTTCGTTCCTGCAGCAACATTTACCAAGTGCCTTCTATATGCCAGGTACTGTTCTAGGCTCTGGGAACACAGCAGTGAGCAAAATAGGCACGAACTTTATTCTCATGAGTTCATAACCTAGAGGGAAATAAAGATGCATTACTGAAATCGTCCCAGAGTCACAACTGCTATGCAGAAAATGACACAGGGGAAGGGATAGAGAATGATTCTGGGAAGAAGAGAACTAATTTAAAATGGAATGTCAGGAAAGGCCCCTTTTAAAAGATGAGATTTGGCCTGCAATCTGATAGATCTACAAAATAACCACCACTCCTCAATCAGAAATCACTAAATTCTTAAGCAGAAAAGTAACATTGATAAGAAGGATCTAGATATTCGAAGATCTGGGACCAAGAAAGCAGAAAATCCAGAGGCTCTAAAGCAAGATTTTGTTGAGGTTTGAACAGAAGGAAGGCCCCTGAGACTGAAGCATAGTGAAGGAAGGGAAGATAGGTAGGAGAGAAGCAAGAGAAATAAGTTAGGCTGTATTATACAGGGTCTGAAGGCCAAGATAAGGAGGTTGAATTTATTATAATTGAAACCACAAACCACTAAATTTTTAAGCAAGAAAGTAACGTTATTTGATTTATGGTAACTGCTCATAACTCTAACCTCCCTAAGCTTCAGTTTCTTCATCTGCAAAATTCCTGTAATCATAGTAGCAATTCAATAGTTTTGTTGAGAAGACTGAATTTGTTTGACAACAACTCAATAGGTTGAGTTGTGTTAACTACTATTATTACGAAGTGATGAGTGCAGTAGAAGATATAAATGAATGTAAGACATGTCCATGTACTCAACAGTTTTGCTATTCAACAGCATTAATTTAGTCTTTCTGCATTTTTGCTGCTTTTTAAAATGCAATGTAAATTTCCCATGCAAGAATACGTTCTAAATAATTTATGTAGATACTCTGCCCTCAAAGAGGTGGAGCATAATTTCCCACTGCTTAAGTGTGGACTGTGCCCAGTGACTTCCTTCCAAAGGGTACAATATGGTAAGGTGTAACCAAGCACCACCTGCAACCCAAAAATCTATAGAAAAGTAAAATTAAAAAAAAATCCTTAACGGAAAAAAAGGAAGATAATTTTGCGGTAGAGAAACCTGACAAACACTACCTGAGCCAGGCGACTAAGATTAACATCAACAATAAGTCATATGGATAGTATGTACCTTAGATATGATGTCATGAGAATAGCACTTTACATCTGAGATTTGCCTCCCCAAAACACAATATCCCGATCTAATCATGAAAAAAATAGAGACAAATCCCAACTGAGGGACATTCTACAAAATATCTGACCACCACTGCTCAAACTGTCAAGGTCATCAAAAACAAGGAAAGCCTGAGAAACCATCACAGCCCAGAGATGCCTAAGGAGACATGGTGACTAAACGTAATATGGTATCCTGGATGGAATTTTGGAGCAATAAAAGGAGATTAAGTAAAACTAAGGAAAGCAAAATAATGACTTTAATGATAATGTATTAGCATTCTTTCATTAATTATAACAAATGCACCATACTAAAGTAAGACTTGAAAAATAGGGGCAACTGAGTGTGAATATATGGAACTCTGCACTATCATCTCAATTTTTCTATAAATCTAAAAGTGTTCTGAATAAAATGTTTGCTTCAAAAAATGCAATGTAGCATCTTTATCTATGCAAATTTTGGTGAACTAATCCAACACCCCTGGAAATTACAATTATGACATTTGAACATGATGTTATAAG